>NC_000004.12:48718075-49027499 GCF_000001405.40 Homo sapiens
TCCTTGTAGGGGAAAGGGGAGTCCTCTCTGGTACACCATCTTATTTTTATCCCAATAACAGAGTTGCATCCTAGAGTAAATTGTGTTTATTCTAAAATCAGTTTATGTCTGTTGTATTTACTATAATTACATAGTTTAGTTGCATATTACATCAAAAATGAGTGCAAAAACAAAATGCTTTGTCTCTAAACATTAAATCATGTAATTTAATTAAGGCAAGCCACTTTAAAAACATTTTAAAGAAAATGTCTTGGCTATACATCAAAAGACTGGTGAAATATAAGCATTCATACACGTATAAATATTTAAGGTATGTATCTTTCTTTCTCATTTTAAACAAATATTCTATTTAGCCAACCCAACTGCAGGTATATTATATAGCCAATATTGTTTAAGAGAACTTCTACTCTATACGTTAGTTGTATAAAAGATGAACATAAGTACACTACTATTATTCCATGTCACACTCTAAAGTGTGAAAATTGACCCTATTAAATTTGAATTCTCTCTTACAGAGGTTGAGACTTGTCTACTCTTCAAGTCCCCAGGCCCACTACAGTCCCATACTCTCTACAGACACCTTCAACTGCTTAAACTGAAAAAGGTTGCCCAATGTCAACCCTTCAAATTCAAGACTGCTAAAGTCCCTCCTTCTTGTGCTCATAGGCTCTATGTGTGAAGCATTTTTTTTCACATATCTCTCAGAATCCTCCCTTTTCAAAGCTAATCCTACATCTGACCTACCTATTCAGGTGACCATTATGCTCCCCCAACACACAAAAAAAGTATTACTTACACTCATGCTCCATAGACTCCTCCCTTCCACTTCATTTCCACTTACATTTGTGCTTCTCCCTTCTCACCTCTCAACTTACTCCTGAACTATCAGCCATTTGCACTCTGACCCCAACTACTTTCTAATGACTGCAAAAGAATTCCGAGTGGTCACTCTAACTGATCTTTGGCCTCCCCTCTCTCACTACTCCAATGCATCTCAGATATTGCTTCCTAGCGCATAACTCTGATCACAAAACCCCCAGGCTTGGTAATTCAATGGTGTCTCCCAGTGCCTACAGAAAACAGTTCAGGAATTCATTAACCTCATCAAGATTCTAATGGAAGAGACTAAACTGCCAGCCCATCTCCTGAATGTTATCCAGACTTCAGTCAGGCTGAACTCTTTGCTCTGTGCAAATGTATCCCATGCCTTCCTACACACAGATCTAACGCATGCTTTATTCCATGTGGAATGCCCTCCCTTCGTTTCTATGTATTGAAATTCCTCTAAAATCATTTTTAAAGTAGAAAGTCACTTACCACTCAGAGCCTCACGTTTCTCAACTATAAAATGAGAATAACACCTTCAAGGCTGCTATATAAAGATGACAAACCATTATTAGTATCAAGTATTGTTAAGCATAAACTTAGAATAATTGCTGG
Organism: Homo sapiens; assembly: GCF_000001405.40. Lineage (NCBI taxonomy): Eukaryota > Metazoa > Chordata > Mammalia > Primates > Hominidae > Homo > Homo sapiens. The sequence goes on from NC_000004.12 coordinate 48,719,516, forward strand.
TAGATAATACTCAACAAATGTTATTACTCTTGTTCACTAAAGACAATTAAGTGCCCAATAAATATATTATAAATTGACAAAACAAAACAACAGAAATATCTTTTCCAGCCACACTGTGCTCTTTGCTCACCAATCAACTGTTTAAGGTTTGACACCTCTGGAAGTTAAGATGATAAAAATTCCTAATAACGTTTTCATTTTGTGGGACTCTCACATAGATTCATGATGCAAGAACAACCACCCTCTATTTCCTGATTTTGTCAGGAACAACTTGATTCACTGATATCTACCAAAATGGGAAGAGTGGAGCAAGGTAATAATTTTATCACTGACTTTTTAAAAAATTGCACTAAAGGCCGGGTGTGGTGGCTCACGCCTGTAATCCCAGCACTTTGGGAGGCTGAGGTGAGTGGATCACGAGGTCCGGAGATCGAGACCATCCTGGCCAACATGGTGAAACCCTATCCCTACTAAAAATACAAAAATTAGCTGGGTGTGGTGGCGTGCACCTGTAATCCCAGCTACTTGGGAGGCTGAGGCAGGAGAATGGCTTGAACCTAGGAGGTGGAGATTGGAGTGAGCCAAGATTGTGCCACTGCACTCCAGCCTGGTGACAAAGAGAGACTCCATCTCAAAAAAAAAAAAAAATCAGGAAAATACATATAATTTACCATCTTAACCATTTTAAAATGTACATTAAGGCTGGGCATGGCGGCTCATGCCTGTAATCCCAGCACTTTGCGAGGCCGAGGTGGGGAGATCATGAGGTCAGGAGTTCAAGACTAGCCTGGCCAACATGACAAAACCCGGTCTCTACTAAAAATACAAAAAATTAATCAGGCATGGTGGCATGCACCTGTAATCCCAGCTACTCAGAAGGCTGAGGCAGGAGAACTGCTTGAACCCGGGAGGTGGAGGTTGCAGTGAGCTGAGATCACGCCACTTCACTCCAGGCCTGGGCAACAGAGCAAGACTCCATCTCAAAAAATAAAATAAATAAATAAATAAAATTAAAATTTAAAAAAGGTGTACATTAAATACATTCACACTGTTGGGCAACCATCACCACCATCCACCTCCAGAACTCTTTTCATCTTACAAAACTGAAACTCTATACCCATTACAGTCAACCCATTCTCTCTGTCACAACCTGACAGTCACCATTCTATTTTCTGTCTCTATGGGCCTGACTACTCTAGGTACCTTATGTAAGTAAAATCAGACAATATTTGTTCTTTTGTAACTGGTTTATTTCACTAAGCGTGATGTCCTCAAGATTCATCTATGTTGTTATTTACTGTTTCCGTAAGAACTCCAAAACCACACAGGGACACAGTTTAAACATACTCTAGCTAAGATAGATTCTATGGCACTACACCATAGATTTGGAACACTCAAATTACAGAAAGAAAGGGAAAGGGAAAATAGCAGTACTTGATAATTAGGTATGTTGCCAGTTACTCTGCTAGGTGCATTTCACACAGAACTTATTAAGTCCAAACAGCTCTAAGGAGGTAGATGATTATCATTCCCAACTGACAAACGAGAAAAAGGTCCAGAAGAATATACAATAATAGCAAGTAGGCCTCCCATGTCACTATCCTATTTCCATTTTGTTTTCATTATAGAACTCATCACTATCTAACATATGCTTGGTTTTATATACTTATTTAATTCCTTATTACCTTTCTCCCTAACTAGAACGTAAACACCTATGGCCATTGTATCCTCTAACCAGCCCAGAATCAGAGAGGTAGAGAGTGGAGGGGCAGGAATGGGGAAGTACAAAACAAGTAATGTTATAAGGAAAATGTGCCACATGTGCACACTATATGTAGATTTTTTTTTTTTTTTAATGGTTGAGATTGGCTGGGCATGGTGGCTCACACCTGTAATCCTAGTACTTTGGGAGGCCAAGGCAGGATCACTTAAGCCCAAGAGTTTGAGACCAGCCTGGCAACATAGGGAGACCCCATCTCTATAAGAAGTAAAATAAATTAAAAAATAAAAGGTGGAAGTCATTACACTAGTGGAAGGGTCACATTTTTACAACAAAATTGTGTCTATGATATACACAGCTTAAAACTTGAACATCTTATCATCTCTAGCTGTTCTGAGATTCTTGCTTCCATACATACACTTGAGATGGAGTCTCACTCTGTCGCCCAGGCTGGAGTGCTGTGGCGCGATCATGGCTCACTGCAACTTCTGCCTCCCTGGTTCAAGCAATTCTCCCTGTCTCAGCCTCCTGAGTAGCTGGAATTACAGGCACCCGCCACCACACCCGGCTAATTTATGTGTTTTAGTACAGATGAGGTTTCACCATGTTGGCCAGGCTGGTCTTGAACTCCTGACCTTAGGTGATCCACCTGCTTCGGCCTCCCAAAGTGCTGGGATTACAGGTGTGAGCCACTGCACCCAGCCCATATGTACGTTTCTTAGATGCTCAGAAATGGGGAGGCTTTTTTATGGCCAAAGATACATTTAGATGGGTTTTTGTTCTGGTTTTTGGAGTGGGAAGTTGGGTAAAGCGTAGAAGATAAAATTCCTTGGTCTCCAGTGAGCCCAAATTCTATTATTATATCCTTGTCTTCTATGAATTTTTGTTGTTTTTAATCAAACTTTACCCGAGGAATTGTTCTCTGCCTTCTGGCTAAGATCAAGGGTAGTGCCTGAGGACTTTACTACTAAGGGTGAATTAACAATGGGAAGCAGATACTAAGTTGTGATAGTCTACTTACACCATAAATATATGCTCACTAGAATAGTAACTATATTTACCAAAATACAGATTTCCTTCCTCTGCTTCAGAATAAAAGTGAATATTCCTACTACCATGCATTGCTACATTTTCTGTTAACATTTGTTAAAACGTTTTATTAAAACCCAAGAAATTAATGACTGAATACACACTACTGACTTTCTCAAGCTATATTTTTCCATAATTTATATTAATAGCAACTACCTCTACAATTAGAGAAATCTGAAATGTTATGATGAGAAATCAGGATTTCTAAGGGCTTTCACTGAATAAATCCTCACTTGTAACATGTCTACATTTCCCATTAACTTATTGTTTTCATAATTTCTTCTGATCACAGTACAAAAAACGTTAGTAATAAAAGGAGTACTGTGTTCACAAAATAATGTTATCTTCACTGATGTAACAAAAAGTCAGTGGTTTCCTTTTTGTGGTAAACAATGGGCCTTGGGAAGCACATTCCTTGTTAAATGTCTTTTACATTTTTTATACACAATTGGTTCAACTTCCTAATAATCACCATTTACCAGAAATGTGAAAGATAAAAATCATCATGATACACAATAAGACTAAGCAAGCCAAAAGGAGAAAAATAAAAGAAAATTATAATGGCTCACTGAGGACAGTGGAGTAGGAAATACTTCCAGCTTACACCAATTCTCTCTTAATATTACCTTTTTAAACTGAGAATATCAGTTTCACGGTGACAAAAATCTCACATCTTTTTTTCTCTCCTCCTAAGGGATCATGCCATCAGCAAATTCAACTATCCTCCTGGACATCTAAAGGACCTCAAACCTAACAGGTTTTTTTTTGTTTGTTTTGTTTTGTCTAAAGGACCTCAAACCTAACAGGTTTTTTTTTGTTTGTTTTGTTTTGTTTTTGAGACAGGATCTTGCTTTGTCACCCAGGCTGGAGTGCAGTGGTGTGATCACAGCTCACTGCAGCCTCGACCTCCTGGGCTCAAGCGATCCTCCCACCTTAGCCTCCTGAGTAGCTGCAACTAAAGGCATATGGCACCATGCCTGGCTAATTTTTGTATTTTTAGTAGAGACAGAGTCTCACCATGTTGCCCAGGCTGGTCTCGAATGCCTGGCCTCAAGCAATCCACCCAGCTCAGCCTCCCAGAGTGCTGGGATTACAGCCATGAGCCACTGTTCCCAGCCTTAACTCTTAATATACCAAAATCTTTGCCTGCTCCCAGTCTTGCTCCTTACTAAACTCCTTACTAAATAATACCATCCTTATTTTAGTTGCTAATGCCAAAAACCTAGCAGTCACATGTATTTCCTTTCTTTCCTTCACATCCCCACATCTAATCCAACAACAAGTTCTGTCAACCCTATTTTCAAAATACTGTATATCCTAACTCAGACCATTTATCTCCAAATCCACTGCTGCTACTCTAGACAGAATCACCATTATCTCTGCCCAAACAATTCAAGGAGACTCTTAGCTGATGATACTCCTGCATCTCCTCATTTCTCATTTCTCCACATAGTAACCAGAATGATCTTTTAAAAATATAGCCAGGCATGGTAGCTCACACCTGTAATCACAATACTTTGGGAGGCCAAGACAGGAGGACTGTTTGAACCCAGGAGTTTGAGACCAGCCCAGGCAATATAGTAAGACCCCAACTCTACAAAAAAAAAAATAAATAAAATAATAATAATAATAATAATAATAATAACAAAAAAAATTAGGTGGGTGTGGTGGCACACACCTGTAATCCCAGCTACTTGGGAGGTTGAGACAGGAGGGCTGCTTGAGCCCAGGAGGTCCAGACGTTAGTAAGCCATGATCCTGCCACTGTAATCCAGCCTGGGAGACAGAGCAAGACCCCATCTCAAAAAATAAATTGAAATTAAAATTAAAATTTAAAAATAAATGGAATATAAATGTATTCACTCCACCAATACTCAAAGTCCTCCACTAGTTTTACATAAAAGACAGGGGAAAAAGTCCATGGCCAAACATCTCTGACTTTTCCTTTCCCCTATTCCAGCCACACTAGTTTTCCTGCTATCCCTCAAACTCAAGTCTATTTCCATGTTGGGCCTGTGTGCTTGCTAACCCCTCTGCCTGGAAAGCTTTTCCCCTGGGCATGGCTTGCTCCCTCCCTTTGTTCAGATCATTGCAAATACTACCCTCCAAAGAGGACTTCCCACATACCCTATCTAAAATAACGGACACCATCACTCTCTAAGCAAACTTAATTTCTCATCATAGAGTTTATCATCCAATATTTGTTTACTGTTTGTCTACCCGACTAAAAAGCAAGCTCCAGGAGTTGGGTGCGGGGGGGCTGTCTTGTGGATATTTACAATCCCCAACATCATCTCCTGGGTCACAGGAACTCAATAAACATTTGTTGATTAAACAAACGGTGCCCCTGATAATAAATGACAAGAATCAAAGAAAAACACCAATATGCATACTTTCAAACAGTTTATTCAATAAAATGCGTATTAACAACTTCATAAATTTCCATCGTGCTGCCTTTAGAGGACTTTAGAGTAGGGTAGAATAATAGAGAAAGGGAGGGAAACTTGTTGCCTTCAGCACATAAATCCAATATATTTGAATATCTTATTTTACATCCATGTTGAGATGGAACCTAATGTCTCCAAAAAATAACAAATTTGAAACTGTTTTTATTCCTGTTAAATACTGGAATCAAACTTTATCCAAACAAGCTTAAAAGGAGAAGCAATATTCAGATGATAACCTAAGAATACACATTTGACTTAGCTCCCTGTTCCATTATCCCTCAAGATGATTAAATCAATATAAAAGAGAAAATTCAAGCATCATCAGAAATTAGAAAGGGGTCTCACCCTTCATCTGAAACTTCTGAATTTTCACAAAGGTATTTTGACATGAGACAAAAGAGAATCAATCTGCCCTTACATCGGCCATATCTGCTGTGCTCCATCCACTCCAAGAGCCTGCCTGCCAGTCTACTCCACTAAGGTGAGGCCCAGAAGAAAATGGCCCACACTTAATTGCTCCCCTCCATCAAATTCTCTGCACTAAATACCAACTGCAATCTTCAACAGACTCTGTCTATCCTCTGAGAGAAAGAGAGAATACAATCTCGTGTCAAGCTCTGATACAGCCTGTGCTATTTATCAACACTAAATAAAGTGTACAACCGTATCCCCTTATCCAGGTTTCATTTTTCAAGGTTTCAGTTAACCTCAGTCGACAATATTAAATGGAAAATTTCAGAAATAAACAATTCATAAGTTTTAAATAGCACATCATTCTCAGTAGCGTGATGAAATGTCACGCTGTCCTGCTCCATCCTGCCCACCCGGGACATGAATTATCCCTTTGTCCAGTGTGTCCACATCCACACTGTCTATGCTACCCACCCGCTAGTCACTTAGGAGCAGTCTCAGTTATCAGATCCACTCTCGCAGTATCACAGTGCTTGTGTTCAAGTAATCTTTATTTTACTTAACAATGGTCCCAAAGCACAAGAGTAGTGATGCTGGCATATTGTTATAATTGTTCTATCTTATTAACTATTGTTGTTAATCTCTTACTGCGCCTTATTTAGGAATTAAACTTTATCAGAGGTATGTATGTATGGGAAAAAAACATAGTATACATAGGATTTGGCACTATCTGAGGTTTCAGGCTTCCACTGGGGTCTTGGAACACATCTACTGAGGATAAGGGGAAACTACTATATAGGAAAAAAAATCACCAATCTTATGACACGAATTGGCAAATACAGAGGACTGGTGAAATTCTCAGAATTTCAGAGATAATGACCTTGAAATTCTTAACAAAGATGTGAAAGGCAAAACTACTTGCTTTTCTAAGATATAAGTTCTTTTTGTGGGGGTAGGTGGTGAGGTGGTCAGGCTTACCAAACCAGCACCTGCAATCAGGGTTAGAGATGACAAGACACTTTCAAGAAAACACGAAGCAAGTAATCAGAAAAATAAAGATACAGAGGCCATTAACAACATTATCCATTTTCCCTTCTCCTTCTGGGCATAATGAAGAATTTTACTTTCCTTTTCCCTGTTGAAGTTAGACACAGTCATGTGACTTCTGTTGGTCAATGAAATGTGAGGAGAAGTGACCTATAAATTTCCACAGATGCGGGCGGGTGCAGTGGCTCATGCCTGTAATCCCAGCACTTTGGGAGGCCGAGGTGGGTGGATCACTTGAGATCAGGAATTTGAGACCAGCCTGGCCAACATGGTGAAACCCTGTCTCTACTAAAAATACAAAAATTAGCCAGGCATGGTGGCGTATGCCTGTAATCCCAGCTACTAGTGAGGCTGAGGCATGAGAATTGCTTGAACCCGGGAAGCAGAGGTTGCAGTGAGCCGAGATCATGCCACAGCACTCCAGTCTGGGCGACAGAGCGAGACTCCATCTCCAAAACAAACAAACAAACAAACAAAAAACTTCCACAGATGCATTTAATTGTTGGGCTCTGAACCTCTCTCTTCTGCTGTCTCAGTAATTGATGACTCATAGTGCCTTTACAGGAAAGACAACTTTCCCTGAAAGGTACAAACTTGATATGAGTGAGAAATAATAATCTTTGTGTTTTAAGCGACTGATAATTGGAGGATTCTTTTCTTATTGCAGCATAAGCTAACCTACCTTGACTAGTATATTAGTTATTTGAAAATTCCAATAAAATTATCAAAATTCAGCAAATCAAGAAAATCTGACAGGGGCAGGTAGTTTAAGAGATGGACAGAAAAACATACAACTATGACATCAATAGTGAGAAATGGATTATAACTACAGAAATAAAGGTTTTTTTAATGGAATGTGCCTTTGGAATCAGTAATCTCATCTCAATTTTTAAAGATTTTTAAATAGCAGGCTACCTCTGCAAGGATGCACTAAAACTTATAATACTGTTTGCCTCCAGAAAGGAATACTGTATAGCAACTTAAAAAAAAATGGGAAGAAGAGACGTCTGGTTTCTGATCTGACCTGAAAGAAGCTTGGAAGTCATCACTCCAAAATAAGTAAAAAGCGAACAAATTGAAAAAACAACAACAACAACTAATCTTAGCTCCTTAAAAGAAATGAGGTCATAAGGCAAACCACTGCCCCACTGCCCCCCAAATTGGAGGGACATACAGAAGGATACAGAGAATCACAACTTACCATAGTAGAAACCCATGAGCAGAAGGTTGAGGGAACCAGTGCAAGGGAAGAAAAACCTGACCTGTAATTGACAAATTGTTGGAGGATCAGTGTAAGAAAGTCTGAGAGTCAAAAACTCCAGGGAACCCAGTCAGAAGGGGCCTATCGCACTTTTTCTGACTTTTACCTCCAGGAGCTTGACCTAAGTTCTCACAGTGAATATCAGAAAAATCCCCCCTACTTCCAAAAGAGAGGAAAAACAACCATTTTGAAATGCACCACAACATTCTGTTTTTAACAAGGCTTGCCCTCAGGAGAAACTATTTAGCCAGAGACTAACTTGCTAACTACCCCTAACTAACTTGGGGGTAGGTTAATACCTAATCCCAGTCAGCCTTAGCCTTCCATGTGGAGGAAAAGAAATACCTAACTCTAGGCAGTTCTAGCCTTCCATGTGGCAGACAGGAAATACCCAACTCTAGCCTACTCTTAACTATACTGTCCCACCTAAGGGAGTACTGAGAAGCACTTGTGAAGCTGATAATCCAGAGGCACAGACTCACTAAAAGACTGAGATCTAATCAGAGGACTATAGAAGACCTCCCCTTCCTCCACACCTTGCCACCACATTATAAAACCCTATATTAAACAGCTCCTTTTACACAGTACATCATGTCCAGCTACAAAGAAAAGATCACAAGGCATACTAAAAGGCAAATAATGTAGTTTGAAAAGACAGAGCAAGCATCGGAACAAGACTTAGATATGGCAAGACATTGGAATTATCAGATCAGGAACTGAAAACAACTCTGATTAACATGCTAAGAGCTCTAATCAATAAAGCAGATGACATAGCAAAAAATATATATATCTGAGATTGAAGATATCTCAATAATAACCTCAAAAACTGGAAAGCAAAGAGTAAAAAGAGTGGGGGAAAAAAAAACAGAGGACGAAACACAAAACTCAAGAACTGTGGGACAATTACAAAGAGTGTAACATGTGTGAAATGGGAGTACCAGAAGGAAAGGAGAGGAACAGAAGAAATACTTAAAATAATAATGACTGAGAATTTCCCCCAAATTAATGTCAGATATCAAACCAGATACCCAGGAAGTTAAGAGAACACCAAGCAGGAGAGATGCTGAAAAAACAAAAAAAGCAAACAAAAAACCTACACTTAGACATGCCAAATCATACGCAACTACAGAAAATCTAAGATAAAGACAAAATCCTGAAAGAAGCCAGAAGATAAAAACACCATACCTATAGAAGAACAAAGATAAGATTTACATCCCCAGAATTTCTCCCCAGAAACCATGAAAGTAAGAAGAGAGGGTTGCTTCCAAGATGGACGAATAGTAACAGCTCTGGTCTGCAGCTCCCAGCAAGATCAACGCAGAAGATGGTGATTTCTGCATTTCCAACTGAGGTACCTGGTACATCTCACTGGGACTGGTTGGACAGTGGGTGCAGCCCACGGAGGGCAAGCCGAAGCAGGGCAGGTCGTCACCTCACCTGGGAAATGCAAGCGGTCAGGGGATTTCCCTTTCCTAGCCAAGGGAAGCCGTGAGTGACTGTACCTGGAGGCGCAGTACACTCTTGCCTAAATACTGTGCTTTTCCCACGGTCTTCGCAACTGGCAGACCAGGAGATCCCCTCCCGTGCCTGGCTCAGCAGGTCCCATGCCCACGGAGCCTTGCTCACTGCTAGCGCAGCAGTCTGAGATTGACCTGGGACGTGGGAGTTTGCTGAGGTGCATCTGCCACTGCTGACACTTGAGTAGGTGGTTCTATGCTCACAGTGTAAACAAAGTGGCAAGGAAGCTCCAACTGGGCGGAGCCCACCACAGCTCAGCAAGGCCTACTGCCTCTCTAGATTCCACATCTGGGGACAGGCCACGTCTGAATAAAAGGCAGCAGACAGCTTCTCCAGACTTAAATGTCCCTGTCTGACAGCTCTGAAGAGAGCAGCTGTTCTCCCAGCACGGTGTTCGAGCTCTGATAACGGACAGACTGCCTCCTCAAATGGGTCTCTGACCCCTGTGTAGCCTGACTGGAAGACACCTCTCAGTAGGGACTGACAGACACCTCATACAGGCGGGTGCCTCTCTGGGACGAAGCTTCTAGAGGAAGGATCAGGCAGCAATATTTGCTGTTCTACAGCCACCGCTGGTGAAACCCAGGCAAACAGGGTCTGGAGTGGACCTCCAGCAAACTCCAACACATCTGCAGCTGAGGGGCCTATTAGAAGGAAAACTAATAAACAGAAAGGAAGAGCATCAACATCAACAAAAAAGACATACCCACCAAAACCCCATCCGTAGGTCACCAACATCAAAGACCAAAGGTAGATAAAACCACAAAGATGGAGAGAAGCCACAGCAGAAAGGCTGAAAAGTCCAAAAACCAGAACGCCTCTTCTCATCCAAAGGAACACAACTCCTCGCCACCAAGGGAACAAAACTGGACAGAGAATGAGTTTGACAAATTGACAGAGGTAGGCTTCAGAAGGTCAGTAATAACAAACTTCTCTGAGCATGTTCTAACCCATCGCAAGGAAGCTAAAAACTTTGAAAAAAGGTTAGACGAATGGCTAATTAGAATAACCAGTGTAGAGAAGAGCTTAAATGACCTGATGGAGCTGAAAACCACAGCACGAGAACTTCATGAAGCATACACAAGCTTCAATAGCTGAGCCAATCAAGTGGAAGAAAGGATATCAGTGACTGAAGATCAAATTAATGAAATAAAGTGAGAAGACAAAATTAGAGAAAAAAAGAGTGAAAAGAAACGAACAAAACCTCCAAGAAAATATGGGACTATGTGAAAAGACCAAATCTGCATTTGATTGGTGTATCTGAAAGTGATGGGGAGAAGGAAACCAAGTTAGAAAACACTCTTCAGGATATTATCCAGGAGAACTTCCCCAACCTAGCAAGGCAGGGCAATCAAATTCAGGAAATACAGAGAACAACACAAAGATACTCCTCAAAAAGATCAACCCCAAGCCACGTAATTGTCAGATTCACCAAGGTTGAAATGAAGGAAAAAATGTTAAGGACAGCCAGAGAGAAAGGCTGGGTTACCCACAAAAGGGAAGCCCATCAGAATAACAGCGGATCTCTCTGCGGAAACCCTACAAGCCAGAAGACAGTGGGGGCCAATCAACATCCTTAAAGAAAAGAATTTTCAACCCAGAATTTCATATCCAGCCAAACTAAGCTTCATAAGTGAAGGAGAAATAAAATCCTTTACAGACAAGCAAATGCTGAGAGATTCTGTCACCACCAAGCCTGCCTTACAACAGCTCCTGAAGGAATCACTAAACACTAAATACCAGCCACTGCAAAACATGCCAAATTGTAAAGACCATCAATGCTATGAAGAAACTCCATCAATTAACAGGCCAAATAACCAGCTAGCATCATAATGACAGGATCAAATTCACACATAACAATATTAACCTTAAATGTAAATGTGCTAAATGCCCCAATTAAAAGACACAGACTGGCAAATTGGATAAAGAGTCAAGACCCCTCAGTGTGCTATATTGAAGAGAACCACATCACGTGCAACGCCACACATAGGCTCAAAATAAAGGGATGGAGGAAGATCTACCAAGCAAATGGAAAGCAAAAAAAAAAGCAGGGGTTGCAGTCCTGGTCTCTGATAAAACAGACTTTAAACCAACAAAGACCAAAAGAAACAAAGAAGGCCATTACGTAATGGTAAAGAGATCAATTCAACAAGAAGAGCTAAGTATCCTAAATACATATGCACCCAATACAGCAGCACCCAGATTCAAAAAGCAAGTTCTTAGAGACCTATCAAGAGACTTAAGACTCCCACACAATAATAATGGGAAATAAGAGAGGACACAAACAAATGGAAAAACATTCGACGCTCATGGATAGGAAGAATCAATATCATGAAAATGTCCTTACTGCCCAAAGTAATTTATAGATTCCATGCTATCCCCATCAAGCTACCACAGACTTTCTTCACAGAATTGGAAAAAACTACTTTAAACTTCATATGGAACCAAAAAGAGCCTGCATAGCCAAGACAATCCTGGGCAAGAAGAACAAAGCTGGAGGCATCAGGCTACCTGACTTCAAACTTTACTACAAGGCTACAGTAACCAAAACAGCATGGTACTGGTACCAAAACAGAGATATAGACCAATGGAACAGAACAGAGGCCTCAGAAATAACACCACACATCTACCACCATCTGATCTTTGACAAACCTGACACACACAAGCAATGGGGAAAAGATTCCCTATTTAATAAATGGTGTTGGGAAAACTGGCTAGCCATATGCAGAAAACTGAAACTGGGCCCCTTCCTTATACCTTATACAAAAATCAACTCGAGATGGATCAAAGACTTAAACATAAGACCTAGGACCATAAAAATCCTAGAAGAAAACCTGGGCAATACCATTCAGGACATAGGCATGGGCAAAATGTCTAAAACTCCAAAAGCAATGGCAACAGAAGCCAAAATTGACAAATGGGATCTAATCAAACTAAAGAGCTTCTGCACAGCAAAAGAAACTATCATCAGAGTGAGGCAACCTACAGAATGGGAGAAAATTTTTGCAATCTATTCATCTGACAAAGGGCTAATATCCAGAATCTACAAAGAACTTAAATAAATTTACAAGAAAAAAGCAAACAACCCCATCAAAAAATGGGCAAAGGATATGAACAGACACTTCTCAAAAGATGACACTTACGCAGCCAACAGACATTTGAAAAAATGCTCATCATCACAGGTCATTAGAGAAATGCAAATCAAAACCACAATGAGATACTATCTCACGCCAGTTAGAATGGTGATCATTAAAAAGCCAGGAAACAATAGATGCTGGAGAGGCTGTGGAAAAATAGGAATGCTTTTACACTGTTGGTGGGAGTATAAATTAGTTCAAGCATTGTGGAAGACAGGGTGGTGATTCCTCAAGGATCTAGTACTAGAAATACCATTTGACCCAGCAATCCCATTACTGGGCATATAACCAAAGGATTATAAATCATTCTACTATAAAGACACATGCACACATATGTTTACTGCAGCACTATTCACAATAGCAAAGACTTGGAACCAACCCAAATGTCCATCAATGATAGACTGCATAAAGAAAATGTGGCACATATACACCATGGAATACTCTGCAGCCATAAAAAAGGATGAGTTCATGTCCTTTGCAGGGACATGGATGAAGCTGGAAACCATCATTCTCAGCAAACTATCACAAGATCAGAAAACCAAACATCACATGTTCTCACTCATAAGTAGGAGATGAACAATGAGAACACATGGACACAGGGAGGGGAACATCATACACTGGAGCCTGTGGGGGGTGGGGGGCTAGGGGAGGGATAACATTAGAAGAAATATCTAATGTAGGTGACGGGTTGATGTGTGCAGCAAACCACCATGGAATGTGCGTACCTATGAAACAAAACTGCACTTTCTGCACATGTAACCCAGAATTTGAAGTATAACAATATTAAAAAAAAAAAAAGAAAGTAAGTAAGAAGAAAGTGGAATGAAATATTTAAAGTAGTGAGAAAAGGCCGGGTGTGGTGGCTCATGCCTGTAATCCCAGCACTTTGGGAGGCCAAGACAGGTGGATCACCTGAGATCAGGAGTTCGAGACCACCTGGCCAACATGGTGAAACCCCGTCTCTACTAAAAATACAAAAATTAGCTGGGCTTGGTGGTAGGCGCCTGTAATCCCAGCCACTCGGGAGGCTGAGGAAGAAGAATTGCTTGTACTCGGGAGGTGGAGACTGCAGTGAGCCAAGATCATGCCACTGCACTCTAGCCTGTGTGACAGAGCGAGACTCCATCTCAAGAAAAATAAAAAATAATGAGAAAAAAAAAAACCCCACCAGCCTAGAATTCTGTATCCTGTGAAATTATCCTTCAAAAGTAAAAAAGAAATAAAAACTTCCTCATAGAAACAAAAATTGACAGAATGTGTTGCTGGTGGACCTGCCTTGAAAGAAATGTTAAAAGAAGTTCTTTAAAAATAAAAATAAAAAAAGGAAAAGGAAAATTATATAGCTCAGAAACTCAGATCTGCAAGGAAAAACTCTGGAGAAGGAACAAGTGAAGGTAAATTAAAAACTTTTCTTTTTCTTACTCCTAATTAACTTACCAGGAAACAGTTGTTCAAAATAATAATAGCAACAATGTATTAAATTATATATGCATACATATGTGTCTATATACATATATACATATATATGTGCATGCTTATGTAGAAGTGACATGTATCAGCAATGATACAATGGAGAGGAGGGAGAAATTAGGATTATTTTATTATAATAAGGTACTCACACTACTGATGTATATTGCAAACTCTCAAGCAACCACTTAAAAGTAACACTATACCACTAACAACTTAAAAGTAACACTATACCACTAAATGCACATTGCAAACTCTCAGCAACCACTTAAAAAAGCAACAAAGGAATATAATTCACATATCAAAAAAGGAAAGAAAATGGAATCATATAAAATGCTCAATTAGAACCACAAAAGGCATAAAAAGAGTAGAAGACAAAAATAGGAACAAAGAACAAGGGCAACAAATAGAAAAGAATAACAAATATTGTAGATATTAAACCAACTACATCAATAATCACTCTAAACATCAATGGTCTAAATGCACTAATTAAAAGAAAGATTGTCAGAGTGGATCAAAAAAACAAGACATAACTATGTTGTCTACAAGAAACTCACTTTCAATATAAAGACACATATAGATTAAAAGTAAATGGATAAAGAAAGAGATGTCATGCTAACACTAATCAAAAGAAAGTGGGAGTAGCTATATTAATTTTAGACAGAGCAGACTTCAGAGCAAGGAAAGTTCTCAAAGATAAAGATTAGCATTACATAATGATAAATGGCCAATTATCCAAAAAGACATAACAATACTAAATGTGTGTGTGTGCCTAACAGAACATCAAAATGTGTGAGTGAAAAACTGATAGAATTACATGGAAAAATAGATGAATCCACTATTAGAGTTGTAGACTTCAACATTCCTCTATCAGAAGCAAACAGATCAGAATCAGAAGCAGTAAGGACATAGCTGAACTCAACAACACCATTAACCAAATGAATATAACTAACATCTATAGACTAATTCAACAACAGCAGGTTACACATTCTTCTCAAACTCACATGGAACAGTCACTAAGATAGAACACATTCTGGGCCATAAAACAAAATTAAAAGAATAAAAATACGTTTAAATCTTTAATCCATCTTGAATTGATTTTTGTATAAGGTGTAAGGAAGGGATCCAGTTTCAGCTTTCTACATATGGCTAGCCAGTTTTCCCAGCACCATTTATTAAATAGGGAATCCTTTCCCCATTGCTTGTTTTTCTCAGGTTTGTCAAAGATCAGATAAACCTAAAACCATAAAAACTCTAGAAGAAAACCTAGGCATTACCATTCAGGACATAGGCGTGGGCAAGGACTTCATGTCCAAAACACCAAAAGCAATGGCAACAAAAGACAAAATTGACAAATGGAATCTAATTAAACTAAAGAGCTTCTGCACAGCAAAAGAAACTACCATCAGAGTGAACAGGCAACCTACAACATGGGAGAAAATTTTCGCAACCTACTCATCTGACAAAGGGCTAATATCCAGAATCTACAATGAACTCAAACAAATTTACAAGAAAAAAACAAACAACCCCATCAAAAAGTGGGCGAAGGACATGAACAGACACTTCTCAAAAGAAGACATTTATGCAGCCAAAAAACACATGAAGAAATGCTCATCATCACTGGTCATCAGAGAAATGCAAATCAAAACCACTATGAGATATCATCTCACACCAGTTAGAATGGCAATCATTAAAAAGTCAGGAAACAACAGGTGCTGGAGAGGATGTGGAGAAATAGGAACACTTTTACACTGTTGGTGGGACTGTAAACTAGTTCAACCATTGTGGAAGTCAGTGTGGCGATTCCTCAGGGATCTAGAACTAGAAATACCATTTGACCCAGCCATCCCATTACTGGGTATATACCCAAAGGACTATAAATCATGCTGCTATAAAGACACATGCACACGTATGTTTATTCCGGCACTATTCACAATAGCAAAGACTTGGAACCAACCCAAATGTCCAACAATGATAGACTGGATTAAGAAAATGTGGCACATATACACCATGGAATACTATGCAGCCATAAAAAATGATGAGTTCATATCCTTGGTAGGGACATGGATGAAATTGGAAACCATCATTCTCAGTAAACTATCGCAAGAACAAAAAACCAAACACCGCATATTCTCACTCATAGGTGGGAATTGAACAATGAGATCACATGGACACAGGAAGGGGAATATCACACTCTGGGGACTGTGGTGGGGTCGGGGGAGGGGGGAGGGATAGCATTGGGAGATATACCTAATGCTAGATGACACATTAGTGGGTGCAGCGCACCAGCATGGCACATGTATACATATGTAACTAACCTGCACAATGTGCACATGTACCCTAAAACTTAGAGTATAATAAAAAAAAAAAAAAAAAAAAAAAAGAATAAAAATACACAATATCTGCTCTCAGACCACAATCGAATTAAACTAAAAATCAATAACAGAGAGACAGGTAGAAAAATCCCAAAATACTTGGAGATTAAACAACACACTTCCAAATGACAGATGGGTCAAAAAATAAATCTCAAGAGAATTTTTTAAATATTTTAACCACAATGAAAATGAAAATACAACATCAAAACTGTGGGATGCAACAAATGAAATGCTTAGGGGGAATTTTGCTGCCTTAAATACATACATAGAAAATGAGAAAAATCTAAAATCAGTAATCTAAGCTTCTACCTTAGGAAACTAGAAAAGGAAGAACAAATTAAATCCAAAGTAAAGAGAAGAAAAATAAAAATTAGAGTGGAAATCAACAAAATTGAAAACAGGAAATAGAGAAAACCAAAAGCTAGTTATTTGAGAAGATCAATAAAATTGATAAGCTTCTAGCAGGTTAACTAAGAAAAAAAGAGACATGACACAAACAACTAATATTAGAAAATGAAAGCAGAGACAATACTACAGATTCCATGAGCATTAAAAGGATAATAAAGAAATACTATAAACAGGCCGGGTACAGTGGCTCACATCTGTAATCCCAGCACTTTGGGAGGTCCAGGCAGGCGGATCACCTGAGGTCAAGAGTTCAAGACCAGCCTGGCCAACATGGTGAAACCCCGTTTCTACTAAAAATACAAAAATTAGTCAGGCATGGTGGCGAGCACCTGTAACCTCAGCTACTTGGGAGGCTGAAGCAGGAGAATCGCTTGTACCTAGGAGGCGGAGGTTGCAGTGAGCCAAGATCGCACCACTGCACTCCGGCCTGGGCGACAGACTGAGACTCTGTCTCGAAAAAAAAAAAAAAAAAAAAGAAAAAAGAAAAAGAAAGAAAGAAATACTATGAACAATGTGATCAATAAAACTGATAAGCTTCTAGCAGGTTAACTAAGGAAGAAAGACACAGGACACAAATTACTAATATTAGAAATGAAAGAGGTGGCCGGGCGTGGTGGCTCACACCTTTGATCCCAGCACTTTGGGAGGCTGAGGCAGGCGGATCATCTGAGGTCAGGAGTTTCAGATCAGCCTGGCCAACATGGCGAAACCCCATCTCTACTAAAAATACAAAAATTAGCCAGGCACACTACTCAGGAGGCTGAGGCACAAGAATCGTTTGAACCCTGGAGGCGGAGATTGCAGTGAGTCAAAGATCATGCCACTGCACTCCAGCCTGGGCCACAGAGCGAGACTCCATCACAGAAAAAAAAAAAAAAAAAAGAGAGAGAAAGAGGGGACAACCAATAGTACAGATTCCATAAACATTAAAAGAATAATTAAGGAATACTATGAACAATGCTTTGCTCATGAATTTGATAATTGAGATTAAATGAGCCAATTCCTTGAAAGCCATAATCTACCAAAATTCACACAAGAAGAAATAGGCAATCTTAATTGGCCTATATTATTAAAGAAATTGAATCAATAATAACCTTCCAAAAGAGAAAGCACCAGGTCCAGACACATTCACTGGTGAATTCTACCAAACTTTTAAAAAGACATTATACCAATTCTCTACAATTTCTTTCAGAAGATAGAAGCAGAGGAAATACTCCCAAACTCATTCTATGACGCTAGTATCACTCTAATACCAAAACCAGGAAACGACATTACAAGAAAACTACAGACTAATATCGATCATGAACATAGATGCAATTACCTTCAACAAAATATGAGTATACTAAACCTAACGATGTAACAGAAGAACTATACACTACAACCAAGGTATTTATCCCAGATATGCAAAGCTGGCTCAACATTTAAAATCATTAATGTAATTCATCACAGGAACAGGCTAATAAGTCATGTGATCATATAAATAGATGCAGAATAAGCATCTGACAAAATACAACACTCATTCATGATAAAGACTCTCAGTAAATTTAGAGAGAAATTTCCTCAACTTGACAAGCAATATCTACAAAAAACCTACTGTTAACCTCATTCTTCATGGTGAGAAACTAGGAGCTTTCCCACTTAGATAAGGAACAAGACAATGGTGTCCCCTCAATACTCCTTTTCAATATCATACTAGACGTCCTAGCTAATGCAATAAAATAAGGAAAGGAAATAAAAAGTATATAGATTGAAAAGGAAGACATAAAACTGTGTTTGTTCACAGATGACAGGATCATTTATGTAGAAAAGCCAAAAGAATTAACAAAAAAATTACTGGAACCAATAAACAATTATAACAAGGTTGCAGGATACAATGTTAACATACAAAAGCCAACTACTTTCCTATAAACCAACAATGAACACACAGAATTTGACATAACACAATTTACATTAGTACCACAAAATATGAAACACTTAGGTATAAACCTAACAAAATTTGTGTAAGACCTTTATGACAAAAACTACAAAACTCTGATTAAAGCAATCAAATAACTAAATAAATACATATTCTATGTTCATGGATAGGAAGACTCAAGCTTTTGTTGTTGTTGTTGTTTCAAAGAGATGGGGTCTCACTCTGTCACCCAGGCTAGAGTGCATGGTGCAATCATTACTCACTGTAACCTCAAGCTACTGAGCTCAAGTGATACTCCAGCCTTAGTCTCCCCAGTAGTTGGGACTACAGGAATATGCCACCATACATGGCTAACTTTTTTTTTTTTTTTTTTTGGTAGAGACAGGGTCTCGCTATGCTGCCCAGGCTATTCTTTTAACTCCTGGCCTCAAGAAATCCTATTGCCTCTGCCTCCCAAAGCAATGAGATTACAGGTGTGAGCCACCGCCCCCAGACAGGAAGACTCAATATTGTAACAATGTTAGTTATTCCCAACTTGATCTATAGGGTCAACGCAATCTCAATGAAAATTTCAGGAAGTTATTCTGTGAGTATTGACAAACTGATTCCAAAGTTTATGTGGAAAGACAAAAGACTTAGAATAGCCAACACAATATGGAAGGAAAGAACAAGGTTGGAGGACTAACACTGCCCAACCCAACACTTACTATGAAGCAACACTCATCAAGACAAGGGTGAAAGAACAGATAAACAGATCAATGAAACAGAACAGAGAGCCCAGAAATGGATTCACATAAATGTATCAACTGGCTGGGCACGGTGGCTCATGACTGTAATCCCAGCACATTGGGAGGCCCAGGCAGGTGGATCACTTGAGGCCAGGCGTTGAAGACCAGCCTGGCCAACATGGCAAAACCCCATCTCAACTAAAAATACAAAAATCAGCAGGGCATGGTGGCATGTGCCTGTAATCTCAGCTACTCAGGAGGCTGAGAAAGGAGAATTGCCTGAACCTGGGAGGAGGAGGCAGAAGTGAGCCAAGATTGTGCCACTACACTCCAGCCTGGGTGACAGAGCAAGACTCCGTCTCAAAAAAAAAAAAAAAAAAAAACAACTAATCTTTGAAAATGGAGCAAAGGCAATACAAGGGAGAAAAGATAGCCTTTTGAACAAATTGTACTGAAACAACTGGACATTCACATGCAAAAAAATAAATAAAGAAATCTAAACAGACCTTAAACTCACCACAAAAAAAAAACTCAAAATGAATCACAGACCCAAATCTAAAATACAAAACTTGAAAACTCCTAGAAGAAAACATAGGAGCAACTCTAGCTGACCTTGAATTTGGCAATGACTTTTTAGATATGACACCAAAGGCAGGAAACTGATAAGCTGGTATCACGGTTTGAATGTCTGCCTCCTCCAAAACTCATGTTGAAACTTAATCCTCGATGTGGTAGTATTGAGACACAGGGCCTTTAAGAGGTGACTGGGTCATAAGGGCTCTCACCAAAATTCTTGGATTAATAGATAATGTATTCATGAGTTAATGGATTAATGGGTTATCATGGGAACAGAACTGGTGGTTTTGTAAGTAAGAGACCTGAGCTAGAACACGCAGCCATGTGAAACCCTGCACCACCTTGGGACACTTTAGAGAGTCCTCACTAGCAAGAAGGCCCTCATAAGATGCAGTCCCTCAACCTTGGACTTCTCAGCCTCTACAACTGAGAAACAAATTCCTTTTCTTTATAAATTACCTAGTTTCAGGTAATTTGTTAGAAGCAATAAAAAACAGATTAAGATAGCTGGACTGCATTAAAATTAAAATTTTCTGCTCTGTGAAAGGCACTGTCAAGAGACTGAAAAGAAAAGTCACAGACTGGGAGAAAATATTTGCAAAACCTACATCTGATAAAGTAGCATCCAAAATACATAAAGAACTCTTAAAATTCAACAATAAGAAAACAATCTGATTTTTTTTTTTTTTTTTTTTTTTGAGACAGAGTCTCGCTCTGTCACCCAGGCTGGAATGCAGTGACGCGATTTCTGCTCACCGCAACTTCCACCTCCCAGGTTTAAGTGATTCTCCTGCCTCAGCCTCCTGAGTAGTTGGGACTACAGGTGCGCACCACCATGCCTGACTAATTTTTGTATTTTCAGTAGAGACAGGGTTTCACCATGTTAGCCAGGCTGGTCTCGAACTCCTGACCTCAGGTGATCTGCCTGTCTCAGCCTCCCAAAGTGCTGGGATTAGAGGGGTGAGCCACCATGCCCGGCCACAACCTGATTTTTTTAAAGGGCCAGACACATCACCAAAGATATACAGATGGCAAACACACATGCAAAGAGATGCTCCATATCAGACACTATCAGGGAAATGCAAATTAAAACCACAATGAAATACCACTACCCACTTAGCAGAATGGATAAAATCCAGAGCAATGACAAACCAAATGCTGGTGAGGATGTGAGGCAAGAAAAACTAGTGGGAATGCAAAATGAAACAGCCACTTTGAAAGACAGCTTGGTGGTTTTTTACAAAACCAAACATTCTTATCAAACACATCCAGCACTTATTCGTTGTTATTTACTCAAAGGAGATGAAAACATATTTCTACACAAAAGCCTACATATGGATACTTATAGCAGCATTATTCATAACTGCCAAAATTTGGAAGCAAACAAGACATTGTTCTGTCGGTGAATAGATTTGATGAAAAAAAAAAAAGCAAGCTGTGCTACATCCAGACTATGGAATATTATTTAACACTAAAAGGAAATATGCCATCAAGCCATAAAAAGCCATGGAGGCCGGGTGTGGTGGCTCACGCCTGTGATCCCAGCACTTTAGGAGGCTGAGGCAGGTAGATTACTTGAACCCAGGAGTTTGAGACCAGCCTGTGCAACATGGCGAAGACTCATCTTTATTAAAAAAATAGAAAAATGACCAGGCACTGTGGCTCATGACTGTAATCTCACCACTTTGGGAGGCCGAGGCAGGCGGATCACGAAATCAGATCGAGACCATCCTAGCTAATACAGTGAAACCCCATCTCTACTAAAAATACAAAAAATTAGCCAGGCTTGGTGGTACACGCCTGTAGTCCCAGCTACTCAGGAGGCTGAGGCAGGAGAACTGCTTCAACCCGTGACGTGGAGGTTGCAGTCAGCAGAGATTGCACCACTGCACTCCAGCCTGGGCAGCAGAGAGGGATTCTGTCTGAAAAAAAAGAAAAATTAGCCAGGCATGGTTGGACATGACTGTAGTCCCAGCTACCTGGAAGCAGGAGGATCACCTGAGCCTAGGAGGTGGAGGTTGCAGTGAACCGAAATGGCGCCACTATACTCCATCCCAGGCGACAGAGCAAGACCCTCTCTCAAAATAATAATAATAATAATAATAGTAATAATAAAGACATGGAGGAAACTTAAGTGCATATTACTAAGTGAAAGAAGCCAGCCTGAAAACTGACTGGCTGATTTCAACTCTATGACATTCCAGAAATGGTAAAACTATAGAGAGAATTAAAACATCAGTAGTTGCAGGAGGGATGAGGGATAAACAGGTGGAGCACAGGGAATTTTTAAGGCAATGAAGCTACTTTGTATACTATAATAGTGGATACATGTCATTAGAAGTTTGTCCAAACCCATGGAGTGTACAACACCAAAGAGTGAGCCCTAATGTAAACTATGGACTCTGGGTAACAATGATGTATCAATATAGCTTCATTAATTGTAGCAAATGTACCCCCCTGGAGGGGTATGTTGACAATGGAGGCTATGCATGTGTGGGAGCAGGAAGGAAACAGGAAGTCTCTGTACCCTCCTCTCAATTTTGCTGTGAACCTGAAACTACTCTGAAAAGTTGTCTTTTTTCAATGAGAAAGAATTTTTTTTACTTTATATGTTGTGCACCTTTTAAAGTCTGACGTTAATTTTTAGTAGCATGAAGTTTTACTTAACACAATTTGGAGTCTTCATTTTACTTAACCAATTAGCACATAAAATGCTGTTGACCTTGAAACTGTTCCCTCATTTGGCTTCCAGGACATCACATTGTGTAAGTTTTCCTCCACTGGCCAGTCCTTCTCAATCTTCATTCCTAGTTCTTACTCTCCCAACTTCATCATGTTGGATGCCACAGGACTCAGTCTCTGGACCTCTTTTCTATCTATACTCCAACTTATCCAGTCTCACAGCTCTGAATATCATCTTTATGGTATTTAAAATAGATTGATATTGTCAGTTATTCCCTACTGTAACAGACCAACTCAGGACTGCTATTCATTCTTAGTATTAGTCATGCACTAGCACAATCCAATTCAGGCATTATTCATGCCTGAACAAAATAAAGTGCTCTCAGGTACCATCACTAGCCCCCAAAAAACTCCAATCATTAAAACTACACATAATACCAATTGTTTACAGAAATTTCAATTTGCCAAGAGTGATTTTACTTGTCCCACCCTTTTGGAGGGTAATCTGAGATTTTTTGTTGTTTTTTTGTTTTTTGTTTTTTGAGACAGAGTTTGGCTGGAGTGCAATGGTACAATCTTGGCTCACTGCAACCTCCACTTCCTGGGGTCAAGTGATTCTCCTGCCTCAACCTCCCAAGTAGCTGGGATTACAGGTGTGCGCCACCACGCCTGGATAATTTTTTTTTTTTTTTTTTTTTTTTTACTAGAGACAGAGTTTCATCACGTCGATCAGGCTGGTCTTGAACTCCTGACCTCAAGTGATCCATCTGACTCAGCCTCCCAAAGTGCTGGGATTACAGGTGTGAGCCACCACACTCAGACAATCTGAGATGTTTAAAGGTAGAAAAGTAGAAAGAGAATTGAATTAGGGCAATGCTAATCTATTATGTAATCAAAGGCAGAAAAGTAGAAAGAACACTGAATTTACAAGCCTTTCACTAAATTCTTATCTAGGTGTTACTTTTCCTAGAAAACCACGTCACACCTAAAAATCACAAATCCAGAATCAGAACTATAACAATTACAGGGGTTCAATAAGTTCAAAGAGGCTTAGAGATGACTTAGCTTGTTTTTTCAAGCTTTTTTGTTTAAATATCAAGCTTCCATATAATAATTCAAGAAAGGAAACCTGATCAAGTTGAACCTCTTGTTTAACAGATAGGGAAACTTACAGCCCAGAAATGTTTGCCCATGGATAAAGCTCTCACTGGTAATACCAAGACCAGAAAGTAATTCTCCTGTTCCCTAATTCAATGCTCTTTCTACTTTTCTACCTTTAAACATCTCAGTGAATACTTGTGTGATTAATTTTATGTGTCAACTTGGCTAGTCCATGGTACCCACATGTTTGGTCAAACATTATTCTAGATGTTTCTGTCCAGATATTTTTTATATGAGATTAACACTTAAATCAGTAGACTCTGAGTAAAGCAGATTACTCTCCAAAAGGGTGGGTTTCATCCAATCAGTTGAAGGCCCTGATGGAGAAAGACTGACCTTTTCAGAAGGGGGAATTCTGCTAGCTGACTGAATTACAACTCTTCCCTGGGTCTCCAGCCTACCCCGCAGATTTTTGACTTGTCAAGCCTCCACTATCACTTGGGCCAATTTTTAAAAATTTAACAATTTAACAACTCTCCCTTTCCCTGTCTTCCCACCACCCCCATATACATGTGTACATGTGTGTGCACTGCACACATACACATTTTTGGTTCTGTTTCTCTGCAGAACCCTAACACAACCTATGTGAGCATCTAGATGAATTTCTGTAATTAATAGGTCAGTAAATGTATTTACTAAGAATGTTAAGAAAGCCTGTGACCAAATATATAGAAATAGTACGAATTAGTAGGGGAGGGGGGTGATTGCTAATGGGTAAGAAATTTCTTTTTGGGGGTGATATAAATGGTCTAAAATTAGACATTGGTGATAGTTACACAACTCTGTAAAAATACTAAAATCCACTGGATTGTATACTTTGCAAAGGTGAATTTTATGGTATATGAATTACAGCTTAATAAAGCTATTATATATTGTTGAAGGAGGGGAAGGAGAGAGGAAGAAAAGAAGGAAAGAAAGCCAGTCAGCCTGTGAAACTAACAGGCATTATAAATGACAAGGAAAAAAATGTTAACTACTTCATAAATTAATATTTACTCTTTCAAAGTCACTGAGTTACACAGGGAACCCCAAAGAAATGTTAGAGAATGGAATCAGAGAAAACCAACAAATAGTTGCATATGCCTGATTTTTTTTCTTTTTCTTAAATCAAAGGCAGCAAAGCAGTTAAATAAATCCTGTGACATCTGAGAGATCAACTAAAAACTGCATTAAGGAGAAATGTCTCAGTTAACAGTGACATGTGAAACCAAACTACAGAACTAAAATCTTTCATTTGGGATAACTTTAACTGTTTTAAAAATCCTTCCCATACTTAGTCAAATCACAGGAATCATTTCAAACCACAAAAAGTTTCTATTGTATTTACCATATTTGCGCTATTTGCAAAGATTACAATGTTTATTATGAAATCCTCAATATCTCCCACCCATAATATAGTGTGAACTTAAGTGATAGGCACTCAATATGAAAAACAGACTTTAAAAAAAAGAATACAATATGAATAGTGCTTCTGTGTACAAAGAAGGCGGCAAAGGATAATAGATGTCCCAGTAAATTATGATTACATTGAGAAATTCAGTATAGCTAGAATAAATTGTGCATTTATAGGGATTGGCAAGAAATAAGGTCAAAAAGCTAGGCTGGAATTTGGATAGATAGTCCAAGAGGGCTTTTAATCAGGGGAGCAAAATCATCAGAATTGAGTTTTAGAAAGATATATACAGTGGCTGTTGGTGGGACTGTAAACTAGCTCAACTATTGTGGAAGACAGTGTGGCGACTCCTCAAGGATCTAGAACTAGAAATACCATTTGACCCAGCAATCCCATTACTGGGTATATACCCAAAGGATTATAAATCATGCTGCTATAAAGACACATGCACACGTATGTTTATTGCAGCACTATTCACAATAGCAAAGACGTGGAACCAACCCAAATGTCCATCAATGATAGACTGGATTAAGAAAATGTGGCACATATACACCGTGGAATACTATGCAGCCATAAAAAAGGATGAGTTCATGTCCTTTGTAGGGACATGGATGAACTGGAAACCATCATTCTCAGCAAACTTATCGCAAGGACAAAAAACCAAACACTGCATGTTCTCACTCATAGGTGGGAACTGAACAATGAGAACACTTGGACACAGGGTGGGGAACATCACACACCGGGGCCTGTTGTGGGGTGGGGGGAGTGGGGAAGGATAGCATTAGGAGATATACCTAATGTAAATGACGAGTTAATGGGTGCAGCACACCAACATGGCACATGTATACATATGTAACAAACCTGCACGTTGTGCACATGTACCCTAGAACTTAAATAATAATAATAATAAAAGAAAGATATATACAGTGGCAGATACTAAAGGAAGAAAGACTTAAGAGAGGACAATAATTATCTAGGTGAGAAATTATAAAGGCCTGTCATAGGACAGTGACTATGAAATTGAAAAGGAAGGAAAACAGATTGAGACATTTAGAAGATGATTGATTTAAAGATGTCTAGTGCAATGTAGGTACTCAGTATCTTAGAGTAAATAAAAAAAATATATATGGTGGTTAACTGATTTCCATGAGTCCTGAATTTGAGTCCTGAATTAAGTACAATGTCAAAAAGAAAATTTGGAACTACTGGTAAGATATAAGTTCATTAAAAATCACTGAGGAATGTTTCAAATCAATCAAGCACCTCCGTGCGTGAACAGCAAAGGCACATACATTTGCATTTCCCACAGGATGGGTCACTGTGGTTAGGAGTCGGCACAGCCCTCTTCTCTAAGGATCTGGATTTCTCTACTACTAACTGGTCTATTGACAGGTAGCAGTTGAAGAGTCATGCAGTGTTTTAAAACAGGTCTGCAGCTGGGCACGGTGGCTCACATCTGTAATCCCAGCACTTTGGGAGGCTAAGGTGGGCGGATCACGAGGTCAGGAGATCGAGACCATCCTGGCTAACTAAAAATACAAAAAATTAGCCGGGCATGGTGGCGGGTGCCTGTATTCCCAGCTACTCAGGAGGCTGAGGCAGAAGAATGGCGTGAACCCGGGAGGCGGAGCTTGCAGTGAGCCGAGATCACACCACTGCACTCCAGCCCGGGCGACAGAGCAAGACTCCGTTTTAAAAAAAAAAAAAAGAAAAAGAAAACAAACAAACAAAAAACAGGTCTGCAAATTCTTCGACACTCTTTCTACCAAAAGTTGGATCCATGTCCTCTGACCCTGAGCAGTCTGTGACTGCCTCCACAAACAGAATGTGGCAGAAGTGGTGCCAGCTTCTAAGGCAGGTCAGAAAACGCCACACAGCTACTGCTATGCACGTACCTATGACTGCTGTGATTCTACCTACTCTGAGGCCACACACCATGTAGAGAGACCACATCAAGAGACACTTAGAAAAGTCCCAGCTGTTTGACTCTTCCCAGGCCAGGTGCTAGACATGTGAATGAAGACCCCAGCCCAAGCCATAGTCTGACTGTAGCTTTGCAAGACAACCCACGTGAGAAATGCCTGGTGGAGCCTAGGCAACTCTCACATTTGTGAGCAAAATAAATGATTGTGTCTTTTAAAAACGACTGTTTTAGGGTAGTTTTTCACAAAGCAATATTGATACTGAGGACAGGCCAATTCCTGGAAAAAGAGCAAAACCCTTCCCTGATCCTACAATGGGCTGGGAGATTGGGGAGAGAAGATTAGTCAATGAGAGAGGGAGGTTCCCTCAAACAAATATATTTCCCCTATCCCCCCCCAAAAAAAGATTCCAGGAAGAGAAGTAACAACATTCTTGCATTTGTAATTCATATGCTGAGGACTTAATAAACAAGACAGTACTTGTTGGAGATAATTTTAAAGTGAGTGATAAGGGGAAAAAATCAACAAAGGTTATTTCCCAAGAAATGGAAAAAATCCTCAAGAGTGAGGATTGTCTGGAAATATTTTTCTCACCTAAAACAAAAACTGGTACTGGTGTAAACAGGATGCCAGATGTGAAGAAAGCAGGCATGATAGAATATTACTTTTACAATTATTTTATTCAAATTTATATTTTATTCAGATTAAAAACAATCAATATATGAATTCATAATCTATTTCTTGATACATCAGCAATATGGACTTTACCAAAGATCATCTCATTAACTTGAGGAAAAATAAAATAAAACAGGATGAATTCAATTCATAAAAGTTGTGAAGAATCCTGATAGATTTTTGACAAGACAGTTTTTTTGACAAGGTAGAGTTCTACCTCATCTGGCTCCAATTCCAGTTGTTCCCACATATCTTTCCAAATCATGTTTTCAGCTTTGGTTGCCATTAAAACAAAACGGTGAAATTGTTGGGAAATAAAAAATAGCATATGTATTGCTATATCAAAGAAATGGCCACAATCTCAACTTAAACCAGTCTTCCCATGAAAATTTACTCATAAATTCCATGCTTATAAAAAAGGGATAATAAAAGTGCTATTTTAAGAGGGTTTCATGAAGATTAAGAATGTTGCGAGCCCTGTGTGAGGATGGGCTTATTTAAAAATATTAAGCATCAGGCCAGGCGTGGTGGCTCACGCCTGTAATGCCAGCACTCTGGGAGGCTGAAGAGGGCAGATCACTTAAGGTCAGGAGCTTGAGACCAGCCTGGCCAACATGGGGAAACCCTGTCTCCACCAAAAATAGAAAAATTAGCTGGGTGTGGTGGTGTGTGCCTGTAGTCCCAGCTACTTGGGAGGCTGAGGCAGGGGGATCATTTGAACCTGGGAGGCAGAGGCTGCAGTGAGCTGAGACCACATCACTGTACTCCAGCCTGGGCAACAGAGCGAGACTCCGTTTCAAAAAAAAAATACTTAAATAAAAATTATATATATGCATCAAATTGGACTCTGACATCCATTCGCCACTCCTGTAAAAATAGAACTCCGAAGTTATAGCTATAGATATAGCTAGCCACCTGAACATTACGTTTCCCAGCTTTCCTTATAATTGTTTATGGCAATATGACAATGTTTTGGCCAAGCAAAGATAAAAAGTGCAGGTTGGCATCTGGGAAGGAGCACATGTGCCCTCCTGGCCGGGATCTCTTTCCTCCTTTTTCCTCCTTCCTCCTGACTGAACACAACAACTGCCCAGACACGGAAGACACATGTTAACTACATCAGTTATCCCTCCACCTTTCCCCAGCTACAGATGGGAAGTAGATACTTATCTTGTTTAAGCCACATAAAAAGAAAAAAAATAAAAACCAAGCATCAACTGTGTGTCAGGCACTGTCCTGGGCAGTTGAGATGTATCAATGAACAAAACAGATGCAAAATCCTGCCCTCATGAAGCCCAACTGCTAACAGCAGGAGACAATAAACAAGATATTATAGTAAGTAGATTGCGAAGCTATCAGAAGAAAAAGTAGGTAAGAATCATGCAGTGGCCAAGTGTGGGAGATGGCGTAGGGGTTGCAATTTTTAAGTAGTCAGAATACAAGTTGTCAAAAAACTTGACATTTCAACACAGATTGGAAGCAAGAGAGTCATCCAGGTGGACATCAGGAGTAAGAACATTCTAGCCACAGGAAGGGTCAAGGAAGGCCCGAAGTGGAAACATATCTGGCATATTACAGCAACAGCAAGGCGATAAGCAACATCATAACAGATGAGCAAGGAAACGGTAGGGGAAAAGGTCAGAAAGGCCGAGAGGGGCCAGCTCAGGTAAGGCCTGTAGACAACTGCACTCCGAGGTAAGGAGGGAACCCACTGCAGGGCGGAGAGCAGGTAATGTGATCCACCATACATTTGAAAGAATCACTCCGGCTACTGAAACTAACAGAGAAGCACAGAAGCAGGGAAACCTCTGGCTATATTTGTGACTTAAGTGTTAGCAAAACTCTTGTCTTTCAGCATGAGAAATTGGGCTTGGATTCAGTTTAACCCAGCTATCAGCTCTGTTCCCGTGGAAACCATACAGGCAGAATGTCAGCTATGTTACTAGGCAACACTGCTTATGGTAAAAATGACCCACTGGTAAACTGCGAAAGGACTGGGAGGAACTATAAATACCTGTGCTGGCCATAGCTTAGGGCTTCTCTTAGTGTGAGGACTCCTGTAATTTGCCATGTGCCTTGTCGGGATCCTGGAAGCTCATGGTTGTCAAGCAAAATAATGACTTGCGGAGGATGGGGCTCCTAAGCCATGTTAGTGATATACCCACTCATGTGAGCCTCATTACTCACACCTGGGATTCACCCAGAAGCAGGCAGTGGCATAGAGAATGTTCTGGCTGTTCTCTTTGTGGACTGCTACAAGTACCCCCACCAAAGAGAAGACCTGGAGCTTCCCTGATGGCAAGCCGTGTTTCCTGTCCCATATCCTCCCAAGTGAATCTGATGTCAAATGTGGTCTGTGGCAATCCAAAGGTCTGTCTAGTTGAGCCCTAAGAAACCTCCCTGGGCCAGGCACAGTGGTTCATACCTGTAACCCCAGTACTTTGGGAGGTCAAAGCAGGAGGACCACTTGAGGCCAGAAGTTCAAGAGCAGCCCAGGCAAAATAGTGATGCCCTGTCTTTATAAAAAATTTTTAAAATTAGCCAGGCATGGTAGTATGAACCTATAATCCCAGCTACTCAGGAGGCTGAGGCAGGAGAATCACTTCATCCCAATAGTTCAAGGCTACAGTAAGCTGTGATCATACCACTGCACTCCAGCCTGGTTGATAGAACAAGACTCCATCTATTAAAAAAAAAAAAAAAAAAGAAAGAAAAAGAAAAAAAAGGAAGAGGCTGGGCTTAGTGGCTCACGCGTATAATACTAGCACTCTGGGAGGCCGAGGCGAACAAATCGCTTGAGTCCAGGAGTTCGAGATCAGCCTGGGCAACATGGGGAAACCCCATTTCTACAAAAAATACAAAAATCTGCCAGGCGTGGTGGCATGTACCTATAGTCCCACCTACTTGGGAGGCTGAGGCAGGAGCATTGCTTGAGCCTGGGAGGTTGAGGCTGCAGTGAGTTGAGATTACACCACTGCACTCCAGCCTGGGTGACAAAGTCAGATCCCATCTCAAAAAAAATAAAAATAAAAAAAGAAATAAAAGAAAAATAAAAGTCTCTGGGTAGGCACTGTTCTATTGCAGTACCCCAGGCAAGCAATGGTAGCAGCTTGGAAGAGGATGCTAGCAGTGCAAATAATAAAAGTGGTAAGACTGTAAATATAATTAAAAGAAGGAGCCTATAGGATCTTCTAACGAACTGAATGTGGGATGTGAGAGAAAGAGAAGAGTTACGGATAATTGCAAGATTTTTGGCCCAAGCAACTAGAAAGATGAAACAAAAAATTATGGAGAGGGAGCTGGGGATCAAGAGTTCAATTTGACAAGTTAATCTTGAGTTGAGAGTCATTCTTCATTTCACTTTTCCCCCTATGACCCAAGATGGCTACAGCAGCTCCAATTATCATGAGCTTACATTACTATATCCAAAAGGAGTATACCTTATAAATTCAAGGAAACCAGACTCCCAGCAGACTTCCCTTGTGTATCACTATACCTGAACCAATCATTGGCAAGGGGAATGGAACTGACTTCAGGCTGAGCAACACTTACAGTTGCCCCTTGGGACTGAGGGGCACGTGAAACATACAAGCACTAAATGCCTAGATAAAATTAGCAAAAGAAAGAGAAGAATTACTAATAGGCACAATATCTGTTAGAAAGGCCAAGGGTATTAGATGGACAATCCACACAGATACTAAAATCATCCCAAATAAAAGAAGATCAGTAATAAAGTACAGGTACAAAATAAGATAGGGAATCAGCTTAAAAATGAATGAGAGGAAATGACCTCCCCTCTATTCTATGAAAAAAAAATCTAGACAATTTCTATGAAATTTCACAATGATGAAGATTTAAAATAATTTGAGAGGAATAAAACATGAATTAAGAATCTGACTAAAATCAGAAACTCTCAACTGTAGAAGACAGAGAGCACTGTCTGAAAAATTTCCAAAGTAAAATAATTTGGCTTAAACTTATATATCCCAAATGATTAAACAAGTGAGAAGGCAGAATAAAGGCATGTCCAGGACATCATTTCGGGGAGTCCTTTAGCAAAACAAGGATGGAAACCAATGAAGTCTGACAAGAGATACAAAAGAAACAGTGGAAATAATCCAAGAGTAAAATGAAAAAGAAGTCCCAGAATGGCAGCTGTGCAGCAGGAATAGACAATAATTCATCCCATTAACACAGAAAACTAGTGAGTTCCATGAAAGGAAAAAAGGAATGGATTATGTTCAAAAGACAGAATAATTAAGAAGCTGCCTTAATGACAGGAATGCATATTTCAATTAAAAATAAAAGACATACAACAGAAAACTGCAGCAGAATATTGCTGGTTGTATATCCACAGCCTTCCTCCCTTATGCCTTGCTAAAGAGATTCAATTTTTTTTTTTTTTTGGTCACCTGATTTCCTAAGCACCTGATTAGGAGCCCCTCCCCCAGACCCATGGGATGAATCCCACAGGTCTGAAGTAATCCTGAAAATCCCATTCTCCTTTGCCAGTGATTGGTTTAAACCAACGAAACATACAGGAAAGTCATCTGGGAAGCTTCTTGAAAGACTTTCCTCAATGATAAGATGAGAGATCTGATGCGGGGTGTGGGGGATTTGCCATAAAGAACGTTATTGGGCAAATAGTGAATGTGAATATGGACTATATACTGGACAATAGTATTATATCGTAGTGGATGTGGAGGTGCACCACTCACATCCAAAAGACTCACTGGCAGGTGTGAGAAGGATGGGTAAACTGAGAGCTCTAGCTGTTAGCTTTATTTATGTTGGCATTAGTTTTCAAAAGACTTGCACATTCTTTGGACAGCCTCCAGCTATCTTATAACTAAGAAAGGTAGTGGTATAGACCAATTTCTGCCCAATGAGAAGCTCCTCTAATGAACCATCTTGACTCCGGATCTGCCCCTGGAGCTGGCAGACAAAGTATAATCACAATCTGATAGTCTCATCTGTCCAACCCTGCTTCCTCCTTTTACTTTTGTGCAATTGTAATTCTGCCTTGGCATTTGCTTCAACAATTAACAATGAATGTTACATTTCCTGAATTTAATCATCGTTCCATGAATGATCACATTGATAAAGTCCTTTTTCTCTGGTGATATGTGCTGAAGTATTTAAGGTAAAGAGTCATGATATCTGTAAGTCTCTCAAAAGATTCACCAAGATAAAAACTCTAGATATACATCCAGTTATATAGGCAAAGATAAAGAAAAAAGCAACATGATAAAATGTTTATAACTGATGAATATAGGTGAAAGCTAGACAAGAGTTCACATTACTATTGTCACAACTTTTCTGTAAGTTTTAAAGTTTTTCAAAAGTATGTTTACAAAAGGGGAAGATCCAGAAGCAGCAGCCCCCACCTTCTATTCCCTTCTTCCTGCCTTTTAGCACAATGTGAGAAACAGATGCTGGGAGCTGCAGCAGCTACTAGCAGTAAGAGAAGGCCAGGGAAATCAGGTGGCGCCTATCGTTGGAGTCCGTTAATTGCAGCCAAAAACAACTGAAATGATTAGGTGGTTGAGGGGTCGGGGGGAGTGAGCAGGGCAGAAGGGGAGGAGGAATTATTCAAGAACGTCATAATTCAAGTGTGGAAAAAAACATGACATGATTTTTAACAACTGATGGATTGCAGGGAAAGAAAATCCACTGACCTTGCTAATAAGAGATCTTCTTTCTATTGGCACAGGATCATGACATTAAACAAGTAGAGAAGGATGTGCCTAAAACTTACTACTCAGCTCTACAATGAGTATTTACATAAAAAATTTAGGCTCAATATAAAAATAAAGCACCAGTGACTTCAAAGTTACAGAAGTCATGTTTACAAGCTTGTCAGTATAAAAGGTACAACTGAGAGAAGTTAGGGGGGAAGGTGGAGAAAAGAAGGATTTCAATTTGAGTCCCTTCACAAGACTAGGAATCTCCTCTGAACATATTCTAGGTGACTCATTTTTTAACTGTTGTTATTGCAATATAATTCATATACCATAAAATTCACCAATTTAATCATCATTTTAATTGGGCTCTTTATCTTTTTATTACTGAGTTGTAAGAGTTTTCTCGGTACAAGTCCCTTATTAGATATGATTTGCAAATATTTTCTCCCATTTTCACTTTCTTGATAGTCTCCCTTTGAAGCACAAAAGTTTTTAATTCTGATGAAATCCAATTTATGTCTAATATTTAATCTTCTGTTGTCTGTGCTTTTGGTGTCTTATTTAAGAAAGTTTTGCCTAACCCAAAGTCAACCAAGATTTGCTCATATTTTTTAAGAACTTTATAATTTTAACTTTCTCATTTAGGTCTATGATCCATTTTGTTCATTTTTATGTATGGTATGAGAAAATAACCCAAATTCATTCTTTTGCATGTGGAAATCCAGATGTCTCAGTATCGTTTGTTGAACAGATCCCGCATTTCCCCCACTGAATTGTCTTGGTGCCCTTGCCCAAAAAAAATGTTTAGTTAAAAAAAATTCAAGGGACCATAAATGTAAAGACTTATTTGTAAACTCTCAATACTATTTAATTAATCTATATGTATTGACACTTTTTAAAAACTAAGGTAAAATCCACTAACCATCTTAAAGTGTGCAATTGAGTGGCATTAAGTACATGCATTATATTTTACAACCAACACCTCTATCTCTTTCCAAAACATTTTCATCACCCCAAAAGGAAACCCCATACACATACTAAGCAGTCACCATTCTTCCTTGTTGCTGGTAACCACACCACAAATTTGTGTCTCTATGGATTTACCTGTTGTGGATACTTCATATCAATGGCATCATACAATATGTGATTTTTTTTTAAAGGTTCATGCACTTTATAATAGTTAGTACTTCATTTTTATGGCTGAATAATACTCCATTGCATGGACATACCATATTTCGGTTATTCATTCATCAGCTGATGGACATTTGGGTTGTTTCTACATTTTAGCTAACGTAAATAAGGGTTGCTATAAACATTCATATACAAGTGTTTGTTTGAATACCTGTTTTCAGTTATCTGGGAGTATATACCTAGGGTAGAATATTTGAGTCATATGACAATTTCACATTCAACTGAGAAGCCACCCAACTGTCTTCCACAGCATGTGCACCACTCTCCATTCCCACAAGCAATGTGTAAGGTTCCAATTTCTCCATATCTTCATTCACACTTGTGATTTTCTGGGGTTTTTTTGGGGTTTTTTTTTTTTTTTTTAAATGAGAGTCTCACTCTGTTGCCCAGGCTGGAGTGCAGTGGCATGATCTTGGCGCACTGCAGCCTCCGCCTCAGCCTTCCAAGTCGCTGGGACTACAGACATGAGCCACCATGCCTTGCTAATTTTTGCATTTTTAGTAGAGATGGGGTTTCACCATGTTGGCCAGGCTGGTCTCAAACTCCTGACCTCAGGTGATCCACCCGCCTTGGCCTCCAAAAGTGCTGGGATTACAGGCGTGAGCCACTGCACCCGGCCCTGAATCGTTTTCAATTGTGACAACTGGAACTGAACACAATACCCTGGGTGTAGCATTGTGTACAGAACTGTGTACATTGCAGAATAATGTAAGACTAGCACTCTCCCTCTTCTCAACCTCCTCCTTCTATTAGTCTAGACTATGATTCTGTGAAGCCATCTGGTAGTCACATGTTATATCCAAATTGAGTTTATTAATTAAAATATTGACGTTGTTTATATTCAGTCACATCTCCCTCACCCTTGTAACTGTGCAGTTGGTTTTTTAACCCATGTATGAAACTTCACATCCAGCTCCACACTAAGTTATCCCATTAGCCATGGCCCACTATTTCACTCAGAAATACTATTTCCATTAAGTTAACCCTAGAAAATTCATTTCTTCCAGAAATTTGATACACATAGCCTCAACATTTTCATTCACATCATTACAAAAAATAGACAGTGAATTTCCACATGCCACTAGAAATTTCTCTCCAGTTGTCACCAATTCATTACTCATTAACTTTTGAGGTATGCCTCAACCAATCACATTTCTACCTAATTGTATGGTCATCCAGCCAACATTATTCAGCTGACATTATCCCCCTTGTCAGAGAGAAACGTTGCAAAATCTCCAGCTGAAATCCAGTTATACTGTACCTTATATGTTCTCCTGACCCACACTCTAATAATCCTCTCTAAAAACAAGGCTAACCTAATTGTCTTTATTGAGGCCATGTGATACTTTTCTTTAAAAATGTAATCAAAGCCAATGTTTTTGGTACATAAAGCACAATGACCTTAGATTAGATCATACTAGGCTTCAAAACATACTGAGATTTTTATTCCAACATTAAAATAAAAAAAACAGTATGTATCACTCAAGGCAACACAAGGAACTATCTCATGCATTCTACTTGAGACTATCAAGACAAATGTGTCAATTTATTGCAACTTAAGTTTATAATTTGTTTAAATTCTACAAGTCTGTCCTCAACATCAAAAATTCAATTAAAAAAAAAAAAGAGGCCAGGTTTGGTGGCTTATGCCACCAAATCCCAGAACTTTGGGAGGCCGAGGGAAGAGAACTGCTTGAGCCCAGGAATTTGAAAACAGCCTGGGCAACACAGGGAGACCTCATCTCTATAAAAAATGAAAAATTAGCCATGCGTGGTGGCACATGCCTGTAGTCCCAGGTGCTCAGGAGGCCGAGGCGGGAAGAATTGGTTGAGCTGGGAGGTCAAGGCTGCAGTGAGCCAAGATTGCACCACCACACTCCAACCTAGGCAACAGAGCAAGACTTTGTCTCAAAAAAAAAAAAAAAAGGTTCCCCCATGTGTTTCCCAAAATACAATTTAATTGGTAAACTTTTGTTTCCAATAATGTAGATTTTATTAAAACCAATTTCTGTAATTCCTTTAAGAGCACATTCCTCACTCAAATCACTCTCACAACACTGTCAGATATTGTTCCAGTCTAAAATGACCTCTATTTTGCCCTTCCTGTGATACCTACTGTCTCTGCCACTCACTCTGACACTAAGCCATCTGTTGTTTGGTATTTGTTGCTTGTTAACTGTCTGATAATTTGCTAATTGTCTACAATTGGATCCTTCAGAGAAGTGACCCCTCTCATACTATTCTAACTTTACCACAACCAACATAGTGTTTATTAGAAGACACGCACTCAAATACTTACAGTAATTTATATCAAATATAATAAATCCAATGAAGAATTAAAATTGACAGGAGAAGTAGCTCATGCCTGTAATCCCAGCACTTTGGGAGGTGGAGGTGGCAAGTTTGCTTGAGCTCATTAGTTCAAGACCA
The DNA here is from genome assembly GCF_000001405.40 of Homo sapiens. NCBI lineage: Eukaryota > Metazoa > Chordata > Mammalia > Primates > Hominidae > Homo > Homo sapiens. The sequence continues at coordinate 48,756,753 of NC_000004.12, forward strand.
GCCTAGGCAACACAGTAAGACCCTGTCTCTACAAAAAATTTAAAAAGTCCCCAGGTGTGGTGGCACACGCCTGTAGTCCAAGCTACTTGGGAGGCTGAAGTGGGAGGACTGCTCAAGCCCAGGAGGTTGAGGCTACAGTGAGCCATGATTGCGCCACTGCACTCCAGCCTGGGCTACGGAGTGAGACTCTGTCTCTAAGGTGAAAAATCATCTGATACCTCCGAAGACATTTAAGGTTGTCTAGTTCATCTGGGTGACTGTAGTGTGGTGACTAATAGGGAAAGCAGGCTCAAGCTGAGGACTCCCCAAGACAAGGCAGCTCTGTGCATATTCCAAGGTAGTGGGAAAGAAAAAGAAACAGAAATGAACTGAAAATGAAAGGTGAAGAAAAATGTAAAAGAAACAGGCTGCTGCATTCCCTTTGAAAACTGGCACAAGACAAGGATGCCCTCTCTCACCACTCATATTCAACATAGTGTTGGAAGTTCTGGCCAGGGCAGGAGAAGGAAATAAAGGGTATTCAATTAGGAAAAGAGGAAGTCAAATTGTCCCTGTTTGCAGATGACATGACTGTATATTTAGAAAACCCCATTGTCTCAGCCCAAAATCTCCTTAAGCTGATAAGCAACTTCAGCAAAGTCTCAGGATATAAAATCAATGGGCAAAAATCACAAGCATTCCTATACACCAATAACAGACAAACAGAGAACCAAATCATGAGTGAACTCCCATTCACAATTGCTTCAAAGAGAATAAAATACCTAGGAATCCAACTTACAAGGGATGTGAAGGACCTCTTCAAGGAGAACTACAGACCACTGCTCAATGAAATAAAAGAGGATACAAACAAATGGAAGAACATTCCATGCTCATGGGTAGGAAGAATCAATATCGTGAAAATGGCCATACTGCCCAAGGTAATTTATACATTCAATGCCATCCCCATCAAGCTACCAAAGACTTTCTTCACAGAATCGGAAAAAACTAAAGTTCATATGGAACCAAAAAAGAGCCTGCATCGCCAAGACAATCCTAAGCCAAAAGAACAAAGCTGGAGGCATCATGCTACCTGATTTCAAACTATACTACAAGGCTACAGTAACCAAAACAGCATGGTACTGGTACCAAAACAGAGATATAGACCAATGGAACAGAACAGAGCCCTTAGAAATAATACCATGCATCTACAACCATCTGATCTTTGACAAACCTGACAAAAACAAGAAATGGAGAAAGGATTCCCTATTTAATAAATGGTGCTGGGAAAACTGGCTAACCATATGTAGAAAGCTGAAACTGGATCCCTTCCTTACACCTTATACAAAAATTAATTCAAGCTGGATTAAAGACTTAAATGGCAGACCTGAAAGCATAAAACCCTAGAAGAAAACCTAGGCAATACCATTCAGGACATGGGCATGGGCAAGGACTTCATGTCTAAAACACCAAAAGCAATGGCAACAAAAGCCAAAATTGACAAATGAGATCTAATTAAACTAAAGAGCTTCTGCAAAAGAAACTACCATCAGAGTGAACAGGCAACCTACAGAATGAGAGGAAATTTTTGCAATCTATCCATGTGACAAAGGGCTAATATCCAGAATCTACAAAGAACTCAAACAAATTTACAAGAAAAAATCAAACAACCCCATCAAAAAGTGGGCAAAGGATATGAACAGACACTTCTCAAAAGAAGACATTTATGCAGCCAACAGACACATGAAAAAATGCTCACCATTACTGGCCATCAGAGAAATGCAAATCAAAACCACAATGAGATACCATCTCACACCAGTTAGAATGGCGATCACTAAAAAGTCAGGAAAGAACAGGTGCTGGAGAGGATGTGGAGAAATGGGAACACTTTTACACTGTTGGTGGGACTGTAAACTAGTTCAACCATTGTGGAAGACAGTGTGGCGATTCCTCAAGGATCTAGAACTAGAAATAACATTTGACCCAGTCATCCCATTACTGGGTATATACCCAAAGGATTATAAATCAAGCTGCTATAAAGACACATGAACACGTATGTTTATTGTGGCACTATTCACAATAGCAAAGACTTGGAACCAACCCAAATGTCCATCAATGATAGACTGGATTAAGAAAATGTGGCACATATACACCATGGAATACTATGCAGCCATAAAAAAGGATGAGTTCATGTCCTTTGTAGGGACATGGATGAAGCTGGAAACCATCATTCTCAGCAAACTATCACAAGGACAGAAAACTAAACACCGCATGTTCTCACACACAGGTGGGAATTGAAGAATGAGAACACCGGGACACACGGTGGGGAACATCACACACCAGGGCCTGTCATGGCGTTGGGGGAAGGGGGGAGAATAGCATTAGGAGATATACCTAATGTAAATGACGAGTTAATGGGTGCGGCACACCAACATGGCACATGTATACATATGTAACAAACCCGCGTATTGTGCACATGTACTATAGAACTTAAAGTATAATAATAATAAAAAAAAGAAAGAAACAGGCTTCTGAGGCTCAAGTGAAAAGAAAATGGACACCTTTTTCTCACAAAAAGGAAAACTAGATGTGTTGTAGCAGACAAGGGTTAAGGTTAGCAGGTTGTGTTAAGAAATAAAATGTTTATTTAGCTACCAATATGTATGTTGTAGGCACTATACCAGTTTCCCATTGCTGCTGTAAAAATGTACTACAAATGTAGTGGCTTTAAACAGCACACATTTATTATCTTACAGTTTTGGAGGTCGGAAGTCCAAAACAGGTCTCACAGCTAAATTCAAGATGTCAGCAGCTAAGAATCCGTTTTCTTGGCTTTAGAAGTTTAGAGGGTGCCCCACTTCCTTCACTCAGGGATGCCTGCCTGATTTTTTGAATTTATTTTTGTAAGATGAGGGCTCACTGTGTTGCCCAGGCTGGTCTCAAACTCCTGGGCTCAAAGGATCCTTCCGCCTCGGCCTCCCAAAGTGCTGGGATTCCAGGTGTGAGCAACCTGCGTCTGGTCTTGCTGGTTCTGACTCTTCTGCTTCCACTTTTCAGGACCCCTGTGATGACATTAGGCCCAGCCAGTAATCCAGGCTAACCCCCCTATTACAAGGTCAGCTGATTAGCAACTTCAATTCCATCTGGTGCTTTCATTCCTTCTGCCATGGAACATAACATGCACAGGTTCTAGGGATTAGGGTGTGGACATCTTTGGAGGGCTCCTATTCTGCCTAGCACAAGCACTATGTTATGTGCATCCTTTACATCTTATTTGATCCTCACAACTCTAAAGGAATTTTTTTTCCCTCATTTTATATATGTAGAATCTAAGGCTACCCATGGTATTTTTGGAGACTTTAAATAACTTGACCTGAAGTACAACAGAACCAAGATTCAGAGACTCCACCCTTCATCAGTCTATTTCTGAAGCCCTCACTTTTTTTTTTTTGAGATGGAGTCTCGCTCTGTGGCCCAGGCTGGAGTGCAGTAGTGCAATCTCAGCTCACTGCAACCCTCTGCCTCCTGGGTTCAAGAGATTCTCATGCCTCAACCTTCCAATTATGGCATGTATATTAATTTTCACTTTATATTCTAATTGTTCTTTGCTGTTATATAGAAATAAAATTCATTTTACACTGATTTTATAATCCTGTGACCTTGCTGAATTCACTTACTTGTTCTAATCATTTTTTTCTAGATTCTGAAGAATTTATCTTAGGGTTGTCTATACACATTATTATATAGTCTGCAAATAAAGAGTTTTACTTCTTCTTTTCCAATTCACATGCCTTGTGTTTTTTTGTTTGTTTGTTTTGTTTTTTCCTTGCCTTATTGCAAGCACTCCAGGGCAATGTGGAATACTTTTAGAATAACCTTGTCTTGTTCTTGACCTTAGGGAAAATGTTGTCATTCATCAGTAAGTATGATGTTAACTGTAGATTTATTTGTTTATTTATTTATTTAGAGACAGACTCTCACTCTGTCGCCCAGGCTGGAGTGCAATGGTGCAATCTCAGCTCATTGCAACCTCCGCCTCCTGGATTCAAGTGATTCTTATGCCTCAGCCTCTCGAGTAGCTGGGACTACAGTCGTGCACAACCATGGCAGGCTAATTTTTTTATTTTTAGTAAAGACAGGGGTTTCGCCATGTTGACCAGGCTGGTCTAGAACTCCTGGCCTCAAGTGATCCACCTGCCTCAGTCTCCCAAAGTGCTGCGATTACAGGCATGAGCCACCGCCCCCGGCCACCCTCGCTACTCTCTATTATTACTCTGTCTGTGTGTGTGTGTGTGTGTGTGTGTGTGTGTGTGTGTGTGTGTTGAAGAGGAAATATACAAAAAGTAAGGATCTTCTTGCTTTCTACTTCAACCAAAACCACTTTCTCCTTCTGTCTCCTTATATTTGAGATCCCTGTATATAATTTTGTTTGAAAAAAATAATTTTACATTTCTACTTTTCACCATGCTATATTCCATGTAGGCTTTGGTGAATGAGAAGAGGCCATATATTAAGAAACAAGGGTAAAATTATGTGAAAAGGTGACACAGATGTGACTATCCAACATATTTATATAAAATCGTGGGTGCATAATGATGTTACATCAACGACTGATTATAATTGGTCCCACAAGATTATAATGAAGCTGAAAACTTCCTATAGCCTAGTGACACTGTAGCCACAGTAACGTCAAAAGGCAATGCACTACTCATGTGTCTGAGGTAATGCTGATATAAACAAATCTCTGCACTGCCAGTCATATAAAAGTGTCCAGTAATATCCTAGGCCCTCAGATTCACTTCACCACTCACTTACTAACTCACCCAGAACAACTTCTACTCCTGTAAACTCCATTCATAAGTGCCCTATATAGGTTTTTTAATCTTTTATGCCCTATGTCTACTGTACTTTTCTTTGTTTAGATACAAGAAAGTATCTAAACATAGAAAAGTATCTAGACGAGTAAGTATCTAAACATAGAAATACTTATTTGTTACAATTGCCTACAATGTTCAGTACAGTAACATGGTGTAAAGGTTTGTAGCCTAGGAGCAAGAGACTATATCATACAGCCTAGATGTGTAGCAGGCTGTACCATCTTGGTTTTGAGTAAGTACATTCTATGATGTTCGCACAATGACAAAAGTCACTAAGGACACATTTCTCAGAATGTATCCCCATTGTTAGGCGTATGGCTACATCTCTACCCAAAGTGATGACAGGAGGTGGGACCTTTAGGAAGTAATCAGGTTATGAGGGTAGATTCCTCATGAATAGGATTAGTGCCCAGGAGAGGCAAGAGAGCTAACTAGCTCTCTTTCCACCAAGTGAGGATGCACAGAGAAGTCCAAAGTCTGCAACCTGGAGGAGGGTCCTCACCAGCATCCAACCATGCTGGCATGCAGATCTCAGAATTCCAGCTGCCAGAACTATGAGAAATTAATTTCTATTGTTTATGAACCATGAAGTCTAAGGTACTTCGTTATTGCAGCCAGAACTGATGAAGACATTCCCCAAAGTGTAATATATTGGCTTAGATATTATGAACATTTTAACATATCTTGACACATAGAGCCTATTGTTTTGCAGGATCCCATCAACCATATGTGAATGTATGAACATCCTTCTTAAAAAAATGATTGCTGGGGTAATATAACTGACTTCCAAGTGTCTCTTCTCCTCTAATAATGAACTCTTGTGTTGCTTCTTGGCCTATTCCTAAACACTTGGGTAACAATAAATTCTATTTTTAATGTCCCTAAGGAAAGGTTACAGACACAGGATGGAAATCAGGGGAGGGTATGTGACAGATGGCAGAAGCTTTGGTGTTGAGGTGATTGGCAAATGTCTTTGATGTAACTTATACCTCTAAAGGAGCCATTTTTAATCTTTCTTGTGTGCTGGGCCCTGCTCTGAGAATCTGATGAAAACCACAAACCTCTCACTGGAAAAATGCACATGAACACACACTAAAATTTTTCATACAACTTATTTTATTGGATTTTAAATTGATCACCATCACATACCATATAAAACCAGTCTTTGCAAGGATTTTTGCATGTCTCATTTTTAGTTTTGTGCCAAAAGTTGCTCTATCCAGGAATAAAATCCAAAGTATACAATAAAACAAATCAAACTTTAATTATTTTCAACAAAAATATATCAAAATAATGATGACTCTGGCTATGTGACTTCTGGCATAAAAGCATGGTTCTAGGAAAAGACCCAACCTTTTATACTATTCTCCAGGGAAAGCTAGGAAAAATACAGGTGTTAAACAGAGACAAGGCTCAGGTCCTAATAGTAAAGAAAGAATTATGTTGACTGAATTTAATGACTTTCCCCAAACAACAATATTTTATATTTGTACAGATCTGTAAAAAAAAAAAAAAAAAAAAAAAGATATGGTTTCAGAAATTGAGAGATTTTGGATAAATTTAAATACTTGGAGGCCAGGCAAGGTGGCTCATGCCTCTAATTCCAAGCACTTTGAGAGGCTGAGGCAGGAGGATTGCTTGAGGCCAAGAGTTTGAGACCAGGCTGGGCAGCTTGGCAAGACCCTGTCTCCAAAAAAAATTTAAAACTTAGCTGGACATGATGACATGCAACTGCAGTCCCAGCTACTCGGGAGGCTGAGGCAGGAGGATCGCTTGATCCCAGGAGTTCCAGGCTGCAGTGAGCTATGTTCACACCACTGTACTCCAACCTGGATGACAGAGTGTGACCTTGTCTCTTAAAAAAAAACTTGGAAAAAAAAGTCACATCAGACCTATGTTCCTAATACTTAATCATTCAAAATGTATTAAATTCAAAGTGGAGTACATGTACCCCTTAAAAGTAAGATGATCAAGGCAATGAGTAAAGAAAATCCTAGAGGATTACATGTATTTGTTATCTTAAAGTTAAAATTTGAGCTTTACTAAGGCCATGTATGATAAGCTCACAGCAAAGGTCATACTAAACACTGAAAAGCTTAAAGGTTTTCCGCTAAGATCAGCCAAGAAAAGGGTACCCACTCTTACTACTTCCACTCGACATGTACTAGAAGTCCATATAGGAAAGGCTGAAGTAAAACTGTATGTTTTTAACGTATATAATCTTATATATAGGAAACCCTAAAGATTCCACAAAAACCAATTAAACTAACAAATGAATTCAGGTTGGACTTTGTGGCTCACATCTGTAATCCCAGCACTTCGGGAGTATGAGGCGGGCGGCTCACCTGAGGTGAGGCGTTCCAGATCAGCCTGGCCAATGTGGTGAAACCCCGTCTCTACTAAAAATATAAAAATTAAGCCAGGCATTGTGGCAGGTGCCTGTAATCCCAGCTACTCGGGAGGCTGAGGCAGGAGAATAGCTTGAACACAAGAAGCGAAGGTCATAGTGAGCTGAGATTGTGCCACTTAACTCCAGCCTGTGTGACAGAGCAAGACTCTATCTCAAAAATAAATAAATAAATAAATAAATTAAATTCAGTTAAGTTGCAAGATACAAAATCAACAGACACAAATTAATTGAAGCCAGGCACCGTGGCTCACACCTGTAATTCAAGGACTTTAGGAGGTCAAGGCAGGAGGACTGCTTGAGTCCAGGAGTTCAAGACCAGCCCGGTGCAACAAAGTGAGACCTTGTCTCTACAAAAAAATCAAAAGGTTAGCCGGGTATGATGGTGTGTGCCTATGGTCCCAGCTACGTGGGAGGCTGACACAGGAGGATCACTTGAGCCCAGGAGGTCAAGGCTCCAGTGAGCCATGATCATGCCACTGTGCTCCAGCCTGAACAACAAAGCGAGACTCTGTTTCAAAAAAAAAGAAAAGAAAAGAAAAGAAAAAACATTAACTGCATTTCTATACACTAACAATAAACTATCTGTAAAAGAAAACAATCCTGTTTACAACAACATCAAGAAGAATACTTACGAATAAATTTAAACAAGGAAGGGATAGAGCTGTATGTGAAAGAAATTGAAGGTGACACCATTACATAGAAAAATATCCCATGTTCACGAATTGAAAGAATATTATTTTGTAAAAACAACCATACTACTCAAAGCAATTTATAGATTTGGGGCAATCCCTATCAAAATTCCAACGGCATTTTTCACAGAAATAGGAAAAGTGATTTTTTTTTCCCCGAGATGAAGTCTTGCTCTGTTGCCCAGTGTGGAGTGCAGTGGCACCATCTTGGCTCACTGCAACCTCCACCTCCCAGGTTCAAGCAATTCTCCTGCCTCAGCTTCCCAAGTAGCTGGGATTACAGGCGCACACCACCATGCCCAGCTAATTTTTGAATTTTTAGTAGAGACGGGGTTTCACCATGTTGGCCAAGCTGCTCTTGAACTCCTGACCTAGTGATCCCCCCACCTCGGCCTCCCAAAGTGCCGGGATTACAGGTGTGAGCCACCATGCCCAGCCAGGAAAAAGATTTCTAAAATTCATATGGAACCACAAAGGGCCCCAAATGCTAGAGCAATCTTGACCAAAAACAACAAAACTGAAGGTATCACACTTCCTGATTTTGAACCACATTACAAAGCTATACCAATCAAAGCAGTATAGGATTGGCATAAAAACAGATAGAGACCAATAGAACAAAATAGAGAGCCCAGAAATAAACCCATAAATATACAGTAAACTAATTTTCAACAAAGGTGCCAAAAATGTACAAGGGGGAAAGGACAGTCTCCTCAATAATGGTTTGGGAAAACTGGATAGTCACATGCAGAAGAATGAAATTGGATCCTTATATTGCACATACACATATATCAATTCAAAATGGATTAAAGACTTAAACATAAGACCTGAAACCATAAAACTACTAGAAAAAGCATAGGGGGAAAGCTCCATGACACTGGTCTTGGCAATGATTTTTTTTTTGGATTTGACACCAAAAGCAAAGGCAACAAAGCAAAACAAGTGGGACTATGTCAAACTAACAAGTTTCTGCACAACTAAGGAAACAACAAAATGAAAAGATGACCTACAAAATGGGAGAAAATATTTACAGACCATATATCCAAAAAGAGGTTAATTTTCAGAATATATAAGGAATTCATACAACTCAATAACAACAGTAAAAAAGCCCAATTTAAAAATGGGCAAGGTACAGAATAGGTATTTTTCCAAAGGAAGACATACAAACAGACCAATAGGTATATAAAAAGGTGTTCAATATCACTAAACATCAGGGAAATGCAAAGTAAAAACCACAATGAGTTATCTCACACCCAGAATGGCCAGTATCAAACTATAACAAGTGTTGGTGAGGATGTGGAGAAAAGGGAATGCTTGCATACGCTGGTGGGAATGTAAATTGGTACAGTCATCTGGGAAAACAGTATGGAGGTTCCTCAAAAAATTAAAAATATAACTGCCAAATGATCCAGCAATTTCACTATTGGGTATATATCCAAAGTAAATAATATCACAATCTCAGAGAGATATCTGTACTCCCACGTTCACTGTGGCGTTATTCACAATAGCCATAATGTGCTGTTGTGAGTCTGGTTTGTGAGGAACTACACACGATGGCTACAATCTCTGTTCCCTGAGAAGCTGCAGGGGCTAGTCAGAGTCCACACTCCTGAGACTTTTACCTTCCTTCAAGACACAAATAAAAGAGGTCAGATGACAGCTGTCAATAAAAGAGGTCAGATTCCAGGCCCCAGGAATCAGTGACTTTTGGAGACATGCTGGTATATTTCACTAAGCAGAATGGGCCAGCCTGATGCCTACTCAGAGGCCCTTGTGCAGGGATGTGATGCAGGAGGGCTCTGAGGCTGTTGGCCTTCCCAATATCACCCACTTCCAACCAGCTCTGATCTCTCAGCTAGAGCAAGGCAAAGAGCCATGATCCACCCAGTCACAGGGGGCCCTGAGTAGGAGGAACCGAGAGCAGACTCACAGGATGCATCTCAAAACCAAGAAGATTTACCTCTCAACTGAAACAATATCACATACAATACAATTTAAAATTCCTCAAAATAATCAGTGCTAGGAAGTCAGAACAAAGGCTTCATTCTTTTTTCTTTTTTTGTAAAGGCATTCATCAAGTAGTGCAAAGGCTTAATTCTTTACACCTTTAAATACCAGTTTTCAAAGTAAGGAGGTGATTTAAGAGTCACCTTAAATGATGTCAAATAAGCATTTTCTTCTGTAGATTCACGGATTTCCATAGATTTAATGTTTTCAATTCATTAAAATTATGAATTTTGATGTTAAAAAACAGATGAATGGATAAAAAATCATAATATATATCTATATATTATATATTATATATTTTATATATTATATATAAAATATGTATTGTATTATATAATAAATATATATCCACTGTATTAGTCTGTTCTCACACTGCTAGAAGACATATCTGAGACTGGGTAAGTTATAGAGAAGAGATATTTAAGGCTTATAATTCTGCAAGCTGTACAGGTTTCTGCTTCTGGGTAAGCCTTAGGAAACTTACAATCATGGCAGAAGGTGAAGAGGAAGCACGCACCGCCTTCACATGGCCAGTAGGAGAGAGAGAGGGAAGGGGGATGTGCTACACACTTTCAAAGGACAACAGCCAGATCTTCTGAGAACTCGCTCACTATCACAAGAAGAGCAAGGGGGAAATCTGACCGAATGATCCAATCACCTCCCACCAAGTCCCTCCCCCAACACTGGGGATTACAATTCGACATGAGATTTGGGTGGGGACACAAAGCCAAACCATATCATGCACATACACACACAACAGAATATTATTCGCCTTAAAAAAGAACATCCTGCCATTTACAACCACGTGGATGAACCTGGAGGACATTATGCTAAGTGAAATAAATCAAACACAGAAAGACGAATACTGCATGATCTCACTAATATATGGAATCTAAAATTTAAAAAGCCAAACTCAGAGTAACAGAGTAGAATGGTGGTTGCCAGAACCAGTGGGTGGGAGAAAAGGGGAATATTGGTGAAACGGTACAAACTTTCAGTTTATAAGATGAGTAAGTTCTGAAAACCTAATGTACAGCATGCATTTTCTCATCTTGGGTGGTGGGAAGCAGTGTGGTAGTGGTGGCAGCAGCAGAGGCTTCTTCCTCCAACTTCCTAATCCTGGATTGCAGCTACGGGTCCATTCTCCAGTCTGTAGAGTATCCAGAGGCAAGGACGCCAACAGCACAAGCTCTAGATTCCAGCACAGCCCCAGCGGTGCCCTCAGAGATCCCCTTGTGGGTAACCTCTGATTGATTTGGAGTCAAATGTGGCAGTCCACCCTAAAACTGCTGCTTGGCCCTTCTAATAATTCGGTAAGCACCTTGCATTAAACCTCTTCTAGCTTAAAATACTCAGGGATGTTTCTTTTCCTGACACTGAATACAGTACGTAAAGGTTTCCTAAAGGAAAGGTGGCAGTTGCACACCCTGAGGGATGCCTTGTGATGTCCTCTCATTTGTTCCCTTCCAGCATATTGCAACACACTGCAGCTTACAGGTGCCCAACTAAGTAGATTTACAGATCTCATCTGAATTGCGATAGCACTCACAAACGCACAAATGGATTCTTAAAAGATTTTTACAAAGAAGGACAGATTACGCATAATATTAATACATCAAAATACAAGCAAACAAAACGAAAATCGTAGCACTGGCAGTTGCTCTGTTACCAATATTAGTGCTTTATCAAAAATATAAGGTAAAAAAGTGATTATTTTGTAAAACATAAAACTTTCAGAAGAAAACAGAGGCGAAAATCTTCAGGACCTAGGACTTGGTGAAGAGTCCATAGACTTGACACAAAAAGTACAATTCAGCCGGCTGCAGTAGCTCACGCCTGTAATCCCAGCACTCTGGAAGGCTGAGGTAGGCAGATAACAAGGTCAGGAGTTTGAGACTAGCCTGACCAACATGGTGAAACCCTGTCTCTACTAAAAATACAAAAATTAGCCGGGTGTGGTGGCGGGCGCCTGTAATCCCAGCTACTCAGAAGGCTAGGGTAGGAGAATCACTTGAACCCAGGAGGTGGATGTTGAGTGCGCCATTGCACTCCAGCCTGGGTGACACAGCGAGTCTCTGTCTCAAAGAAAAAAAAAAAGGTACAATTCATAGAACAAAAAAATTGATTAAATGCATTATATGGCTCGGCACAGTGGCTCATGCCTGTAATCCCAACACTTTGCAAGGCTGAGGCAGGAAGACTGCTTGAGGCCAGGAGTTCAAGACCAGCCTGGACAACACAGCGACGCCCTGTCTTTACCAAAAACAAAAACAAAATTAGCTGGGCATGGTGGTGGTGCAGGCCTGTAGTCTCAGCTACTCTGGAGGCTGAGATGGGAGGATCACTTGACAGGTGGTAGAGGTTGCAGTGAACCATGATTGCACCACTGCACTCCAGCCTGAGTAACAGAATGAGACCCTGTCTCAAAAAAAATAAATAACAGACGGACTATACGAAAAGGCAAACGTTCTGTTCTATGAAAGATCTATTAAGAGGATAAAAAGACAAGCTTCAGATGCAGAGAAAATGTTTACATACCACATAACTGGCAAAGAACTTCTATCTAGAATATATAAAGAATCCTCAAAACTCTACAATAAAAAACAATCCCATTTGCCCCTTAGGGAAACAGTTAATTTAGGGAAAGGCATATTAAAACCACAACATTATCAATACAATACTACTAGAACAGTTAAAATATAAAATAATGATAATACGAAATGTTGGAGAGGATATAGAGAAACTTTCATATCGATGAAATGGAACTTTCCATATATTGCTGGTGAAAACATACAGCCACTTTGGAAAACAGTCTGGTAGTTTCTTATAAAACTAAACATACACTTACAGTATGACCCAGTAATTGCACTCTTGGTCATTTATCCCAGAGAAATGAAAACCTAAAAACTGCACATAAATATTCCCAGCAGCTTTTTAGTTAACAGCCAAAACCTGGAAATAGCTCCTATGTTCTTCAGCAGGTGAAGAGTTAAACTATGTACTCTGCTACGTTCATACAATAAATACTACTCAGCAATAAGAAGAAATAAGCTATTGAGTGAGACAGGTTGGATGGTTTTCTAGGACTTTATACTAAGTGAAAAAGTCAATCGCAAAAGGTTACATACAGTATGATTCCATTTATGAGACATTCTCAAAATGATAGAGTGAAAAGAGAATTAGTGGCTGCCAGTAAATACGGAAAAGGAGGTAGGGGGGAACCTTGAGCTTCACGAGGGAGTTTCTTGGCAGTGGTGGGACAGTTCTATATCTTGACTGTGGTGGTGGCAGTTATACAAATCTACCTGTACATACACATACAAAGGCATATACAAGAATTTTATCAAATTGCATAGAACTGTACACACGCATATACATACAAATGAGCACATTAAAGAACATGAAATCTGAATATTAACGATATTGTATCAGTTTCCTAGTTAAGGTTATTAATATGTTATCTTATGTAAGATGTTACAACTGGGAGAAGCTGAATGAAGGTGACACAGGACTCCCTGTACTATTCTCGCAACTTCCCATGAGTCTATAAATACTTCAAAATTTAAAAAAAAATGTTTAAGTGATGATATTCAATCACATTTTTCTTATTTTACAAATTACTAATATTTTAAGTAGGATCAAAAACATGGAACTAATATATTTTAAATTATTTGAAAATGTTTTTCATCCTTATCACATTTTTTTGTTAATGTCTTTTTTATTTTTTATTTATTTTTTATTTTTTTGAGACAGAGTTTCGCTCTTGTTGCCCAGTTTGGAGTGCAATGGTGCAATCTCGGCTCACCGCAACCTCCGCCTCCCGGATTCAAGTGATTCTCCTGCCTCAGCCTCCTGTGTAGCTGGGATTACAGGCATGCACTACCACGCCTGGCTAATTTTGTATTTTTAGTAGAGATGGGGTTTCTCCATGTTGGTTGAGCTGGTCTCGAACTCGCAACCTCAGGTGATCTGCCCGCCTCAGCCTCCCAAAGTGCTGGAATTACAGGTGTGAGCCACCACGCCCGGGTTAATGTCTTATTATGAACATAATTTATAGTATATAGTTTACAATAAATAAGCATACACATATTGGGAATGAAGACTCAATTTTTTATACTGCTGAAATAAAATTTTTGCAGACTTCTGTTACAGAGGCTACAAAATTCCAAGCTACTATCCCTCCCTTAAAATTTTTACCTTGGGAAGAACATTAGAACAGGAAAAATGTTAGAACAGGAAAAATACTAAACTAAGAATCAAAGCACAGTTCTTTTTTTGTTTGTTTTTTGTTATTTCCTTTCAAATCTACATCTGCAGAAAAAGAACAATTCTAAACAAGTCACAGTCTCATTCTCATCTATAAAATGCAGAAATTCTACTGTATCATTCCTAAGGACATTCTAGCTCCAAAAACATTAACTCTAAGGCAGGAAAAGGTGAAACAATGAAAAAATGCATGACAAACTGTAACTAGTATTTACTGAAAGTATATTAAGGGTTCAGTAGTATCAGGAATATTACATACAAGACATGGTCTAAATTGTATCAACACAAATACAGAAAAATGCATCTATAAAGATAATTTTACCTCAAAGAAAACAGATTAAGATCCAGTTTAAACAAAAATATTTAGGTAACAGACACATCTGGCTATTTTACAAGCAATCTCATAGTGCTTTAAGACTTTTAATATCTGCTCTTTGACTTACATTGTAACAATATACCAGTAGATCTAAGTATCCTAGTATACATGCTTAGGGTTTTGATGGTTCTTACAAGAAGTAGACTAGCAAGTCATTCTAACAGGAAAAACAGTTCTTCTCCATCCACTTGAGTTAGACTTAACAAGACAATTTTTAGAGGTTTATTATTCAGAGGAAGTTAAACATCCACAGGGTAGCATCTACCATCCTGTTATACCATCCTCGGCTATCCAGAAGCATCACTTAGCCAAAACAGAGTCAAAAACCAGAAAAAAAGCACGAGTCCTCTAAGCAGTAAAAAACAACAAGTCCCTAGCACTAAAGCTCCATGCACAGAAAGTCTTCTGGTTCCTCACCCAGAAGAACATGCTGTCATTTTTATCCACCATTCAGCAAGTACTGTATGGGGTTCTGTTCCCACAGCACACTGAAAACATCAAATTATAAAGAGGAGACTACTATGGGCAGGCATAATGAGAGCAAACAAAGAGATAACAGTTAACAATAAAGTAATAAGCAAATCAACCCCCAAAAGCAGACATGATTTAGAAAGGAATGGTTTCACCAACAAACAAAATATGATTCTCTGTACATTGCTGGCTGAGGACACTAATTGGCTAGAGTTCCTTTTGCAAATAAATTGTTGTGAGTTCACTGACATCCCAGACATACGAATGTCACTAAATCTATTGACTACTTAATAAGTAAGGTATAAGTATTAATAATGTATATGTACCATCTTTTAAGGTGGAAGGATGCAGATTATATTTTGAGAATTTTTTGTAATTGTTTCCATTAACTATACTTTACACTTCTACAGGCTAGCAAGTCTTTGTCTTTTTAAGATTATTTTGAACCTCTATTTTTGATAGTAATTCACTTGATAGTCACATGAGACCTGCCGGTAAAGGCCACAGTGAGCCGTGATTGCACCACTGCACTCCAGCCTGGGCAACAGAGCAAGACTCTGTGTCAAAAAAATAAATAAATACCTTTCTAAACTTGGATCTACATACATCAAGGGATGATGTACTTGAATCTACTCATACTATTTATACACATTGAGAGGGATCAAGTTACACAGGAATGTACATTTATTAAGATGCACATTCATCAAACTAATATTTTTAACCAGTATTATAGATGGCATAACCCATCTTAAGTTTTAAAATGGAAAAATAAAATTACAAATTATCTTTCCAGCATTCTTTACTATTGAACTAAATTAAATCACATCTGAAGCTTACCCTGAAATGAAGAGACCTACCAAAAAAAAAAAAAAAAAAAAAAAAAGCAGAACAAAACAAGAATTCTGAGAAGTGGAAATACTACACTGAAATCCATTCAGGCAACAAAGAACACGTGAGTGGTTTATATCCTAAAAAGCAAGGCTGCACTGCAGTAAGTAAACAAACTAATGTTCCTTTTTCATCAACTTTCAGATGCTTTTAACAACAACAACACTTTTAACCTTTCTGAAGTATGGACGCTGAAATAGAGGTGTATCTTACAACTACTGTCATCCAACAGTGGGATGTCGTTGGTGAAAACGTTCAGTTGATTCCTCCTGGAAAGATCAAGGAAGCACCAGCATCAAAGTGTCTTACATTTGATCAAAAATAGTCACTCAAAATAGTCTTAAAAAGACAAAGAAATGATCAGAAGCCTGTAAAAGTATAATCAACAGAGACAACTACAAAAAATTCTCAAAATGTAAACTGCATCCTCCTACCTTAAAATATGGTACATATAAATTACTTATCACACTACTTAGCAAGTAGTCAACAGATTATCTATCATTATTATTATAAGACGCAAGATAAAGACTAGTAGAGCTGATGAAAATATCTGTGATCATAGTGATCAGCCAATCAATAAGCACTTATTAAGGGTCTACCAAGTCACTAGCAATATGCAAGAGTAATGCAAATCCATCATGATCAATCTACGAAGCACTATTTTTTTAACCAGTAAGGGGCAAATGTCACATCACATTCATCAACGATTAGAACTAAGTACTTTTAACTTCCTTTAAAGTATTGCCCTTTATTTGAGTCCAGTCTGCAGAACTCGAAACCTAAATTGTTTACTTGAAAAGAGTCATCAAATGATTATGTTAGTATAAGGAAGTGTTACCAGAATGAGTCTAATGGTTTTCATAGGGGAAAAAAAAAATTTCCTATTATTCTCCAGGCTTAGGTAGAATAATGATGGGTTAAATTTTCTCTTAAAACCTTTCTACGGTGGCTCACACCTGTAATCCCAGCACTTTGGGAGGCCAAGGCAGGCAGATAGCTTCAGCCTAGGAGTTCAAGATCAGCCTAGGCAACATGGCAAGATCCTCTTTCTACAAAAAATAGCTGGGTGTGGTGGCACATGCCTGTGGTTCCAGCTACTCACGGGGCTGAGGTGAGAGGATCACTTGAGCCCAGCTGGTGGAGGCTACAGTGGAAACTGTAGCTGTGACTGCACCACTGCACTCCAGCCTGGGAAACAGAGTGAGACTCTGTATCAAATAAATACATAAATAAGTACCTTTCTAAACTTGGAGCTACCCACATCAAGGAATGATGTACTTGAATCTATTTACAGTACTTACACACATTGAGAGGGATCAAGTTACGCAGGAATGTACATTTAATAAAATGTTATTTTTTATTTATATAGAATGTCCAAAATAGGCAAATATAGAAACAAAGAATATGGATCAGTGGTTGCCTAGGGCTGGGGATGGGGTGGGGATGGGATGAAAAAGTTCTAAAATTAATTGAGGTTATGGTATACAACTCTGAAATAGAATAAAAACCACTGAATTGTACATTTTTAATAGGTAAATTATATGGCATACGAATTATATTTCAAAAAAGCTGTCACTTTAAAATTTTAACTCTTCACAAAACTTAACATATCAAAACTGCTGCATTATGGTCAAATTCCACAGGAACTACTACCCCTCTGTCAGATATTATTCCTGGCCCAGTCAA
This sequence comes from Homo sapiens, assembly GCF_000001405.40. Taxonomy (NCBI): domain Eukaryota; kingdom Metazoa; phylum Chordata; class Mammalia; order Primates; family Hominidae; genus Homo; species Homo sapiens. The sequence goes on from NC_000004.12 coordinate 48,774,396, forward strand.
CACACCATCACTGACAGTGTTACATGGTCCCTTTCTTAACACTCCAATCTTTCCCCCACAAATATAAAGACTGAATGGGAAAAGGAGGGTGGTAGGGGGATCTATTTTGTCAAAGTTAAAAATATTTCACACTGAATTTTAATACAAATAATTTTTTTTTTTTTTTTGGAGAAGGAATCTTGCTCTGTCACCTAGGCTGGAGCACAGTGGCGTGATCTCGGCTCACTGCAACTTCCGCCTCCTGGGTTCAAGCGATTCTCTTGCCTCAGACTCCAGAGTACCTGGGACTACAGGCATGTGCCACCACACCCGGCTAATTTTTTTGTATTTTAAGTAGAGACAGGGTTTCACTATGTTGGCCAGGCTGGTCTCGAACTCCTATCCTCAGTGATCCGCCCACCTCAGTCTCCGAGTGCCGGGATTACAGGCGTGAGCCACCGCGTCCAGCCAATGATTTTTCAAAATAATATTTTTCGTAACAAAAAGCACAAATCCTGGTAAAGACATGTATTTATTATAGCATTTTGAGCTTAAAAGAATGTATTACTACTATGTCAGCAAAATATGAGTTATTTGCTAGGATACCCATGTAGTCTCATAATGATATTCTTTGAAATGCACGATACCTGTAAAGTATAAGGAAAGACACAATTACGTTTGCAGAATTTCAGAAATATTTCGCCCCACAGGAACAGCAGTGTTTGCAATCCCAAAAAACAACTCTAAGCTAACAAGTTTAATTCAAGAGGTTCCATGGACCTTAACCCACCTCCTGTGGAAGCCCAGGTTTGTGTGCTAGGCTATTTTGGAAGAGGCTATGCCGAAAAATAAACAAATGAGTGAATAATAAGTTCACCAAAGGGTGCACTTCATCTAAGCTACCTTTAATCCACATGTTCCACTCTGCACTGGTCTATTTAAGGTTCCTGCTCAGAGGAGCTCATAACTTGTGACAGATACAAACTTAATCTTACCCTCAATGCCTAGCATGGTACACACTATAGATGCAGTTCTCAAAAGTCTGCTAAATGAAAGATTTTTTTTTCAGCTGATTAGGCCGCCTGGCTGCTTACAGCTGGGTTTTCTATTTAGGATCCTTTGGAAACCCTTTCTGCCCTCTGGGGTAGCTTAAAGAAGGACGTGGAACAACAGACTCTTCTCACCTACTTCACCAGCCTAAACTGTAGCCCCCTTTTTATAATTAGCAACTTAACGTTTGAGTGATTCCACCATGAACAAATCTACATTTCTCCTTGGGCTACTATGAGGAGTGCCCGCTGGGAGTCTCAAAGCAATTTTTAATCCTCTCTCTCTTGAGAAGAATAATCAAGAAATAAGAAGAAATTAAAGTATGTACTCCAAAAATATTCTGGGGTAAAGGCAGATAAACTGTTCAGGCACACAGGTTTTGATCAATTTTTGCAGAGTATGAAGTCTACATTTTGAACACAAACATACTAGTGGCAGCTTTGTATCCTAAGAAAAGGTAAAAGGAACCAGAATTGCCAGAATTACTAGGCCTGGAGAAATTATTTTTAAAGATAAGTATATAAAAAATGATTAGTTTTCCCCACTCCCAATAAATGTAATTTACTAACTAAAATTTGCAAGCATGAGAGACAGTTTAAGACAGTCCTATACAGAGGTTAAAAAAAAAAAGAAAAAGAAAAAAAGGAAAAAAAAAACCTGAAAGAATAAACAACCACTAACAATGTTACAATGTGATAGGAGCAGTGTTATGTGACACTTTTCGTTTCTTTTTTTTTTTTTTAAATAGAGTCAGAGTCTCCCTTTGTTGCCCATACTGCTCTTTAACTCCTGGGCTCAAGCCATCTTCCCGCCTCAGCCTCCCAAAGTCCTGGGATTACAGGCATGAGCCACCATACCCAGCCACTTTTAATTTTGAAATTATGCATTTCTTTCATATTAATATTTTACAACAAGCATGTGAAACTTTGATAAGCAAAAACTTTTTCTCCTTTAAACATAAATACACACTTTCCAAACCCAAATAAAACTAAATTTAAACTTCTTTACAGTAAGTGATTTTCTAGAATACTGGTGGGCTATTAAAACTGCCCAAGTACTTTAGGCAACAGTAAAAATGAAAGGGCTCTAACTTCTGTTAATTTTAGCAAACTCCACAATCTAATAAAAGAAATATACACACAGCCATACTGTAAGTCAGACCATGGCTTGTACTGTAAGAGGATTTTACAGGAGCAAAAACAAAGAACAATCACCTGGGATTAGGAGAACAGAGGAAGAGCTTGCAGACAAGGTGACATCTGAGCAGGGCCAGATGGATGATCCCTGTCACTATGTAACAATAGTTGAAATTCAGAGCACATACTCTGTCTCCCCAAAATATTTTATACATAAAAATAGCTCGAGTAGACAACATATACCTAGTCTACCCCCAAAACTACTTTATTAAAAAATGTATTTAAAAATATATTTTCTAAAATCTGCTAAAGCCATGAAAACTTGTCCACTTCAATCATTTCAATTACATGAATCCTGTGTCACTGTTACTTTGTACTTGTTACTGCACTGACATACCCACTGTCCTTTTCCTAAGAATCGTAATTTTGCATCTTCTCATTAAACTGTATACATCTGATTTGCTGGCTCTGGGTCTAATTTAAAAAAAAAACAAAAACTATTTAGAGCAAGACTGTCATCCAGTTCTACTTTATCTCCATAAATACTCTGTCATCGGTTTCTACTTTACATAATACCCTTTAAATAAAAGTATACTCAACAGATCTTATTGACACATAAAACCTAGTCCTGAATAATTGTGAATAATTGTGACAATGTGTTCACCATCACAAAAGATGTCTGTGGAACAGATATTATAAACAAATCACAATTTTGTACACAGAACAAAGAACCTCTAGATTGACATATCTTCCCCCAACAGTAAGCCAATTGCTGGCCTTTAGTATAAAATGTTCAGAAAGGTGTTTATTTAAAAAATTAAATAACTCAAGCGGCCTTTACAGGACATTATCTTTTTCTGTCACAAAGACCTAAAATAAGACATTTATTGGGTACTAAAAAGGTCCGAGGTGATACAGTGAATCTGCACAGAAATGGAGGATAATTCTGGCTCCCAAGGATCTCAAGAAACAGTTCATAACTCAAGAAATGTGTGCATATAAAACAATGTGTTTAAAACAATGTAGAAAGCACAAAAGAGGAAAAAGTCTTTTTCAGGAAATACAGTCTAGATATTTCAAAGATAATTATTTCTGAATGTTTTATTCATATGTTCTCTTCTAAAAGTTGAGAAATTCTTTTATTGTTTAAATAAATTGGTAAGTAAACAAAGACAGACATTTAAAAACTTGGTTTAACCGTCTCCTTTTATTATGAGATGGGAAGGAAGATTATGCCTAGCTGCTTGCCTGACATCCTTATCACAGAAATGGATCAAAGAAAAAAACAAAAAAGAAGAAATATTAGGTGAAACAATGCCAGATACCATCAAGATTACTACAAACGGCCAAGCACGGTGGCTCAGTCTGTAATCCCAGCACTTTGAGAGGCCAAAGCAGAAGGATCGCTTGAGGCCAGGAGTTGGAGACCAGCCGTCTATACGAAAAATTAAAAAGTGAGACCACCATCTCTACAAAAAATAAAAATTTTAGCTAGGCGCAGTCGTGCCCACCTGTAGTCCCGGCTACTACGGAGCCTGGGGTGGGAGGATCACTTGAACCCAAAGAATTTGTTTTTGTGTGTCTTTATTTCCTAAATTCTGTGAGAAGAATAGATTTTTATTTCAAACATTATCTGATATTGGCTTCCAATTTCCCAAGTAGTTTCTCTATTGTTACTGCTGAGCCTGTGAATTTACAATGTTCCACACCACTCCGAAGTTACTAGACAATAAATTAATCGATGAACGCTTTAAAAAGTTGGACTGCTTTAATAAAAAAAAAAAAAACTGGGTCACATGTTCCAACAGAATTCCCTCTTTTAGAGAACTAATTTTACAAAATAATTCAGAGTGGAAGACAAGACACGATGGAATGCTATTTTTGATAATGAGTAGCAGAAAAAAGACCAGAGAATAACACACCCACTGCTACTTTGTTTATACGGTTGTAACTTGCACATGCAAGTACTCTACATAAAGTATTGCACAAGAAGAAACTGTCAAAAATGAATGCTTATGAAAACATTCTTCACTAAGGCCTCTAACAAGGAATGTGCTATCTCTGATTTCCTCGGCAAGTATTGACAGATTAAGCAGAGTGATAATGCTCAAGATGAAAAGACGTCTTATACTAGTTTTTATCAATAGTAAAAGCTGTTGGTACTAATTATAATGGCTGTAAATTCAGTAGCAGAATCAACTTTACAGACGATATCTCCTAGGCAGCACAGCATTTTATAAAACCAACTTTACTTCCATCAAAACCCTTTTTCCCCCCCAATCCGACAGACCCTGGCAACCTGTCTTGCTGTGTCTTTTTTCCCCTACCCTTCCAAAAGAACCCCAGCCAGTGAATCGAAGTAATATTTTCCGCAGTTCAAAGGTAAGGGCAAACTCAGCTCTACTAAGAACTCTTGCTCCTCACCAGCACACACCCTAACCCCCACCCCCTTTTTTTTCTTTTCAAATCTTGGCCTAGGAAAGATTAATGCTCCCATATCATTGCAAATCCACAAAAATGCGATTTTAGGTGGCGAGGAACTAAACTAGGATGGCAGGAAAGACCGGCAGCAATAAATCATTTCGCCCTAGAAACCAGCCTCTCCAGAACGCAGGAAACCAGGCTGTGCCCAAAGAACCTGCCGCCCGGAAGCAACAACTTCCATCAAACGGCAAATAAAAGTTGCAAAGAAGAGCTCAGCGCCCAGGCACCCTGCCCGGTGCCGAGGCTGAGAGCAGCAGGCAATCTACAGGCCGAGTCAGCTCGCGGGCGGTGGCCGCGGTGTCCGCAGGGCTGGCTCCGGCTCCGGAAGACTCCGGGTCCCGGGGTACGCCAACGGCCCGGGGCTGCGCGGGCACAGCGCCCGCACCCCTCCCCAGGACCGCGAGCAGTGGGCGGAGAGACCAGAGCAAGGGAAAAGGCGGACAATGCCCGGCTGGGCTGGCGCGCTCCGCCGGTCCCCGCCAGCCCTGCCCGCCGGGGCCCGCCAGCCGCCGCGCTAAGTTTGCTCCTCAGCCCTCCCTTCCCAGCCGAGGCGGCGGAGCCGTGGTCGCCGGTCTTCCTCCACCTCTGCCACCGCCTTCCTTCCCGCGGGGCGGCTCCCGCGAGTCGGTGGCGAGGCGGCGCGCGACCAGAGCAGGACGCGCGAGAAGGCGGCGCGCGAGGGGTACCCGGGCGCGCGCGAGAAGAGCCAGGCACTGGAGGGGAAGGGGACGTGCGGGAGAGACGGGCGCGCGGCGCTGCCGGCGGAACCGCCGGAGCTCGGGCGGGCTTTCGGTTGAGGCTGGGGTTGCGCCGCGGTTTGGTGTCCGTTACGAGCGCCGGCCCGGGCCGCGCCGCGCCGCTTGCCAGCCATCCTGGACCGCCTTCCCTCGGCGCCCACCAGGAAGGACAGCTGGCGAGGGCCGACGACCTCGTCTCCCGCCCAGGCTGGGCTGCCGGCGGCGGGCATCCCGGCGCCTGCCCCGGGGCTGGAAGAGAAAGTAAAATGAAGCGCCTTTCCCCAGTCAACACCTACCCGTTCCCAGTCCTAGTACAGCTGCCTCGCTCCTCCAGCGCCGCCGGTCCCCGCCCTCGGGCCCCTGGCTCCGTTCTCTTGACAATGGCGCGTCCCCTTTAAGGAATAATCCGATCGGAACCGATCTGTGGTTAAACCTCCCTCCGACTCTGATTTTAACCGGATTTCTCTCTCGCTCTCTCCCAGAGCCCGACGGGCGCCCGGCTGTGCTGCGAGGTCTTCCCACCCCTTCCCTACCCCGCCCGCCCCCTGGCCTTCCTGATTGGCGAGAAACACTACAACAGGAACAGCAGTCCTCGCCCTCCACTGGCCTGGCCAGCCGCCGCTCAAAGTTGCTCCTACCTTCTCCCCGCCCCTTTTCCCGGGTTGGTCTTCCCTCTAATCATTCTCTGCCCTCGCCTCTAACGTTGCTTTGGAGCCCTGGCAGTCAAGGCTCACCCTCCCGCCTCCGGAAAGCGAACTTTATTTTTATTGGTGAAAGGACATCTTCCTGTACACTTGATTGGGCAAGGAAAGAGCTAGTCTGCACGCTCCCTACCATTATTACTCTCTCTTTACGGGCTTGAGAAACACAGCCGCAAAGTCCTCTCCGCTTTGCCTTCTAGGAGCGACTTTACCTTTAAATGTTGTTAGGGGTCGAGGACAAACTCATATCCTATATTGAGGAAAGCTGGAAAGGGACAAGAGAAAAATTCAAAATTTTCTCCCGATCAGTAATGTATCCAGAGCTGGCGCCCGGATCCTGCGGAACCTTATCCAATGATCCAGAGAATGGAATGGTTAGAATTGAGTTAGAATACCTGAAAGTCCAGTGCTAATTCCTCCTGAGATTTACTCAACAAGTTTCATCCACTGTCCGCCCTACTCATACCATTGATTGCACTGGCATTTTGCCACCCGGAAGAGCTTTAATCAAGTTATCTGCAAACCTGGAGGTTTCCTTGCTTGTCTCGCAATTGTTCATTTAGAAAATCATTTCCATTACAAGTTCCGTTTAAGTCACGTCCTCTGTGACGTTCCCGCGTTTCCACGAGACCTGTTACTTTTTTGAAAAAATTAAGTAGATGGTACCCTTATGCCATCCTCAAAGTGTAGGACTTCGTTCCCCCTTGCTAGAACTGTAGGAAAAACACCCCAGGTCACTTGAACAACTGAGATGCCTCTCAGGAGAAAACGAGTCTGTCTAAGGGAAAGAGGGAATCTGATACCAGAAGCTTGACCATGGAGCAGAACCTCACGCATTGAAAAGAGAAGAAATTATGGGGAAGCCTAGTGCGGGGTCTGCTTTAGAGTTTCCCCAGTTTCCCACTGGAGCTGTAAGAACTAAAAGGTTTATTTCCACTAAAATTGAGTACAGGTACAGCTTCGGTACCCATCTAAGAATGTTAGGGGAAAATGGTTATGTGTTCTCTCCCTCTTTGCCGATGAACCTTGAAGACTGTGTACCCCGGGGGCTTTAGTACATTTGCAGTGATACCCCAGTATAATCTAATGGTGCCAAGGAAGTGTCAGTGCTCAGCAGTACCCTAGAAAAGGGGCTTGATGATGACAGAGAAGGGTAAGTAAACATCAGTAGTTGGTAGTTCATAGGACTTTTCCCCAAATACAGGTGAAAAATTTCATGAGGATTCCCGAAAATATGAAAGAGCAGGAAACAAAAGGGAACGTTGCAGGAAGGTGGTTTAGGTATCACTAGTGGGGGCAAGAGACGATGAACTATCTGGGTTGCATTTATATGGCCTTCACAGATACACACATCCTCCCTATTAAGTCCCTATAACTAAATCCCTATGCTTAGCCTATTCTGATTTTACTGTATAATAAAACTGCAGCCAAGCTAAACTAATACTTCTGGTTTACTCACTTACCACTCTCAAACTCTGAGACTGCTTCTGGGTTCTAATATTCTACATTAGAATATAAGAAGAAGAAGATACTATGTACTGATATCTAGTATGATCTTCTGGAGATAAAGATATCCAGTGTTTCAGGCATGTACACACCTGCAGCTTTTGTTCAAGGTCTAAGTGATGTTTTCAGGTTCTTTCTAAAACACCTGCCCTATGATATCCAGCTTGTTACTGCCCTCTTTTGCTGCACTAGCAGACTGGGCATATAAACTAGAGAAGGCAGTCTACAGTAACCTCTAGATTCTCTTACTTGCATTGAACCAACTATGCTGAGATTATCACCTTTCAAGTATAATTTGTGTTATTCTTTTCTCTAAATATTTCATATTTGCCCACAATAGGATCATTTATCACTTTTTAGCCCACACATGCAACTTCCTGGTACTAATACTCCTACTGGCATTTCACAGCAAAGAAGAATTTTAAAAATCTACAAACCTGGAGCTTACAACGTAGAGGTTATTCTTAAGAATGTTCAGTGTTGATGAACACAGCCCCAGTTCTAACCCTGGAGAATTTTACAAGTTGTACTTTCTCATTCAGAGAGACTTTATCTCTCTACCTTAGTTTCTCATTCTAAGCCCAATCCCCACTCTTTAAAAAAAGAATATTTCTCGGCTGGGTGCAGTGGCTCACGCCTGTAATCCCAGCACTTTGGGAGGCCAAGGCAGGTGGATGACTTGAGGCCAGGAGTTCAAGACCAGCCTGGGCAACATGGCGAAACCCCATCTCTGCAAAAAATACAAAAATTAGCTGGTGGGAATGGTCACAGGCCTGTGATCCCAGCTACTGGGGAGGCTGAGGCAGGAGAATCACTTGAACCCGAAAGGCGAAGGTTGCAGTGAGCCAAGATTGCACCACTGTACTCCAGCCTGGGCGACAGAGTCTCACTCTGTCACACACACACACACACACACACACACACACACACACACCCTTCTCCAATGTGCTAATGTAAATAAAGCTTTTTAAATTATTGTATATAGATGTTTGTTAAAGTCTTTTAAATGGTGAAATACCTCCAGGCACCATGGCTCACACCGTGCCAGTAATCTCAGCACTTTGTGAGGCCGAGGCAGGCAGATCACCTCAGGTCAGGAGTTCAAGACCAGCCTGGCCAACATGGTGAAACCTCGTCTTTACTAAAAATACAAAAATTAGCCGGGCGTGGTGGCGCATGCCTGTAATTCCAGCTACTCGGGAGGCTGAGGCAGGAGAATGGCTTGAACTCGGGAGGCGGAGGTTGCAGTGAGCTGAGATCGCACCACTGCACTCCAGCCTGGATGACATAGCAAGACTCCGTGTCAAAAATAAAAAATACAAAAAAAGTGAAATATGTTATGATCACTATTCTCCCTGTTTATATGCAAATGTACCCCTCAAAGAGGTTCCATAGTTTAACCAGTAATTATTTTTCCTCTGAAAAATTATGTTACCATTCCTATTGGAAATTCTTTCCAGTTCACCACACACTTATATAGCGACTATTATGTGTTAAGAATAGTGAGAAAATGGGGGCCAAGTGCAGTGGCTCACACCTGTATTCCCAGCACTGGGAGGCCGAGGCAGGTAAATCACTTGAGCTCAGGAGTTCGAGACCAGGCTGACCAACATGGTGAAACCCCGTCTCTACTAAAAATACAAAATTAGCTGGGCGGGGTGGCGCGTGCCTGTAATCCCAGCTACTCAGGAGGCTGAGGCAGGAGAATCGCTTGAACCTGGAAGGCGGAGGTGCGGTGAGCTGAGATGTTGCCATTGCACTCCAGCCTATGCAACAAGAGTGAAACTCCGTCTAAAAAAAAAAAAGAATAGGGAGAAAATGATGAATATGTATCCATTCTCCAGAGAGTATGTCATGAATCTCCACCTATAAGGGGCACAGTTTTTACCCTTTATTTCCTTCAAAGCTCTTGCGTGGAGACTATGTATTCACCAGAGATTTTTCTATAGTAAAATTTTTAAAAATCCAGAGCATGGTGTGATGGTGCACACCTGTAATCTCAGCTAGTGGGGAGGCTGAGATGGGAAGATTGCTTTGAGCCCAGAAGTTCAAGGCCAGCCTGGGCAACATAGCAAGATCCTGTCTTTTTTTTTTTTTTTTTTCAAAAAAAAAATCCAACTAATGGAAGCTGTCAACCAAAATCATTTCCCCTGTCCCATTAATATTGATGAGAATAAGTTAAAAGAAAATAAGTCACAGTAGTTTGATTTAATGAAAAAATTCCAGGAAATAGTTCCACAGTCTCCTAGGTCTCCCAGAGGAGGTCCAAGTCCTTCACTCTCTAAAGTTAAATGTGTTGCTTTGTAAAATAAGAACTGATATTCATTGAGTATGTCACTGAAAGGTCTGCAATTATCAGTAAAAAATTCAATTGTGTTCAGTATATTTCACCTACTGGGTAGAATGTGGATATTAATACATTTTTAGAAAGCTTTCCAATTATCTCTTGCTTAAAACCCTTTAGAGATTTCTCTAGGCACATTCTGAATATAAACACCGCAGCAAAACGTACAAGTCTCTTTATAATCTGACTATAGGCTTCTTCTCAAATTTCTTCCCTGACCACTCCCTCGTTTGACACTGGAAGTGTCTGCTCTCTCAATATCAACTATCATGTTCTTTCAAGCTTCAATGCCATTCCCTTTGTGTAGAATAGCTTTCCCCTCTTTGCTCATCTGAAGGACACTTCAATCCATCCATCAAACTGATGGCCCAATAGAAGCATTGCCCTCTTTATGCAGTCTTCTCTAGTTGCACTCCCTTCCTTGACTTAATTATTCTTTGTGCTACTTTTCTACTACATATATACTATTTTGTTATAGGTATCACTTTGAATACAGAACTTAAATGTTTCTTTTCCTGTCTCTTGTACTAGTCTGGTTTGTTCTCACAGAGCAAAGCCAGGATTATGTATCATCGCATGGGCATCATTTAGTATGATGACTGGCATAAGTGAGGCTTTCAGTACAGCATGTCAAATTGAGCTGAATGAGCACAGCTGAAACCAAAAAGTTAACCTACAATGTGAAAATCTAATTAACCACAAGACCATTCTAGGAGCATTCTAATTACTTGATATTTTATTGCAAATCTATCTTATCAATTAGTAAAAGATCACTGGTTCTCAGACTTTTTTATTTCATGAACTGGTAAAATTTCCAAGGAATTTTTAGGAACTGACATAAGCTTATCAACTTTTTAATTTTTCCGTGTAAGGTACAAAAATAAATATAAATAAAACTTCTATCTATTCTCATTATTTCATAAAATAAGAATATTTTAAAGCCAGACCAGGTGTGGGGGCTCATGCTTGTAATCCCAACACTTTGGAAGGCCAAGGACAGGCAGATCACTTTAGCCAGGAGTTCAAGATCAGCCTGGGCAAAATAGCAAGACCCTATCTCTGCAAAAAAACAATAATCAAAAAATTAGCTTGGTGTGGTGGTGCATGACTGTAGTCCCAGTTACTCAGGAGGCCAGGGCAGGAAGATTGCTTAAGCCTAGGAGTTCAAGGTTACAGTGAACTATCATTGAACCATTGCACTCTAGCCTGGGTGGCAGAGTGCAACCTTGTCTTAAGGCAAAAAAAAAACTTGGAAGGCTGAGTGGGAGAATTGCTTGAGCCCAGAGGTTGAGGCTACACTAAGCAGAGATCAAACCACTGTACTCCAGCCTGGGCAACAGAGGAAGACCCTGTCTCTAAAAAAAATTAAAAAATTAAAATGGGGAAGATTGTAACATCAGAATGAAAGTTATTGAATTAAATAAACTTAACATTATGAAAACTTGCACAGACCTCTAGTTGTGTCTAGAATACTCTTTGCACTTTACCGGTACTTGATCAGGTGCTTCTTTGCAACTTTTTTTTTTTTTTTTTTTTTTTTTGAGACAGAGTCTTGCTCTGTCGCCCAGGCTGAAATGCAGTGGTGAGATCTCGGCTCACCGCAACCTCTGGTTCCCGGGTTCAAGAGATTCTCCTGCCTCAGCATCTTGAGAAGCTGGGACTACAGGGTTGCACCACCATGCCCGGCTAATTTTGGTATTTTTAGTAGAGGCGGGGTTTCACCATGTTGGTCAGGCTGGTCTCAAACTCCTGACCTCAAGTGATCCACCCACCTCGGTCTCCCAAAACACTGGGATTGCAGGCATGAGCCAGCCTCTTTGCATCTACTTTAAAGGATGGTTTAGAAATTAGAATATTCCTGGCCAGGTGTGTTGGCTCATGCCTGTAATCCCAGTATTTTGAGAGGCTGAAGCAGGTGGATCATTTGAGGTTAGGAGTTCGAGAGCAGCCTGGCCAACATGGTGAAATCCCGTCTCTACTAAAAATACAAAAATTAGCAGGACATGGTGGCGCAAGCTTGTAGTCCCAGCTACTCGGGAGACTGAGGTAGGAGAATCAATTGAACCGGGGAGGCGGAGGTTGCAGTGAGCCGAAATCACGCCACTGCACTCCAGCCCGGGCAACAGAGTGAGAAGTAAAAGGCACTATATAAATAAAGACACCTATATTCAGTTTAACCCTCTTTGTCTACCTATTACTAAAAATATCTGTGAATTAAGGACCCAAGAGCGTATAAAGTGGTTTTCAGATTAGACTTTTTAATTATTTAGAGGAATGAACAGTTCATCTGTCACTGCTCCTTTTCTTTCTTTCTTTCTTTCTTTTTTTTGGCTTTGAGATAGGGTCTTTCAGTGTTGCCCAGGCTGATCTAAAACTCTTGGCCTCAAGTGATCCTCCTGCCTTGGTCTCTTTGAGTAGCTGGTATTACAAGCATAAATCACTGAGCTCAGCTAGTCTGCCACTGTTTGAATGGTTATCTAGTACTGCGGTGAAATTATTTTGAAACTATCTTAAAATGTGTTAGATTTATGTGTGCTTTAAAGTAATGCTCTAGTAAGTATGAATTTCTAACTTTAAAAGATGACAGAAAGCAGTTTTTAATCTGTTCCTAGTTTATGAGTTGACAGAAAATAGATGAAAAAAAGTAGACACTCTATTTAAATGTATTGCCACCACCTATCAACTCATTATCCCATTTGAAAAAGAATTCATGAATTATCCAAAGAACTGGGAAATTTTTTGGTTGGGAGGTAAATCAGTTACATGAGCATACCGCTGGCAAAGGAGTATGCCATATGACTGATCTCTGTTGGGGGGCTTCTGTCTGTTGACAGAGAAGCAGAAAAACAAAGGACAAAGGAAACCCTCATTAATTAATCTTACCAACTAAGCCAAATAAATGGACCACTTGTTTCAGCAACAGAAGCAAACTGTTGACAATTGAGAAAAGCCACCTGCAGGTGCTTTTGAACACAAGCTGCCCCAGAGACCCAAAATACTATTGTCTAACACAGGGGTCAGCAAACTTTCTCTGTTAAGAGCCAGATAGTAAATATTTTTGGCTTTGCAGGCCATATGGTCTCTGTTACAACTACTCAACTCTGCTGCTGTAGCCTGAAAGTGGTCAAAGACAATATCTTATAAATTAATATGTAGGGTTATGTTCCAATAAACTTTATTTATGGACACTGAAACTGAATTTCTTTTCATTTTCATGTGTCAAGAAGTATCATGATTCTTTTGATTTTTTTTCAACCATTAAGAAATGTAGAAACCATTCTTAGCTTGCCAGCCATAGAAAAACAGATGCCGGACTGGATTTGGCCCATGAGCTGTAGTGTGAGGCCCTCTGATTTAATGTAATTCTAATTCCTTTTTAAAAAACAATTTTTTTTTTCAGTTCAGTATCTAGTATGTGTCCGGCACTATGCTAGGCCTGGGACTATAATGGTTAACAAGATAGACATGGTCCCTGTCCTCATGGAGCTTATGGTGTAAGAATTAGAACTATAATAAATGGCTCTGAGGGAAAAGTACAGAGGATCTACACTGTGAATTGTAATCTAGACCAGGCAATCTAGAAAGGCTTCCCTGAGGAAGAATTCTTTGACAAGGACTGAAAAATTAGTGAAGTGAGAGATGGGAAAGAGGAAAGTATTTCAGGCAGAAGGCACAGCATGTGCGGCACTCTGGTGGCATTGAAATAAGGCCTGTGTGCCTGGAAAGTGCAAAGTGAAGGAGAGGGAGGAAGGCAGTGAAGTTGGAGAAACAGATAAAAGGAAAGACTTCAGCACCTAATAGGTCTTTATTCAGAGTAGTAGAAAGCCATTGAAAGTTTAATATCAAGGCCATGACATGTTCAGATTTGCATTTTATTTTTATTTTATTTTATTTTTCAGAAAGATGGTCCAGCTCTGTCACACGAGCTGGAGTGCAGAGGAACAACCATAGCTCATTGCAGCCTCAAACTCCTGGGCTCAAGGAATCCTCCCACCTCAGCCTCCTGAGTTAGCTCGGAGTATAGGCACACAAAACCACACCCAGCTAATTTTAACATTTTTTGTAAAGATGAGATCCCACTGTGTTTCCCAGGCTGCTCTTGAACTCCTGGGCTCAAATGATCCTCCTAAACTCAGCTTCCCAAAGTGCTAGATTATAGGTGTGAGCCACCGCGCCTGGTCTGCATTTTTATTTTTATTAATGTTTTTATGAGATGAAATCTCACTATATTGCCTGGGCTGGTCTCAAACTCCTGGGTTCAAGCCACCCCTCCTGCCTCAGCCTTCCGAGTAGCTGGATTACAGGCACATGCCATACACCCGGCTCAGATTTGCATTTTTAAAAGATCACTAGCTACAGTGTGAGGAATGGATTAGTGAGGAGGCAAGAGTAGTGATTACAATAGTCAAAGGCCTCTAGACCCTAGATGCTTAGACCTCTAGACTCTGCACTCTAGACTCTAGGTCCTAGAGTCCAACACTAGTATTTTACCTAGGCTAGTTACTGTTCTTAATGCTTTAAATATACCAAATCATTGAAAGTTCACAATTCCATAAATAAGAACTATTATCCACTACTTTACAGAGGAAACTTAACTACAGGCTCTCTTTCAATTTTTTTCCCTTAGTACAGTGCCAGTTGCCTCTAGTTTAAAGAATTATGGGAAATAATTGCAGGAGAAAGATAAGAGTGAAGTAGAAAGAGAGGCAGAAAGAAATAAAGAAGATGTATTCTACGAAACCACAGCCTTGGTTCAGATCCTAGTCTCTTTTCCAAGAAATTATATTGTTCACTGGGAAGGAGGCTCAAATTCAACAAGGTAGCTGCCTTGGGTATCAGAAGACACCCTTATGAAAGTACAGATGCTCCTTGATTTATGATGTGGTTCCATCCAATAACCCATCATACATTGAAAATACCATAAATAGAAAATGCATTTAATACCCCCAACCTACCAAACATCAGAGCCTAGCCTACCTTAAACATTCTCAGAGTACTTACATTAGCCTACAGCTGGGCAAAATCACCTAACACAAAGCCTACTTTATTAAAAAAAAAGTGTTGAATATGTCATGTAATTTATTGAATATTATACTGAAAGTGAAAAACAGAATGGTTGTATTGGTACTTGAAGTACAGTTTCTAGTGAATGCCTATTGCTAGTGAAGTTGAAAAGTCATAAATTGAACCATTAATACTCAAGGACTATCTGTAGTCCCTGCAAAAATATACCCAATGCAATACACAGGACATAATTACCCTAAAACAGTACCCTCTGTTTATCCAAGATTCAAATTGAACTGAGTGTCCTGTATTTTATCTGGAAGTCGTAAGGAAACACATTCCTTCCCATGTTCCTAGATGCAAGCTGGAGACACCTGGCCCCTTAAGATTAGAAAATCAGCCTGAGTGTGTACCTTAAACAACTCTAAAAGCCCTCTGGAGGATTTTTGTGAATTACCAGGGCAGGAATGTGGGACTGAGGAATTATGTTTCCACTTTTGCCTCCAGGCTTATTCTCTCTTTCCTCAGGACTCACTTCCGAGACTCTTCCAATCAATGTACAGAAACACTGTAAGTGTGGCCCATTTCACAGTAGAGCTAGGAGTTGACGAGAGCTGTCACATCAGGCATAGCCTGGAAAACAACTCAAAGTAGGATTTTATTTTTATTTTTTATTTTTTTTTTGAGACAGGGTCTTGATCTGTCACCCAGGCTGGAATGCAGCGACATGATCGCAGCTCACTGCAACCTCGACCTCCCAGGCTCAAGCCATCCTCCTTCCTCAGCCTCCCTAGTAGCTAGGATTACAGGAGCGTGCCACCAAGCCTGGCTAATTGTTTAATTTTTTTGTAGAGACGGGAGTCTCCCTTTGTGCCCAGGCTGGCTCTTAAACTCCTGGGCTTAAGTGATCTTCCCACCTTGGCCTCCCAAAGTGCTGGGATTACAGGCATGAGCCGCTGTCCGGGTAGGATTTAACATACTCTCTTTTTTAGCATCCTTTCAGCCACCTAGCACCAACGGTTTCTCATGGTCCTCTGCCATAACCTCTGGGTCATGCTCACTCTTGACACACGCTTTTCCCTCCTCTGTCATCTTCTGAACATTCTCTCAGTAGCCAAAAATGTCTCTCCTCCTAGGGAACAAATTCCTAAACTAAACAATTTTGACTTCCTCTCTCAAGTTTTGCAACCAGCTGATAGACAAGACCTCAGGGTCTTAATCATTTATTGAGACATTCTTCCAAACAAAAACAGTTTGAAATTCTTGCTGAGAAGAATTCTGATGCCAGCAGTTAAGACAATAATTTTTTTTATTAAATTATTGCAATGGTATCATTTTTGCCAGCATGCAGGAAAAAGAAGGATCTCTCTTTCAGTTGTATCCAATGGGACCCATTTGAGCTAGTTACATCATCATTCTCCTGGAGGAAATTCAATTGCTTTTTGCCCTGTGACTAGGTACAATAAAAGTTAAGGAAAAAGTCTAATGGGCAGCATTTTGGATTCCATTATAGATTCTGGATAAGCCTGTTTGTTTGTCTTTCTGCCTTTAAATCTAATTCAGAATTAAAGCCCATTATACTTTTTAAGGTAAAGAAAGAAAGTTTTGGTAAATATGCCATAATTTGGTATAGCTGAAAGCATCGTGTGATCTTTTTAGAAAAAAAAAAAGAATGAAAGGTACTGTTAGGTAATTATATGGTTTGGCTCTGTCCCTACCCAAGTTTTGTCTTGAATTGTAGCTCCTATAATTCCCACATGTTGTGGGAGGGGCCCAGTGGGAGATAATTGAATAATGGTTTCCCCCATTTTGTTTCCCCCATTCTGTCCTCATGGTAGTGAATAAGTCTCACGAGATCTGATGATTTTATAAGGGGTTTCCCCTTTCAGTTGGCTCCCATTCTGTCTTGTCTGCCGCCATGTAAGACTTGCCTTTCACCTTCTACCATGATTGTGAGGCCTCCCCAGCCACATGGAACTGTGAGTCCATTAAACCTCTTTTTCTTTATAAATTACCCAGTCTCAGGTGTGTTTTTATCAGCAGCATGAAAAGAGACTAATACAGGTAAACTCAGGTAACAGTGAGGAGGAAAGAGGAGGCAGGAAGACATGAAGAAGTTGGGCTCTGTGGGACCAGAGGCTTGGCTCAGACCCTAGTCCATGATCTTTTCCAATGTTTATCTTCTAAATTTAGCTTTACTCATCAGCACTTTCCAGGTAGCTCCTAGGTATTGCAAAAGCCACATAAAGGTATACAGACATAGTAATCTTGCTAGTCAATTAGCATAATAACTCAACAAAGATTTATAAATAAATATATCTGTGATGTCATCTATCATAGATATAGTGAAAAAGATAATTTGGTCATCCAGATACTCCTCTTAAAAACAGCTTTGCCATAATTATCTGAAAATTATTAATAATAGATTCATCCATTGAGTAGTGTTTGGGTTCTTTTTCATTTGTTTGAACCATTCAAATAAAAGCCTTAATGTTTTACTATCTTTCTGCAAGTGTAAATCTGGCCTGAATTTTAGGCCAGACTTTGGGAAAACATGTATATATGATACTAATTTATTAATTATGTAAATGATAAGCAGATTAGTAATAAAGTAGCCACACTGGTAAAATGATAATAGAGAAGTCATTTTTTCCTGATGTTTATCACACCAGAAATTTTTTATCTGCTACATGTAATAAAGGGCCACCATACTAAAACAAACTAAAAAAAAGAAATCCTCTTACAGTAAATTAGCCTTTTAACATAGAAAAAAATCCACAATTACTGAACAATAATCTAAATTGTCCTTCAAAGAGACACCTTGCCGTTAAGTCTAATTCTGAATTAAAGCTGATTACACTTTTCAAGACAAAGAAAGAAGGTTTTGGTAAACATGCCATAATTTGTTACAGCTGAAAGCATCACTTGATCTTTTTAGAAAAAAAAAAAAAAAAGAAGAAGAAGAATGAAAGGTGCTATTAGGTAAACTCAGGTAACAGTGAAGAGGAAAGAGGAGGCAGGAGGATATGTTTCTAGAGAATTTTGCTCTTTCACTCAATGAAGCAATGTAAATCTTTATCTGTGAGGGTTCCCTGCCCCCCGCACCCCCGCACAGGAAAATTGTCAACTTTGCATGCCTCAGTATTTTGGCAGGTCACATTTTCCATAGACTAGACGAGTTTTACAAACCATATGTAGGTATCTGGTGGCTGTTGTGAAATCCCACTTAACACAATTTAGTATTTTGGATCTATTTATAGAAGTTCTGCTATGTGAACATTTTTAGCCTGTACAATGTCAGCCTGGTAATTTTCATGCAAGTAAGAAAACAATTTGTTCTAGCCTCCAAAATGGTACTGACATCAAAAATGTCCTTCATATTGGGGAGCTTATGACTGAAGAATTTCCACAAAATCAGTAAAAATGGTAGCAATAGCACTTAAGTGGCAGTGCCAGTGAGACAGCAGTAACTCATGGCCAAGATAGCAGAGGCAGAAGTCATTGTTGAGTGATTGTGAGAGAGAAAGTATCTGGGTTTCAAGTTCATCTCTCTCTCCCTGGATATGAAAGTTTTTCTTCTTCTTCTTCTTCTTCTTTTTTTTTTTTTTTTTTTGGAGACAAATTCTTCTCACTCTGTCCCCCAGGCTGCAGTGCAATGGCGCAATCTCGGCTCACTGCAACCTCTGCCTCCCTGGTTCAAGTGATTCTCGTGCCTTAGCCTCCTGAGTAGCTGGGATTACAGGTGCCTGCCACCATGCCCAGCTAATTTTTGTATTTTTAGTAGAGATGGGATTGCCCCATGTTGGCCAATCTGATCTCAAACTCCTGAGCTCAGGTGATCTGCCTACCTTGGCCTTCCAAAGTGCTGGGATTACAGGCATAAGCCACCGTGCCCATCTGTAGATGAAGGTTCTGCCAGTCTCAGAGAATCTGGGTTGTTGTTGTGGTTGTTGGTTGATTTGTTTGCTTTAATGACAATTACATTACAGACCCCAAGTTGTTTTTCCAGTGCCATCTCCCACTATTCTCTGATATTTTAATCGAACTGGCCTATATACTATTCCCCGGATTTCTTCACTGCCCTTGCCTACATCACAGAGAAAGGTCTCAGGAGACTGCTGTCTAAGAAAGTTAACAGAAATTTGGAGAAAGCAAGAGTATAATATTTTATCATTGGCATTCTGGTTCATACACCACTGTTACAAGTTTGAATAATGTCAGTCCAGTCCATTGAGAGCAGCTGGGGAGATAGAGTAGTCTGGCTGTATCCCCTACGAGTGGCCCTAAGAAACCTGTAAGTGAAGGCTGGGCATGGTGGCTCACGCCTGTAATCCCAGCACTTTTGGAGGCCGAGGTGGGTGGATCACCTGAGGCCAGAAGTTCGAGACCAGCCTGGCCAACATGGTGAAACCCTGTCTCTACTAAAAATACAAAAATTATCCAGGTGAGGTGGTGGATGCCAGTATTCCCAGTTACTTTGGAGGCTGAGGCAGGAGAATTGCTTGAACCCAGGAGGCGGAGATTACAGTGAGCTGAGATCACGCCACTGTACTCCAGTCTGGGTGACAGAGCGAGACTCTGTCTCAAAAGAAACCTGTTAACGAATCTGAGGAGGGTGAGACTAGGACAGACAACAGAGTCCTCTTAATATATTTGGTATCTATCAATGGGCAGGCCCAGGGGAGCACAAACTACTATCAGTATTTATGGACCACACATAAGCATCCTTAAGGATTCTGGAAATGAGAGAGGTCTAAAGGTCATCTTGGAATTCATTTTAAAGCCAACACATAATGAATCAGAGAAGTCCAGAATCACCAAAAAGAGACAGAATGGCTCCCAATCCTACATGACTTGTCAGGAATGGATAATATGTGCCATTGTATCTAAAAAGATATGCATGTCCATCAGAATGCGAATGGTTAGCTACAGAGGTATACAAATAGGAGAGTCATAGAAAATTGCTGGCAGCCTTTATTCAAGCCCTTATGGAGAAAGGATGCCATGATTGAAGGCCTCAGTTTGTCAATCCAAGTGGTAAGAATATTATTATTACATGTGCTTTACATGTGTTCACTTGCTGACTTCTTAAAAATATCATGTAGTGCTGTATTGGTCAAGGTTCGTTTTTGTTTTTGTTTTTTTTTTTTTTTTTTTTTTGAGACAGAATCTTGCTCTGTTGCCCAGGCTGGAGTGCAGTGGCATGATCTTGGCTCACTGCAACCTCTGATTCCTGGGCTCAAGCAATTCTCATGCCTCAGCCTCCCAAACAGCTGGGATTACGGGCACACACCATCACGACTGTCTGATTTTTGTATTTTTAATAGACACAGGGTTTCACCGCATTGGCCAGGCTGGTCTGGAACTCCTGACCTCAAGTGATCCACCCGCCTTGGCCTCCCTCACGCTGGGATTACAGGCGTGAGCCACCACCCTTGGCTGATCAAGGTTCTTCTGTTGCAAATGAGAAAAGCCAACCCTGACTAGCTAAAGCAAGAAGGGGAGCTTTGGGAGAAGACACAGGGACTTCTTAAGACAGGAGAAGGCTGCTGAGCCTCAGAAGGGCCTGGAATAGGGAGGTGGCAAGCATACTCCAGGCTCTCTCTCCAGTGCTTATGGTCCCAGCCTCTGCTTCCCTGGGCAAGCCTGCTTCCTTCCCCTCTCCCATTTTTCTGCAGACCCAGATTCAACTAACTCTGGCCGCACGTGAACAGGCATCATTAACTCCACAGAGGCAGCCTCCAATCCCAAGTTTACATGACTTCATTCAAGCAAACAGACCAGACTGGATATAATCTCTGCGTCTAAATTGCAAATTCCTGTGAAAGAGAACCTGATTGGCCCTACCTAAATAAGGAGTCCACCCCTTATTTATTTCCCTGTGAACAGTGGTGCAAGGTCACAATATAAAAATAGGGTTACTAGAGGCCCACATAGAGGGAGGAAGTGAGAAAGGGGGAGAAAGTGGTTATTATTAGAGAAGTAAACCAGTGTGTCCTGTGAAGACATCCCAAAAAGTATCTAGTACAGGTAGGGACTATTTTTTTTTTTTTTTTTTTGAGATGGAGTCTCACTCTGTTACCCAGGCTGGAGTGCAGTGGCACACTCTCGGTTCACTACAACCTCCACCTCCCGGGCTCAAGCCATTCTTCTGCCTCAGCCTACCAAGTAGCTGGGACTACTACAGGCATGCATCACCACACCTGGCTAACTTTTATATTTTTAGTAGAGACGGGGTTTCACCATGTTGGCCAGGCTGGTCTCAAACTCCTGACCTCTAGTGATCCGCCCGCCTCAGCCTCCCAAAGTTCTGGGATTACTGGTGTGAGCAACCACTCCAGATTGGTGGGACTATTATTATCCCCACTTTACAGATAAGAAAATGAAGGCATTCAGAGCTTAAGTAACTTGCCCAAGGCCACAGAGCTAGTCAGTGTCAGACTCAGGATCTAAAATCAAGTCTGTCTGAGCCCTAATCTTTATGCTACGATGCGTCTCCAAATTTCTGCTCACCAGGCAACCTTCTTAGTTAATATGGCTTTTTATAAAGGTCTATGTACAGGCATGAACTGATTATACAGACTTCATATATTCCAATTCCTATAATCATTATAGTTCTCATTATAAAGTAATAAATTGGAATTCTGGTTTATACACCATTATTACAAGTTTGGATAATGCCAGTCCAGTTCTAAGGAGTGGATCTCTTCTTAGTATGTTGACAACATTGGATTCCAGAGCCTGTAAGGCTATGCTAAGGCTGAAATTTAATGGTTGTAAATTTCACCATCATGGCCATTTGTTGAAGGTCTCAGCCTTAGCTTTACAGGAGTAATGTATGCTCCTAGGAAGTTTCTTAAAGGACTGTTGCTGGACTTTGTGACATGACAATACCTTTCTTCATGAAACATTTTGATTTCTACAAAGATTAGATCTTTTTTACTATTAGCTTCTAAACCAAAAAAGTCTGCCTCCTTAGCAATTTCCATTTTCCATTCACTTGCTCATTCCACAATTATTTTTAGTGCCAATTATATGCAAAGCAACGTGGTAGGTCCTGTGAATGCAGCAAACAATACAGGCACAGTCTCTGCCTTCAGGTTGTTTATTGCCTAATCTAGCTTAGAATTTGAGGCAAGTTGAATTTCTCCTAACAGGTTTTGAGAGGAGAATGAGAATAAAGGGAAGAGAAAAGAAAGGGAAAAAGTGATTTGTGGGCATTTTTCCACAGGAGGAATGAAGAAAAAGGGAGTAGAGAAGAAACAGAACCTTGAGTTTATTAAAAAATAACCCAGAGATAGATTTCATGAATACTTATTAATATATTAATCATGACAGCAATATCTTCCTTCTCACATCACACCAGAAAAAAAAAGGAAGTGCATTGTGACATGAATAACCCAAATCAAGGTGGACTTGTCTAAAGAGCAACTAGCGTCAGCAACAACCAAAGTACTATATGATTATGAGTCTTCTGACATGTCCATGGAGTTCATTGTCTCATCACCTTAACAATCAATCCACAAATACATATGAGATTACAAATGCAATTTGCATTAACTGGTAGATTAAATTGGGCCTCAGCATGCTTAATTAACCAAAACACTGCTAAGCTTTTGGTTAAACTTTCCTAAATTTTTGAATTTTCCTAAAAGCAAAATCAGATTTTTTTACAAGCCTTGTTTTTCCTCTGTGACAGGAACAAGTTTGGCATGTTCAAAGAAAAGCAGTAAAAGAGGGAGAGTTATAAGGATGAGGTCAGAGAGGTGGGTCAAAACATTAGGGCCTTGTAAACATGGGTAAAGACTGGGTGTGAGCTGAGTACAGTGGTTCAGGCCTGTAATCCCAGCATTTTGGGAGGACAAGGCAGGAGGAATGCTTGAGCCCAGGAGTTTGAGACCAGTGTGGACAACAAAGTGAGACCCTGTCTCTACAAAAAATAGAAAAAATTATCCAGATGTGGTGATGTGTGCCTGTGGGCCCAGACACTCAGGAAGGTGGGATGAGAGGATCATTTGAGCCCTACGTGGTTGAGGATAAAGTGAGCTATGATGAGGCCATTGCATTCCAGCCTGAGAGACAGAGCACAATCCTGTCTCAAAAAGAAAGAGAAAAAAAGAAAGAAAGAAGGAGAAGGGGGAGAGAGAGAGAGGGAGGGAGGGAGGAAGGAAGGAAGGAAGGAAGGAATGAATTAAGGAAAAGACAGAAGAGAAAGGAAGAAGGAAAGAAAGAAAGAAAAGGAAGGAAAAGAAAGAAAAGAAGAGAAAGGCTTTAGAAGGAGTGACCAGTGAAGTAGAAAAAGCAAGAGTGGAGACCCTGGAAGCCAAGTAAAGATACATTTAAGGAGGGAATGAATGATTGTCAAATTAAATGCTGTTAAGAGGCCAAGCCAGATGAGAAATGACAAGCAACTGCTGGATTTAGCAAGATAGAGGTCACCAGTGGAATTTTTTTTTTTTTTTTTAGAGACGGTCTTGTTATGTTGCCGAGGCTGAGCCTCGAACTCCTGGGCTCAAGCAATCCTCTCATACTCAAGTAGCTAAGATGATAGGCATGAGCCATTGTGTCCAGCTTGCTGTTGAATCTGGACAAGAGTAGGCTTGGAGAAACAGTCCATTCCAGCTTTCTAGGGTAATGCTGGAATGGAGTAGTTAGGATGCTGTAATACTGGAAAAGAAGTGAATCAAGTTGAAAATGCAAGGTGACAAAGTAAAGACAGTAAAAATAGACATTTTGAATGGACTATTTCTATAAAAGGAGTAGGAAAACATGCCACATTTGAAGAAAGTTGTGCCACATAGTTGAAAAAAAGATGAGGACACTAGAGAGAATTTATATCCTGCTGTATCATATGTCATGCTGTATGCTATATGGATATCCTGCATAGTGAAGTCTGGGCTTTTAGTGTAACCATCACCCAAACAGTGTACACTGTACACATTACGTAATTTTTCATCCCCCATTCCCTCCCACTCTTTCACCCTTCTGAGTCTCCATTGTCTATTATTTCACTCTCTATGTCCACGTGAACACATTATTGATCATTAGAGTATAGGATTCTAGAAGTCAAGCTTTTTGTTCTTGCCCATTAGGTCATGAACAATAAAAAAGAAAAATAAATAAATAAACAATATTTTGGGGGTGATACAGTGATATGGTAATAATAAATTCTCATTTATCAAGGTATATGACCATGATGGTGTTTTGTTGAAATGGAGTGGAGGAAACTAATATTGGAAATGAGAAGTCCACACGTGGTGGCTCACACCTGTAATCCCAGCACTTTGGGATGCTGAGGCGGGAGGATTGCTTGAGCTCAGGAGTTTGAGACCAGCCTGGGCAACAAAGTGAGACTCTGTCTCTACAAAAAATAGAAAAAATTAGCTGGGTGTGGTGGTGTATACCTGTGGCCCCAGCTACTCAGGGGGCTGAGGTAAGAGGATCACTTGAGCCTAGGAGGTCAAGGCTGCAGTGAGCTGTGATCATACCACTGTACTCCAGCCTGGGTGACAGAGCAACACCCCGTGAAAGAAAGAAAGAGAGGAGAGAGAGAGGGGAGAGAGAAAAAGGGAGAAAGAAAAAAGAGAAAGAGAAGGAAGGAAGGGAAGGGAGGAAGGAAGGAAGGAGAGAGAAGATTAAGGAACTGAGAGGGTAGGGTGTTTACAAGGATTATTTTTTTATGGATGCCAAAGTCACCTATCATAGGAACATGGGATAGTGATGGACAGAGAGAGAGAAAACTAGATGCTAAAATCTCTGTTGAATAAGCAAGAGTTAGTAAGTGACTGGTAGATGACTCAATAAAGAAGAATAGTGGTCTGTTGACATGTGCTTCAAAAAAGTTAAGGGGTTTTGTTTATCTTGTTGCCTTTTGTTCTATTTTTAGGGAGGAGGAATCATAAAAATACCCAAAAGCACGACAAGAAACAAGGATATCACCTCTAGGTCCTATGAAAATGGGATGTAGGAGAAAACACAGTGACCACTGAGAGAGCTGAGAATGTAGTTTCTTCAAAGGTGAGTCAAACTTCAGTTAGAGAAAGAGGAACCATGAATTCCAAAGCACACAGTGGAAGAATTTGTTTGGTTGGGGAGGAGTGGGAAATTGGCTCAGATCCATGACAATACTAAACTGTCTGAATGATAATGAATGAAGCAGCTGGTTTGGACTTCTGTTTGCCCTGAAGTTTACGACATTTGGCATAATGGGATTAATTCTGGTGGTCACCTAAGGGAAGATGGGTATCAGTCTTCCTTTCTTAAAAAATTACAACATGTGGCCGGGTGCGGTGGCTCACGCCTGTAATCCCAGCAGTTTGGGAGGCCGAGGCGGGCGAATCATGAGGTCAAGAGAGCCAGACCTACCTGGTAAACATGGTAAACCCCGTCTCTACTAAAAATACAAAAATTAGCTGGGCATGGTGGTGCACACTTGTAGTCCCAGCTACTCAGGAGGCCGAGGCAGGAGAATCGCTTGAATCTGTGAGGCGGAGGTTGCAGTCAGCCGAGATCATGCCATTGCACTCCAGCCTGGTGACAGAGTGAGACTCTGTCTCAAAAAAAAAAAAAAAAAAAAAAAAAAACACACACACACACACACAAACAACAAAAACAACATGTTTCTTTCTTCTTTGATTCATATTACATGGGTTTACAGCTATAAAAGACAAATGCAAGCATGCTTTATTTTTATTTTTATATAGATTAAAGGGGTACAAGTGTAGTTTTGCTATATGTATATATTGCATAGTGAAGTCTGGGCTTTTAGTGCAACCATCACCCTAATAGTGTACACTGTACACATTACTTAATTTTCATTCCCCACTCCCTCCCACTCTTTCACCCTTCTGAGTCTCCATTGTCTATTATTTCACTCTCTATGTCCACGTGAACACATTATTTAGCTCTCACTTACAAGTGAGAACATGTGGTATTTGACTTTCTAAGTTATTTCACTTAAGATAATGGCCTCCAGTTCCACCTATGTTGCTGCAAAAGGTGTGAATTCAATCTTTTATCTGGCTGAGTAGTATTCCATGGTGTATATGTACCACGTTTTCTTTATCCAATCTTTTTTTTTTTTGTTTGTTTGTTTTTTGAGATGGAGTCTTGCTCAGTCACCCAGGCTGGAGTGCAGTGGCACAATCTCAGCTCACTGCAACCTCTGCCTCCCAGCTTCAAGTGATTCTCCTGCCTCAGCCTCCTGAGTAGCTGGGATTACAGGTGCTCACCACCAAGCCAGGCTAATTTTTTGTACTTTTAGTAGAGACGGGGTTTCACC
This sequence comes from Homo sapiens, assembly GCF_000001405.40. Taxonomy (NCBI): domain Eukaryota; kingdom Metazoa; phylum Chordata; class Mammalia; order Primates; family Hominidae; genus Homo; species Homo sapiens. The sequence continues at coordinate 48,800,618 of NC_000004.12, forward strand.
ATATTGGGAAGGCCAAACTCCTGACCTCAGGTGATCCACCCACCTTGGCCTCCCAAAGTGCTAGGATTACAGGTGTGAGCCACTGCGCCTGGCCTAATTCTAGCATTTTGGGAGGCTGAAGCGAGGGGATCACTTGAGGCCAGGAGTTTGAGATCAGCATAGGCAACATAGGGAGAGACCCCATCTCTACAAAAACATTAAAAAATTAGCCAGATATGGTTGCACACGCTTGCAGTCCCACCTACACCAGAGGCTGAGGTGGGAGGATTGCTTGAGTCGAGGATTTTGAGGCTGCAGTGTGCCATGATCACGCCACTGTACTCTAGCCTGGGTGACAAAGCAAGACCCCGCCTCTAAAAAAAGAAAAAAATAGAAAAAAATAATTGTTATTATATTATTTTCTTTTTGGCAGTTGCAATATTAATTCCTAATGTAACTGTTAAAACACTTATTAACATTCACCTTTTATCTGGACATAGTTTAAAAATTCAAAGCAGCTCAAAGCAAATGAAATTAGCAACAGTTTAAAACAAAACCAAACCGAGTGAAAACTTACAGGCTGCTAAGTGTTTACCCAACAATGAACTGTGCTGGACTACAGTTCAAAGAATTGAAACTCATGTCCCAACAAGCTAAAAGCTATTAAAAGTATAACAGCCTTTTACCCACCCTCCAATACTCTTAACATAAATTAATGACACAGAATGATGTTTGAAACAATGGGAGTTTTATTTTAACATTTCAAGTCCAAGGTGTTAATGTTTATTACTGGAGTTTGGAATGCCCAGATGGCTGCACTAGGAAACTGATCAAACATCCGAGTCTTGTTAGAATGCTACATGCGGTTAATACATAGCCCCAGCTTTGTACCTGGTTTCTTAGCACTTAGTAGGAGAGAGAGGCAGGTGGCAGCCTTGCTAGCTGTGTGGCCTTCCCTTCTATCCTGCTGAAAGTGGTATGATAGTAGGGAGATGGCTGATTTTACCAGTGCAGGTGGTCCAAACAATTTTAAAATACACTATTATTATAATGATTTTGAGTAAGTCTTAATGAAAGCTAAATTCAAAGTATAGTGGAAAGATAGATGACAAGATTTGATTAAAAGGATTTAAAAACCAGAACAGTTCCATAAAAGTTTGAAATAGATGGCTCTTTGTGCTCAATCTTTTCCATCTTTATAACTTCACCTATGTGCATTGTATAGTCATTACTCCCCTTGAGAAAAGCCTCCTTTCCAGATTTTTTTCCTCCTCTAGTCCTTTTCCAAAGCGGCTGCCAAAATCAACTTCCTCTGTTGCCATTCTGACAATGTCACTCCCTTCCTAAAATTCCCTTTAATGGCCTCTGTTGGTCTTTGTGTGAGAGGCAGACTTCTTGCACTGCCTTTAGGACAAACACACTATTTATTTATTTAAGGCTCAGATTTATTTAAGGCTCCTGCCTATTTTTACAAATCCACATGTCATTTCCCTCTGTATGTAGACTGATTACCTTTCAATGCCTTGACTTCTTTATGGTCATTAATGTTTAGATTGTAAATATTTTCTCCAGTTTTGGCGAATAAGAGGAGTTCCTTATTCTACTGCTATCTTCCTTGCTCATCTCTATCCCGGTGCAAATCTACACACACTAAAAACCTCTGGAGCTATTCTCCCGAAATTTGATTATTTTTGAAGAACTACACAAGAAATCATGCACTAAAAATTTTTGCCTGATTAAAAACTAAACAACACCAAAAACAAAGTACTTTTAAAGGATAAAAATAATATTGTGGAATTTCCCTAAGGCATGAAAAGACCTTTCAAAATGAGTCACACGGCTGGGTGTGGTGGCTCATGCCTGTAATCCCAGCACTTTGGGAGGCCGAGGCAGGCGGATCACCTGAGGTCAGGAGTTCAACACCAGACTGGCCAACATGGTGGGACCCCATCTCTACTAAAAAAAAATGCAAAAATTAGCCAGGCGTGGTGGCAGATGCCTGTAATCCCAGCTACTTGGGAGGCTGAGCCAGGAGAATTGCTTGAACCTGGGAGGCAGAGGTTGCAGGGAGCCAAGATTGTGCCATTGCACTCCAGCCTGGGTGACAAGAGTGAAACTTTGTATCAAATAAATAAATAAATAAATAAGTCAGTCACAGGAAAAAATATCTAATGTTATGATCATGGGCAACTCCTAGGAAAAGGTTCTCCGGATTCCAAAACACACTAATGCTGTGTTCGTTTTTTCATCTTTTTTTTTTTTCTTTTTAACCTAGAAAACCTGAATTCAAGACCCACCCTGGTTATTTGCAAATTGTGTGATTTTTGTCATTTAATCTCTTTGAGCATCAGCTTCTTGTTGGTAAAGAGGAAATAACAATATCTGTATGGGCTTTTTGGACAATTCAATGGCATTTGTAAAGTAAAAAGCACTGTACGAATACAAGAGATTATTATTACTTCCTTCAAGTGTTTTCTTTTGATTGTGAACTTTCCCAGGATTTCCCTTCTCATACATTTTTATTTTTTAGAGACAAAGTCTCACTCAAAGGCTGGAGTGCAGTAATGCTGTAATAGCTCCCTGCAGCCTCAAATCCATGGGCTCAAGCGATCCTCCTGCCTCAGCCCCTAGAGGAGCTAGGACTGCAGGTGTGCACCACCATGCCTGGCTAATTTTTTATTTTTTATTTTATACAGGTGGGAGTCTCACTATGTTGTCCAGGCTGGTCTCCCACTCCTGGCTTCAAGTAGTCCTCTTGCCTCGGCCTCCCAAAGTCCTGGAATTAGAGGCAGGAGCCACCCCACCTGCCCCCACACATTTTTATCTGGGTGTAAATCTAGTAGTGCTGTTACAGACCTACCATCTAAATGGGAAGTTGTGCTAAAGCTGTCTGAGATACTGATATTATTGCTAACATTTTTTTCTCTCAATCGTTATTGTATTTTACAGGAAACCAGACATACTAATTTCATTTTTTCATTATCATTTAAAAAATATAGAAAGCTTATAGGAGAAAATAAAATATATTCGTAACTTCACCATCTGCCACCCCACCACTCCCCAAAAAAACCCAACTATTAAAATTTTGGTGTATTTTTTTTCATATTTTTTCCAGGCACCTTAAATGAATTATCTAACTTATTCTTCAAAACAACCTTGTGACCTAGGTGCTATTACCATGTTCTACTTTTCACAGAAGAAAAAAAATCAGTTCAGAGACATGAACTTTCTGAAAGTCATATAGGTCAGGTGATCAGGTTAGGAATTGAGTCCTGGCCACCTGATGCTAGAGTCCTTACTGTTAAGCACTTGGTTCTTTTACCTTTATTCTATCTACAATGCTGTAATTCCATTGTGCCACTTGTGCACCACTTTTTCATTTACCATAAATAGTGATCATTTTACTATGCTATTACATACTCATTTAAAACATGAATTTTAATAGTCTTCGTTGCATGGATGTCATTATTTATTTAATTACTCCCCTGTTATGAGATACTTATTTCCATTTTTTCACTGTCATATTCACTTTTAAAGTGATAATCATATATATATGTTCAATATAAAAAAAGTTTAAATAAGAAAATATATAGAAAGCAAAAATCCCCTGTATGCCATTCTCCAAAGAGAAACTCCATCCTCTTTCTCTCTCTCTCTATTTTTGAGTTGAACACGCATAACAGTTTAGTATATATTCTTCCAGGATTATTATTTTTATTTTATTTAATTAAAAAATGTTTTTACCTTAATTTTTTTGGGTGCATACTAGGTACAATTTTTATTTTCTTTTTTGACAAAAAAAATGAATTCATCTGTATGTGTCTTGCATCTTGCCTTTTTGGCTTTGCTGTATTTCATAGACACCTTTTCATGTTGGTCCATGTATTAATCAGGACTCTTTATAGCAAAAATTAGATGTCAGTTCAAACTACACTAGATTAAAAAAGGATTCCTTTTCTGCAAAGTCCAGAGGTATATCTGTACCCCATGTGCAGCGGGATCCAACTATTCTAAAGATAGCGTCAAGAAACCTCTCTCTTCCATTCTGGTCTCTGCTTTCCTCTGTAGTGACTTCCTTCCCAGGCAGGCACCAACAGTTGAGCAATCCCAGTGGAAGCAGTACGCCTTTTGCCAATACTTTCAGCTCAAATCTCAGCGTGGACGAGAGCCTAGCTTGAGTCGTGAGCCCATAGCTAGAACTAAGTGGTGGAATCAGCCTCAACATCACCACACTAACTGAAAGTGAGGAATGCTTTGTTATCTAAAAGAAAATCAAGGCATTGCTACCAAAAGAAGGAAGAGAGCTGTCTGGGAAGCTGCAACAACAAGCATTTGCTATGGTACATAACGATCTGCTTATGATGTGAGCTAGTTGTTTTTGGCAATTGGATTATAGTTTAGTTCAACTATTCTTTTTAGAATAGTTGCCCTATTGCCCAAGCTGGAGTACAGTGGTGTGATTGCAGCCCACTGCAAATAAATATGGAGGAAGTGACAGCGTGTGACCTCTGACACTAGGTCATAAGGGCATTGCAGCTTCCTCCTCTCTTTCTCAAATCAGTCACTCTGCAGAAGCCTGATACCTGATCATGAGGACACTCAACCAGCACTAAGGAGATGAACTGAGGCCTCTGCTAGCAATCATGTCAGTAAGCTGCCTTGGAAGTGGATACTGCAGCCCCAAGAGAGCCTTCAGATGACTGTAACCCCAGCCTACCTCTTAATCACAGCCTGGTAAGAGACCCTGAGCCGAACCACACAGCTAACCCACTCCCAAATTTCTGAGCCACAAAAACTGCGAGATAATAAATGTATGTTGTTTTGAGCTGCTAAATCTTGGAATATTTTATTACACAGCAATGGATAACTAATACAGGGACTATACAGATGGTAAGCAATTTGAATCCTTTTTTGGTCAATTCTATAACTTACTTTGGATAAATGTGAAAAAAGACATAAGATTTTTGGTGTGGTAAAAATCCCAGCTACTCAGGGGAGGATCACTTGAGCCTGGTAGTTCAAGACTGCAGTGAGCTGTGATTGGGCCATTGTACTCCAGCCTGGGTGACAGAGCAAGACCCCCATCTCTTAAAAAAAAAAAAAATTATCAGAAATCTCTCTTGTCCCTTTTACGCAAATTTTCCTTTGTATTCTATATTCCAGTTAACAGTTGTTTAGAAAAAAAATTTTTTAATGCTGAGCAATTTTATTTTTGTATTTTAGGGGTATATGAATTATACAGTTATATGCTGGCTTTATAAATTAATGATCTCTAGAAAAGATAATATTCATACTCTGTTTTCTAAAATTAAAGCCATCTCAATTTTCTTCATTCAGTTTCATGTCCGGCTTCTTTAGCATTTGTCATTTAAATTTGGAAAAACAGGCCGGGCATGGTGGTGGCTCACGCCTGTAATCCCAACACTTTGGGAGGCCGAGGCAGGCAGGTCACCTGAGGTCAGGAGTTTAAGACCAGCCTGGCCAACATGGTGAAACCCCATCTCTACTAAAAATACAAAAATTAGCCATGCACGGTGGCAGGCGCCTGTAGTCCCAGCTACTAGGGAGGCTGAGGCAGGAGAATCGCTTGAACCCGGGAGGTGGAGGTTGCAGTGAGCCGAGATCACGCCCCTGTGCTCCAGCCTGGGTGACAGTGACACTCTGTCTCAATAAATAAATAAATAAATAAATTTGGAAAAACATTTTAAAGAAAATATTCTAGTTTTTTGCTTTGATTAAAACACCTTTTTGGACAACTTTGGAAAAGGACTTTCCATTTTGTTAGTTTTCATTCTTTTCCAAAATCACTTTTATGATTTTTTTTTCTTTTTCTCTTTTCTACTCAGGAACACTCTACCTTTTTCTTGAAATTTATAAAGAATGTTTAAAACTCATTTCAAATTCTGGATTTTTAAAATTAGACCACAGATACACAGAATAAGATTGATTTGGCTCATCACACTGTGGTTGATAGCACAGAATTATCACTGCCCTTGCCCTTTTAAATTAACTTTTTTTTTCTTTTTTTGACATGGAGTCTTGCTCTGTTGCCAGGCTGGAGTGTAGTGGAGCAATCTTGGCTCATTGAAACCTCTGCCTCCCAGGTTCAAGCGATTCTCCTGCCTCAGCCTCCCGAGTACCTGGGACTACAGGTGCGTGCCACCATGCCCAGCTAATTGTTGTATTTTTAGTAGAGATGAGATTTCACCATGTCGGCCAGGATGGTCTCGATCTCTTGACCTTGTGATCCACCCACCTCGGCCTCCCGAAGTGCTGGGATTACAGGCGTGAGCAACCCAGTCCAGCTTTCTTTTCTTTCTTTTTTGAGGTAGGATCTCACTCTGTTGCCCAGGCTGCAGTGCAGTGGTGCGATCACAGCTCACCGCAGCCTCAAACTCCTGGGCTCAAGCGATTCTCCTGCCTCAGCCTCTGGGGTAGCTGGGACCACAGGCACACACCACCAACAGGTGGCTATATTTTTCAATTTTTTTGTAGAGACAGAGTCTCGATATGTTACCCATGCTAGTCTCAAACTTGTAGCCTCAAGTGATCCTCCTGCCTCAACCTCCTGAGTAGCTGGGACTACAGTGCTTATGAATTTGTTTAAAATGCAGGTTCTGATTGAGCAGGTCTGAGTGGGAGCTCAGGAGCAGTTCAGGTTTATAGTGAGCTACGATTGAGCCACTGCACTCCAGCCTGGGTGAAGAGCAAGATCCTGTCTCAAAAAGAAAAAAAAAAAAATCTGAGAGGCACTAATCTAGAGCATGGACTAGATCTAAATCCTGGATCTACTACTTATTAGCAATATGAACTTCAGTAAATTACATGCCGCCCTTGTATCTCAACTTCCTCATCTATAGAGTGAGGATAATAGTACCAAGTATCTATCAGGTTGTTATAAGGATTCATATTATATTGCTCTAAAGTGTTTAGAACAGTACCTGACTCATACTAAGTGTGTAATAAATGTTAGGCATTAATATTAATTCCCTTTCTTTCTTGCCTTTTTTTAAAAGTATGTTTCTTGATCTCTTCTTTCCATCATTTTAATCACTGGTTTCCGGTTGCAGGCTGGCCCAAGCAAAATCAACTGAGAGCACTTAAAAATTTAGATTCCTTCTTCTCATCTCTGATGATTCTGCTTCAGTAGATTTGGGGAGGGGCTCCAGAGAATCTGTATTTTTAAAAACTTCCCAAGGTGATTTGATGCTCAAAGCCACTGCTTCAAACGTGGGTGTTTCCCAGGGTTCATTTCACTCTTTTGCTACTATGACATCAACTTCATCTATGGCCTGATGTCTCTAGACCGGATGTTTTCCTGAGCCCCAGATCGGCACTGTCACTTTGTATCAGAATAATTTTACATGTATCATTTTATTTAGTTCTCAAAATAAGAGGTGGATACTATTAAAATACTATTTTTATAAACAAGGGGACCTAAGCATACTCAGTGTCATAGAGCTAGTAACTCCAGACAAATACATCCAACTGTTCACTACAGCTCTCCACTTGGGTATTCTGCTATGTTTTGTGTATACTCTCTCCAAAACCCAGATGTTGCAAATGTGATGATATTAAGACATGGGGCTAGCCAAGTACAGTGGCTCAAGCCCATAAGCCCAGCACTTTGGGAGGCCAAGGCAGGAGGATCACTTGAGCCCAGGAGTTCAAGACCAGACTGGACCAGGTGGTGAAACCTCATCTCTACAAAAAATACAAAAAAATTAGCTGGGTGTGGTGGCATGCATCTGTAATCCCAGCTACTCAGGAAGCTGAGGTGGTTCAACTACCTGAGCCTGAGAGTCTGAGGCTACAGTGAATGGTGATTGCACCACTGCACTCCAGCCTGGGTGACAGGGTGAGACCTTACTTCCAAAAAACAAAAAACAAAGAAAAAAAAAAGGAAAAAGATGGTGCCTCAAGGGATAATCCCCTGAGGGCTGCTCCCTTATTAATGGGATTAAGGACCTTACAGAAGAGGCATTGCAGCATTTGGCTGGCTTGCCCTAACCCATTCCTCCACATGAAAACATAGTGTTCCTCCCCTCTGAAGAATGCAGCCCTCACCGTACAATTGAACCTGCTGGTGCATTGATCTTGGACTTCCCAGCCTCCAGAACTATATGATATAAATTTCTGTTTTTGGTAAATTACCCAGCCTGTGGTATTCTATTATAGCAGCACAAAGAAACTAAGACAATTGTAAACTCAGCACATCCAGCACTCAGCTGATATACTTCTCTCCCTCAATCAAAATTTTCTCCCTCTAGTATTCTCTATGGCAGTCAGGGGTTCTACCACCCAGTACTGTTACCAAACCTGAGAGTCATTCTTGTCCTCTTCCTCTTTAACAACCCTCCTTAGTTGGTAACCACGTCCTTTTGATTATATGTTTTTATGATTTCTTAAATCTGTTCACCTGTATTCATCACCACTTCAACCATCTTAGTTCAAGCCTTCATTTTTTTCCTTGTATTACTAAAACAGCCTTAGTTAATATAGCTGTTTTCCTTTCCTTTAATTTAATCTGTTACCTACACAGCTCATAGTGATTTTTCTACAATTCAAACCTTATTTTATTTCCATTTCCTTGTTTAAAATCCATCTATGGCTTCCCTATTGCCTTCAAGATAAAAATGTAAAGGCCAGGCGCGGTGGCTCACGCCTGTAATCCCAGCATTTTGGGAGGCCAAGGTGGGCGGATCACCTGAGGTCAGGAGTTTGAGACCAGCCTGGCCAACTTGGCGAAACCCCATCTCTACTACAAATACAAAAAAATTAACTGGGAGCGGTGGTGGGCGCCAATAATCCCAGCTACTTAGGGAGGCTGAGGCAGGGAGTACTGCTTGAACCCGGCAGGTGGAGGTTGCGGTGAGTCAAGATTGCGCCACTGCACTCTGGCCTGGGTGACAGAGTGAGACTCTGTCTCAAAATAAATAAATAAATAAAAATAAATAAAAAAAGTTAAAATGTAAAATCCTAACTATGACATTTGAGGCCCTTCATGATACGGCCTCTGTCTACCTTATCAGCTCTTATCACCTTCTCTCTGCCACTTTATTCTCTAGCTATTACTAATAACATTTGTAGGATGCCCAAGCACCCCACTCTTTCACCTGTTGGTGCATATGCTGCACTTTCTGCCCTAAGCACCCATTCCTTTGTTCTTCCCTTGGCTAACTAATTGTGGTCCCTCAAAATCACCTTTCCCAGAAAGTTTGCCCTGCTATGTTTTCCTCTAATAACCTAGGCTCCCTTTAATCACAGTAGTGACTTATTGCATTATATGTTGCAGACTTAAGTACTTAACTATATGAGTTCCAAAATCAGACCGTATGGATTTGAATCCTAGTATCACTGGTTACTAGCTCTGTGACATTGAGTGTGCTTCTTAATTTCAGTGCTTTGGTCCCCTTGTTTGTAAAATATTATTTAATAGTATCCACCTCTTATTTTGAGAACTAAATGAAATGATACATGTAACATTCTTAGAACAGTGCCTGGTGCTTGCGAAATATTAGATATTATTATTATCTCTGCCAAAAAAATCTAGATTTTTAGGAGCAGAGTGCGTTAGCTTTTTAGGAACTCGGTGTGTGTGTGTGTTTAAGAGATGAGATCCCAGCACTTTGGGAGGCCGAGGCGGGTGGATCACGAGGTCAGGAGATCGAAACCATCCTGGCTAACACGGTGAAAACCCGTCTCTACTAAAAACACAAAAAATTAGCCGGGCGCGGTGGCGGGTGCCTGTAGTCCCAGCTACTCGGGAGGCCGAGGCAGGAGAATGGCGTGAACCCGGGAGGTGGAGCTTGCAGTGAGCCAAGATCGCACCACTGCACTCCAACCTGGGTGACAGAGTGAGACTCCATCTCAAAAAAAAAAAAAAAAAAAAAAAGAGATGAGATCTTGCTGCATTGTCCAGGCAGACCTCGAACTTCGTGGGCTCAAGGGATTCTCTTATCTGTCCCTGGCATATGATATATACTCACCAATGACTACAATTTATTTATTTATTTAGTCTTTTAGGAAATATTAGTTGAGCACCTGAGCGTCAGGCACTGTTCTAGGCACTAGGGATGCATCAGGGAAAAAAATTAAAATCCTGCCTCATGGTGCTTACCTAGAGAGAGACAAGGAATAAGTAAAACAAGAGGTTAGACTGTAGTAAGTGCTACCGAAGTGGAGGAAAAAAAGGCAGGAAATAGAAGGGGGATAGGAAATGTCTGCAGTGGGTAGTGATTGAGGATGGGAGATAAAGAAGAGAGGAGTTGCAATTTTCTTTTTTCTTTCTTTCTTTCTTTTTTTTTTTTTTTTTTTGAGACGGAGTCTCACTCTGTTGCCCAGGCTGGAATGCAGTGGCATGATCCTCTCACCTCAGCCCTACAAGTAGTTGGGACCACAGGCACACACTACCATGTCTGGCTAATTTTTTGTGTTTTTAATAGAGACAGAGTTTTGTCATGTTGTCCAGGCTGGTCTCAAACTCTTGAGCTCAGGCCATCCATCCACCTTGGACTCCCAAAGTGCTGGCATTACAGGCGTGAACCATTGCACCTGGCCTGATCCCTTCTCATTAGATCTCCCACTACCACATTGATTCACATCATCGTGATCTCTTGCCTAACTTATTGCAGAAGTCCCCTAACTGGCCTCCACGTCTTGTTTCACTTTACTCTTAACACAGTAGCCAGAGTGATCTTGTTAAAATCCAAGTCAGATAGCCACTCCTTTGCTCAGACCCTCCAAATGGCTTCCCATTTCTCCAATAAAAGCCAAAGTCTTTACAATGGCATAGGAGGCCCTGCAGTCTTTCTCTTCCTTTCCTCCAGACCTTATACTCCACCATTCTTTTCCTCATTAATTACACTCCAGCAGCACTGCTCTTGCATTTTCTCAAACATGCCAAGCAGGTACCCATCTTAGGCTCTATGTAATTGCTCTCAGATATCTGCATAATACAATTCACCATTACTGAGCCTGGGAGGTGGAGGTTCCAGTGAGCCAAGATCATGCCACTGCACTACAGTCTGGGTAGCAGAGTGAGATCCTGTCTCAAAGTAATAATAACAATAATAATGAGAAGGGATCAGATTATGGATATACTTTGAAGATAAATCCAATAGGAGTCACAAAGAAATTTTATGTAGAGTGAGAGAGAAAGAAGAGTCAAGGATGCCTCCACAGATTTTAGTCAAATGAAATGGAAAGAGGAATAGCTTTCAAATGAGATGAAGAAGATGAGGAAGACTGAAAAGAAAAGTTTCATTTTTTTTTTCTGTTGTGGTGTCAAAGACCAGGAATTTGGTTTGAGGTATGTAAAGTTTGAGATGCAAATTAGATACATGTAGGCAGACATATGTGTCTGAAGTTCCAGAGAGAGGTCTATACTAGAAAACTAAATTTGGGGCTGGGCACAGTGGCTCATGCCTGTAATCCCAGCACTTTGGGAGGCTGAGGCGGGTGGATCATTGAGGTCAGGAGTTCAAGACCAGCCTGGCCAAGGGTGAAACCCTATCTCTACTAAAAATACAAAAAAATTAGCCAGGCTTGGTGATGCATGCCTGTATTCCCAGCTACTTGGGAGGCTGAGGCAGGAGAATAGCTTGAACCCAGGAGGTGGAGGTTGCAGTGAGCCGAAATCATGCCACTGCACTCCAGTCTGGGCAACAGAGTGAGAGTTGGTCTCAAAAAAAAAAAAAAAAAAAAAAAAAAAAAAAAAAGAAAAGAAAAAGAAAACTAAATTTGGCATTTATGATATGGTATTTAAAGCCTTGACACCAGAGGTTACCAAGAAAGTGGCTACCGAGATGTCCAAGGCCTGTCTGAGTCAAAGTGCACCCCAAAATTTGGAAATCAGAAAGACAAGAAAGAACCAGCAAAGGAAACTGAAAAAGAGTGGTCAGTTAGATAGAGGGAAAAAAGAAAAGGGGGCCAAATTTTGGAACAAGAGAAGAGAATAAAGGAGTGATTGACTGTCAAACGCTTTAGAATAGGTCGCATAATACAAGGATAGAGAATTGAAAGATTGATTTAATAACACAAAGGTCATGGAGACTTTGACAAGGACATTTGCTTAGGGTAAAAGTGTTTGGAGTGAGCCCAAGAGAGACTGGGAAGAGAGGAATTGGACACAGGAAGTAGAGATAATTCTTTCAAGGAGTTTTGCCATAAAAGAGCAAAAAAATGAGAATGTGAGGTCAAGAAAAGCTTTGGGATTTTTCTTGCTGTTAAAGCTGAGAATCATAACTTGTTCATAAGCTGATGGGAATTTTCTTACAGTGAAGAGAAACCAAGGATGGGAGACAGAATGGGTCGAACTGCTAGAGGTGGGTACCTTGAGTAGGTGAATACCTTGAGTAGGTGAGAGAGGATGGAATCTACCTCTCAAGTACAGGGCTGGTCTTGGATAGGAGCACAGGCAGAAGAGCTGTGTGTGTCATAGAGGAAAACATACTATACGGGTACAGGTGCAGAAGAATTCCACAGGCTCTTGTCATGACCTCTATCTGGCATGATGCGGGATGGATGTCAAGTTAAGAGCCTGTGGAATTCCGATTGCATCTTTCAAGAAATATCGCAACACTTTTTCTATTACATATTATGATTTTTCATTTAATGAAACATTTTTGAAAGAGTCTGGTATACGTGATACTGTTGATATGGTGTGGGGGTTCCCTTTACTTGTAAGAATCAGTATTGTGGGCAAAACAGGTAAACAAACAATTGTGATGTGGTAAGTGTTATCCTACAGGCATATGAAAATGCTGCAGCAACTGGTTGGGGGTGGTGGCTCACGCCTGTAATCCCAGCTCCTTGGGAGGCGGAGGTGAGTGGATCGCCTGAACTCAAGAGTTTGAGGCCAGCCTGGGCAACATGGTGATATCCCGTCTCTACAAAAAATACAAAAATTAGTTGGGCGTAGTGGCATGTGCCTGTAGTCCCAGCTACTTGGGAGGCTGAGATGGGAGGCTCACTTGAGCCGGGGAGGTGGAGGTTGCAGTGAACTGGGGATCAGATCCACTGTGCTCCAGCCTGGGTGACAGAGTGAGACCCTGTCCCAAAGGGGAAACAAACAAACAAAAACTGGCCTAAAGCTGCTAATATTTTAGTTTTGTGGCCTGCAAACTTCTAGCATTTCTATAACAGGCATCAAACTTACTTCTATATCAGAAAGTATTTGGCTTATGTCAAAGTTTTAAAAACTTTTTTTCATGTGACACTTTTTCTTAAGAGGAGCTCGTGAATAACTATTTAAATGTTACAGTTGGCTTGAATTTTAAACATTTGGTGAGAGTTGTAAAAATATATGTTTTAAACTTTCAGAGAATAAAAATTTAAGACCCACTTTCTTAGAAGTTACTATTAATAAATAAATAATTTTGTAGTTCTAATCTCATTAAAAAAATTTTTTAAGACTGAGATTGATGTGTAGGACCCAGCTGCAAAATTCAAACCAGCTACATGCAGCTGCACTCTGGTTCCCCTAATTCATCTAACAGCTCTTAGTGTGTTCTATAAGTGGCAATAGAAAAGGCACAGCAGATGTGCAAGATGGCTCCTGAAATCTAAAGAGGGACAGATGGTTCTCGGTTTGATTGACAGCATGAGGAGCACTGTAGAAAGGGTCACCTCCTGTGGAGGGGTTTTTTTTTTTTTTTTAATCCTTGCCTCTGCCTGAAAATGAAACTGTCCAAGAAAGAAAAGCAGAGTATGGCTATTCAGAAAGCCTTTTTTTTTTTTTTTCAAATATTTGTTATAGTGAAATTATAAAGTCACCTAGACGTGGAAAAAACTCTCCTCTAACTTTTGACTGAGAGCTGACTCTTCATATTTATAACAAAGTAGACAGATTGGTGTTTGAATGCAATACTCAGAATATTGGAGATAGAGCTGGAATTAAGGCAAAAACAAAAATAACATAATTTACACAACAGCATCGATTAGAGCTGGAATAATGATCACTGGAAGCCCTATTTTCCCCTTAAAAATAAACTTTTTGTTTTAAATTTTAATTACAAAGTTAGACAAATTATTTGCAATAGTTTACCGGGAATGGTTCTAAATTAACAATATAGGCTATATCACTTTTATGCTTACCTCTCTCTCTCTCTTTTCCAAACTCCTTTCTAGTACTTTAAATCTTCAAGAAAAACAAAAAAGAACTCACATTTTCTGCATGCAAACCAAGTCCTGGATGCTGTGTTAGGTACTTTATAACTTTATATGATTTAGTATCTCAGAGGTATTAATAGATTCTTCTTAGGTTCATATTCATACTGACACATGGGCTCCATGATTTTATTGATGCTTCTCTTCATCTTCTGCTGAAAAAAGGAAAACAAGAACAAAATATGCCTCAAAATAATAGTCTATATATTAAGATACATTCTGGGAGTCCAGGATTTGTGAAGTCCTCTTAAACCATTTCTAGAAGAGGCTGGGTGCAGTGGCTCACGCCTGTAATCTCAGCACTTTGGGAGGCTGAGGTGGGCAGATCATGAGGTCAGGAGTTCGAGACCAGTCTGGCCAACATAGTGAAACCCCATCTCTACTAAAAATACAAAAAATTACCCGGATGTGGTGGTGTGCACCTGTAATCCCAGCTAGTCAGGAGACTGAGGCAGGAGAATTGCTTGAAACCAGAAGGCGGAGGTTGCAGTGATCTGAGGTCGCGCCACACTCCAGCCCGGGGAACAGTGTGAGACTCCATCTCAAAAAAAAGAAAAGAATAAATTATTTCTAGAAGAAATTCACACAGTGGCAGATGCAAGATTTCTCTCTAGACAAGACTCAGGATTGACAATGTATTTGCAAGAAATAGCTGGGAGGTAATTGTCTTGAAACTTCATTTGCATGAAACTATGCTTTTTTGGAATGACCTGCAAAACCTGCCAGGGAATTTACATTTCTTGGTAAGCCTGCTTTTTGGAGGATCTTTAAGAAGTGCTGCAGTTTGATAAAAGTCTGAAAACTACAGTAGATCTGACATATGAACAAATATTTACTTCTGTGACTCATGAACTGAACTAGATTCTGATAATGTAGACAGGGCTATCTCAGTTCTTGTAAAATTCTCAAATCTCTACTCCACTGGCTTGGAGGAAATCAAACTGTTGAACTAGACAGCAGCTCAGAAACCCCAGGGTCGCAAATGACTTTCCCTTTCACTTCCCATCGCCTCTGTTTTAATGACAACAAAGCTTTTTGTGGCCAAGGCATAAATTCATTGAATATGAAATATTTACATTCCACCATCTAGTCAACATCATATTCTTTCAGCTCTCCCACATAGGTAATCCCGCACATACCTGTTCTTTGGCATCATACTGACTACTAGATCTTTGATACTCTTAATTTTATCCCTATCTGATTGTTTTCTTTTCATCCCTACTTAGCTTCAATTCCATTGCCAATAATTTCAACCATTCTCTTGCCAATATCTTCAACTACTTTGTCTTTCTGTCACAAATGTATAAAGTGGCCTGTATTCTATAACTTTCATTACCTTCTTCCTGCTAGTCACACAGGATGGGTAAGCCCTTCTCCCATTTATGTCGACTTATCCACCTGTGCATTTCTCGCTCTCTCTCTGTTTAGACATTCTATGCCAATATGTCCCAATCTTTTTAATATCATGGCACACATAGAAAAACGCTAATCTTTGTGCAGTTCATTAGAATAAACTGGAGGCGATCAGGACATCTATATAGCGCTTAGTTGATATATGCTAATGGCAATTAAAAATACAAAATATAGTCAAGAGATTGAGACCATCCTGGCCAAAAAATTAGCTGGGCATGGTGGCACATGCCTGTAGTCCCAGCTACTCAGGAGGCCGAGGCAGGGGAATCGCTTGAACCTGGGAGGCGGAGGTTGCAGTGATCTGAGATCACGCCACTGCACTCCAGCCTGGCAACAGAGCAAGAGTCCGTCTAAAAGGAAAAAAAAAAAAAGGAAGATAATAAATACTGGCTTTTGTTGAATAAATATTGACTTTTATAAAACTTTGAAATAATATCTTTTAAAACTTGGGCTTGCTTCTCAAAATACAACTTCTTAACTGTTTATTATTAGGCTTAAATTTGAAACGGTGGCAGGGCACCGTGGCTCACGCCTGTAACCCCAGCACTTTGGGAGGCCAAGGCAGGAGGAACACCCGAGATCAGGAGTTTGAGACCAGCCTGACCAACATGGCGAAACCCTGTCTCTACTAAAAATACAAAAATTAGCTGGGCATGGTGGCACACACCTGTGATCCTGCTACTCGGGAGGCTGAGAGAAGAGAATCGCTTGAATCTGGGAGGTGGAGGTTGCAGTGAGTGGAGATTGGGCCACTGCACTCCAGCCTGGGTGACAGAGCGAGACTCCCTCCTCCCCAAAAAAAGGGGTGGGAGAGGGGCCAAGATGGCTGAATAGGAACAGCTCTGGCCTGCAGCTCCCAGCAAGACCAACGCAGAAGGTGGTTGATTTCTGCATTTCCAGCTGAGGCACCCAGTTCATCTCACTGGGACTGGTTAGGCAGTGGGTCCAACTCATGGAGAGTAAGCAGAAGCAGTGTGGGGCGTTGCTTCACCCGGGAAGTGTAAGGAGCCAGGAACCTCCCTCCCCTAGCCAAGGGAAGCCATGAGGGACTGTGCTACCCAGCTGGGTTACTACACTTTTTCCACGGTTTTTGCAATCTGCAGATCAGGAGATTCCTACCGGGGCCCTGGGTTTCAAGCACAAAACTGGGCGGCTGTTTGGGCAGACACTGAGCTAGCTGTAGAAGTATTTTTTCATACCCCCAGTGGCACCTGGGACTGTGCTACCCAGCCGGGTTACTACACTTTTTCCATGGTTTTTGCACTCTGCAGATCAGGAGATTCCCACCAGGCCCCTGGGTTTCAAGCACAAAACTGGGGGGCTGTTTGGGCAGACACCGAGCTAACTGCAGAAGTATTTTTTCATACCCCAGTGGGGCCTGGAACACCAGTGAGACAGAATTGTTTACTCCCCTGGAAAGGGGGCTGAAGCCAGGAAGCCAAGTGGTCTAGCTCAGTGGGTTCCACTTCCATGGAGCCGAGCAAGCTAAGAACCACTGGCTTGAAATTCTTGCTGCCAGCACAGCAGTCTGAAGACAACTTGGAATAATCGAGCTTGGTGTGGGGAGGGGCATCTGCCATTACTGACATTTTAGAAGGCAGTTTTCTCCTGACATTGCTCAGGAGGCTGGGTGCTCTGGGCTGGGTGTGGCAAAGCAGCTGTGGCCAGACTGCTTCTCTAGATTTCTCCTCACTGGGCATCTCTGAAGGAAAGGTAACAGCCCTAGTCAGGGACTTACAGACAAAACCCCCATCTCCCTGGGATAGAGCACCTGGGGGAAGGGGTGGTTGTGGGCGCAGCTTCAGCGGATTTAATCATTCCTGCTTGCTGGCTCTGAAGAGAGCAGCTGATCCTGACAAAAGGGATTCTCCCAGCGCAGTGCACCAGCTCTTCTAAGGGACAGACTGCCTTCTCAAGTGGGTCCCTGACCTCTGTGCCTCCTGACTGGGAATAACCTCCCAACATGGGTTGACAGACACCTCTTACAGGAGAGCTCCAGCTGATATCAGGCCAGTGCCCCTCTGGGACGAAACTTCCAGAGAAAGGAGCAGGCAGAAATCTTTGTTGTTCTGCAGGCTCTACTGGTGATACCCAGGTGAACAGGGTCTGGAGTGCACCTCCAGCAAGCTGCAGCAGACCTGCAGAAGAGGGTCTTGACTGCTAGAAGAAAAACTAACGAACAGAAAGCCACAACATCAACATCAGCATAAAGGACCCCCACGTAAAGACTCCATCCAAAGATCATCAGCCTCAAAGATCAAAGGTAGATAAATCCACGAAGATGAGGAAAAAGCAGTGCAAAAATGCAGGAAATTCCAAAAACCAGAAGGCCTATTCTCCTCCAAATGATCTCTACTCCTCTCCAGCAAGGGCACAAAACTGGACGGAGAATGAGTTTGATGAATTGACAGAAGTGGGCTTCAGAAGATGGGTAATAACAAACTCCTCTGAGCTAAAGGAGCATGTTCCTACCCAATGCAAGGAAGCTAAGAACCTTGATAAAGGTTACAGGAACTGCTAACTAGAATAACCAGTTTAGAGAGGAACATAAATGACCTTATGGAGCTGAAAAACACAGCAGGAGAACTTTGTGAAGCATACACAAGTATCAATAGCTGAATTGATCAAGCGGAAGAAAGGATATTGGATATTAAAGATCAACTTAACGGAATAAGGGATGAAGACAAGATTAGAGAAAAAATAATGAAAAGGAATGAAAAAAACCTTCAAGAAATATGTGACTATGTGAAAAGACCAAACCTACAATTGATTGGTGTACCTGAAAGTGATAGGGAGAATGGAACCAAGTTGAAGAATACACTTCAGGGTATTATCCACAAGACTTCCCCAACCTAGCAAGACAGGCCAACATTCAAATTCAGGAAATACAGAGAACACCACTAAGACACTCCTCAAGAAGAGAAACCCCGAGACACATAATGGTCAGATTCTCCAACATGAAAACGAAGGAAAAAAATGTTAAGGGCAGCCAGAGAGAAAGGTCAGGTCACCTACAAAGGGAAGCCCATCAGACTAACAGTGGATCTCTCTGCAGAAACCCTACAAGCCAGAAGAGAGTGCAGGCCAACATTCAGCATCCTTAATATCTAGCCAAACTAAGCTTCATAAGAAAAGGAGTAACAAAATCCTATACAGACAAGCAAATGCTGAGGGATTTTTCTCACCACTAGGTCTGCCTTACAAGAGCTCCTGAAGGAAGCACTAAATATGGAAAGGAAAAACTGGTACCAGCCACTGCAAAAACAACCCAAAATATAAAGACCAATGACACTATGAAGAAACTGCATCAATTAATGTGCAAAATAACCAGCTAACATTATGATGGCAGGATCAAATTCACACATAACAATGTTAGCCTTCAGTGTAAATGGGCTAAATGCCCCAATTAAAAGACACAGACTGGCAAATTGGATAAAGAGTCAAGACCCCTCAGTGTGCTATATTGAAGAGACCCATCTCACGTGCAAAGACACACATAGGCTCAAAATAAAGAGACGGAGGAATATTTACCAAGCGCAAAAAAAAAAAAAAAAAAAAAAAAAAAAGGAGGGGTTGCAATCCCAGTCTCTGATAAAACAGACTTTAAACCAACAAAGATAAAAAAAGACAAAGAAGGGCATTACATTACGGTAAAGGGATCAATACATCAAGAAGAGCTAAGTATATATGCAACCAATACAGGAGCACTCAGATTCATAAAACAAGTTCTTAGAGACCTACAAAGAGACTTGGACTCCCACGCAATAATAATGGGAGACTTTAACACCCCACTGTCAATATTAGACAGATCAATGAGACAGATAATTAACAAGGATATTCAGGATGTGAATTCAGCTCTGGACCAATGGGACCTAATAGACATCTACAGAACTCTCCAACCCAAATCAACGGAGTATACATTCTTCTCAGCACCACATAGCACGTATTCTAAAATCGATCACATAATTGGAAGTAAAACCCTCCTTAGCAAATGCAAAAGAATGGAAATCATAACAAACAGTCTCTCAGACCACAGTGCAATCTAATCAGAACTCAGGATTAAGAAAGTCACTCAAATCCGCACAACTACATGGAAATTGAACAATCTCCTCCTGAATGAGTACTGGGTAAATAACAAAATTAAGGCAGAAATAAATGAGTTTTTTGAAACCAATGAGGACAAAGAAACAACATACTAGAATCTCTGGGACACAGCTAAAGTGGTGTTAAGAGGAAAATTTATAGCACTTAATGCCCACAACAGAAAGCTGGAAAGGTCTAAAATCAACACACTAACATCACAATTAAAAGAATGAAAGAAGCAAGAGCAAACAAATTCAAAAGCTAGCAGAAAACAAGAAATAACTAAGATCAGAGCAGAACTGAAGGAGATAGAGACATGAAAAACCCTTCAAAAATTCAATGAATCCAGGAGCTGGTTTTTTGAAAAGATTAACCAAATAGATGGACCACTAGCTAGACTAATAAAGAAAAGAGAGAAGAATCAAATAGACACAATAAAAAATGATAAAGGTGATATCACCACTGATTCCACAGAAATACAAACTACCATCAGAGAATACTATAAACACCACTATGCAAATAAACCCAGAAAATCTAGAAGAAATGGATAAATTCCTGGACACATACACACTTTCAAGACTAACCCAGGAAGAAGTAGACTCCCTGAATAGACCAATAACAAGTTCTGAAATTGAGGCAGTAATTAATAGCCTACCAACCAACAAAAGCCCAGGACCAGACGAATTCACAGCCGAATTCTACCAGAGGTACAAGGAGGAGCTGGTACCATTCGTTCTGAAACTATTCCAAACAATAGAAAAAGAAGGACTCCTCCTTAACTCATTTTATGAGGCCAGCATCATCCTGATATGAAAACCTGGCAGAGACACAACAAAAAAAGAAAATTTCTGGCCAATATCCCTGATGAATATTGATGTGAAAATCCTCAATAAAATACTGGCAAACCAAATCGAGCAGCACATTAAAAATCTTATCCACCACGATCAAGTCGACTTTATGCCTGGGATGCAAGGCTGGTTCAACATACTCAAATCAATGAATGTAATCCATCACATAAACAGAACCAATGACAAGAACCACATGATTATCTCAATGGATGCAGAAAAGGCCTTTGATAAAATTCAACATCTCTTCATGTTAAAAACTCTCAATAAACTAGGTGTGGATGGAACATATCTCAAAATAATAAGAGCTATTTATGACAAACGCATAGCCAATATCATACTGAATGGGCAAAAGCTGGAAGCATTCCCTTTGAAAACCAGCACAAGGGTGTCCTCTCTCATCATTCCTATTTAACGTAGTATTGGAAGTTCTGGCCAGGGCAATCAGGCAAGAGAAAGAAATAAACGTATTTAAATAGGAAAAGAGGAAGTCAAATTGTCTCTGTTTGCAGATGACATAGTTGTATATTTAGAAAACCACATTGTCTCAGCCCAAAAATTCTTAAGCTGATAAGCAACTTCAGCAAAGTGTCAGGATACAAAATCAATGTGCAAAAATCATAAGCATTCCTATACACCAACAATAGACAAGCAGATAGCTAAATCATGAGTGAACTCCCATTCACAATTGCTACAAAGAGAATAAAATACCTAAGAATACAACTTACAAGGGATGTGAAGGACCTCTTCAAGGAAAACTACAAACCACTGCTCAAGGAAATACGAGAGGACACAAACAAATGGAAAAACATTCCATGCTCATGGATAGGAACAATCAATACTGTGAAAATGGCCACACTGCCCAAGGTAATTTATAGATTCAATGCTATTCCCATCAAGCTACCAATGACTTTCTTCACAGAATTGGAAAAAACTACTTTAAATTTCATATGGAACCAAAAAAGAGCCCACATAGCCAAGACAATCCTAAGCAAAAAGAACAAAGCTGGAGGCATCATGCTATCTGACTTCAAACTATACTACAAGGCTACAGTAACCAAAACAGCATGGTACTGGTACCAAAACAGATGTATAGACAAACGGAACAGAACAGAGACCTCAGAAATAACACCATGCATCACAACCATCTGATCTTCAACAAACCTGACAAAAACAAACAATGGGGAAAGGATTCCCTATTTAATAAATGGTGCTGGGAAAACTGGCTTGGCCATATGCAGAAAACAGAAACTGGACCACTTCCTTACATCTTACGTAAAAATTAACTCAAGATGCATTAAAGACTTAAATGTAAAACCCCAAATCATAAAAACCTTAGAAGAAAACATAGGCAGTACCATTCAGGACATAGGCATGGGCAAAGACTTCATGACTAAAACACAAAAGTAATCACAACAAAAGCCAAAATTGACAAATGGGATCTAATTAAACTGAAGAGCTTCTGCACAGCAAAGAAAACTATCATCAGAGTGAACAGGCAACCTACAGAATGGGAGAAAATTTTTGCAAGCTACCCTTCCAACAAAGGTCTAATACCCTGAATCTATAAGGAACTTAAATTTACAAGAAAAAACAATCAACCCCATCAAAAAGTGGGCAAAGGATACGAACAGACACTTCTCAAAAGAAGACATTTATGTGGCCAACAAACATATAAAAAAATGCTCATCATCACTGGTCATTAGAGAAATGCAAATGAAAACCACAATGAGATACCATCTTACACCAGTCAGAATGGTGATTATTAAAAAGTCAGGAGACAACAGATGCTGGTGAGGCTGTGGAGAAATCGGAACGCTTTTACACTGTTGGTGGGAGTGTAAATTAGTTCAACCATTGTGGAAGACAGTGTGGCAATTACTCAAGTATCTAGAACAAGAAATACCATTTGACCCAGCAATCCCATTACTCAGTATAAACCCAAAGGATTATAAATCATTCTACTATGAAGACACATGCACATGTATGTTTATTGCAGCACTGTTTACAATAGCAAAGTCATGGAAGCAACCCAAATGCCCATCAATGATAGACCGGATAAAGAAAATGTGGCGCATACATACCATGGAATACTATGGAGCCATAAAAAAGAAAGAGTTCATGTCCTTTGCAGGTACATGGTTGAAGCTGGAAACCATCATTTTCAGCAATCTAACACAGGAACGGAAAACCAAACACCGCATGTTCTCACTTATAAGTGGGAGCTGAACAGCGAGAACACATGGACACAGGGAGGGGAACATCACACACCGGGACCTGTTGGTGGGGGGGTAGGGGGCAAAGGGAGGGAGAGCGTTAGGGCAAATACCTAATGGATGCGGCGTTTAAAACCTAGATGGAAGGTTGACAGGTGCAGCAAACCACCATGGCACCTGTATACCTATGTAACACACCTGCAGGTTCTCCACATGTACCCCAGAACTTAAAGTAAAATAAAAAAAAAAAGACATATTGTAATACTTAAAAAAATTTGAAATGGCTATACACATTTCCTTTTTTAAATGATGATCTCTTTGAATTTACTTTTATTTTTATTTATTTTTAATTTTTTTTTAGAGAAGGTCTTGTTCTGTTGCCCAGGCTGGAGTGCAGTGGCATTATCATAGCTCACTGGAGCCTTAAATCCCTGGGCATAAGTGATCCTCTTGCTTCATGCTCTAGATTAGCTAGGACTGCAGGGGTGCCACAATGCCTGGCTTTTTTTTTTTTTTTTTTTTTTTGTAGAGATGGAGTCTTGCTATGTTGCTCAGGCTGGTCTCAAACTCCTGGCCTCATGTGATCCTTCTGCTTTGGCCTCCCAAAGTATTCAGATTACAGGAGTGAGCCACTACACCTGGCTTTCTTTGAATTCTTCTTTTGTTTTGTTTTTAAGACAGGGCCTCACTCTGTTGCCCAGGCTGGAGTGCAGTGGCATGATCTTGGCTTACTGCAACCTCTGCCTCCCAGGCTCAAGTGATCCTCCCACTTCAGCCTCCTGAATAGCTGGGACTACAGATGAGCACCATCATGCCCAGCTAATTTTTTGTATTTTTTTGTAGAGATGGGTTTTTGCCGTGTTGCCCACACTAGTCTCAAACTCCTAAGCTCAAAGCAATCCACCTGCCTTGGCCTCCCAAAGTGCTGGGATTACAGGTGTGAGCCACTGCGCCCAGCCTGAATTTTTAATAGTTTCCATTAACAAGAAATTTTGAATGCAATAACCACTCAGTATTTACAATTGAAATTACATCAAAGACTCTAAAACTGTTTTTGTTTTTCTTTTTCTTTTTTTGAGATGGGACCTCATTCTGTTGCTCAGGCTGGAGTGTACAGGCACAATCATAGCTCACTGCAACCCTGAACTCCTGGTCTCAAGTGATCCTGTCGCCTCCACCTCCTGGGTAGCTAGGACTACAGGCATGCACTAGCACACCCACCTTATTATTATTATTATTATTATTTTAGAGATAGGGTCTTTTTATGTTGCCCAGGCTGGTCTCAAACTCCTGGCCTCAAGCGATCCTCCTGCCTTGGCCAGGTGTGAACCACCCACTGCACTGGCCTCTTTTCTTTCATTAAGAAATGTAACAGAAATATAATGAATGACAATTCAGGTGAATTTTGAATTCAAATGAACTTTTTTGTTTTAGACAGAGTCTTGCTCTGTTGTTCAGGCTGGAGTGCAGTGGCGCAATCATAGCTTGCTGCAGCCTTGATCTCCTGGGCTGAAGTGGTCCTCCCACCTCAGCCTCCCAAGTAGCTGGGATTACAGGCATGCACCACTACATCTGGTTAATTTTTGTATTTTTAGTAGAGACAGGGTTTCACAATGTTGCCCAGGTGGGTCTGGAACTCCTGGGCTCAAATGACCTGCCCACCTTGGCATCCCAAAGTACTGGGACTTACAGGCATGAGCCACTGCGCCTGGCTGGAGTTTTTAATTTCAAATAAGTCAAAATAATGAAGGAACTGTAATTTGCATTATGAGAGCAGATCCCCTGCAGCTGGCATGGACACCACAAAAAGGACATTTCAACCCCAAAAGTCCAGACATGCCCAATTAATGTGAAGACTGAGATATGGGCTTGCTCCTTGGGGTTACTCCCTGGAGCTGCACCTGCCTGGGGCCCCAGTCCTGACTCCTTGTGCCCCCACTCTACTAGCTGCACCTTGGGATTCCTGCCATCCCATGCATCCAGGGTATCTAGGGTATGCATCCAGGGTATCTAACACATGAATCCAGGTCATCTAACACATGAATATCTAGGTATGCATCCAGGGTATCTAACACATGAATATCTTCAGCAGCCCCATAGGCCCCTTGCCCATGATGGGCAGCAGCGTGCCCTTTGGCTGAATTTTCTGAGATTTAGTATGGGAAAGAAGAGCTGAATTTTGCTTATCATTCTCATCACTTTTGGGGTACATAGGAATACCATTAGACTTTGTTTTCCTCTAAATCACCTCAGAGGACCCCCAAAGAAGGTTGCTTATAATGCAGGAAACTGGCCCATGGTCTCTGCCCACAGACTGCTGCAAAGGCTGAGTGAGTGAATCAATAGCTTGTGGCATACCTATAACACATCCATGGGAATATTAGTTAAGAAATCCGCCCTATGCTATTAATTATCCCTTCTTGCTCTTGTATTTTCTCTTTCTTTCCCTCCCTCCCTCCCTTCTCTCTCTTTCTCTCTCTTCTTTCTTTCTTACTTTCTTTTTCTTTCTTTCTTTTCTTTCTTTCTTTCCATCTTACAAGAGCCTCACTCTGTTGCCCAGGCTGGAGTGCAGTAGTACAATCTTGGCTCACTGCAACCTCCACCTCCTGGGTTCAAGCAATTCTTCTGCCTCAGCCTGTCAGTAGCTGGGATTACAGGCATGCACCACCACGCCTGGCTAATTTTTGTAGTTTTAGGTAGAGACAGGGTTTCGCCGTGTTGGCCAGACTGGTCTTGAACTCCTGACATCAAGTGATCCGCCCATCTCAGCCTCCCGAAGTGCTGGGATTACAGGCATGAGCTACTGTGCTTGGCCTCCCTCCTATATTTTCTTTTTTTTTTAAATTATACTTTAAGTTCTAGGGTACATGTGAACAACGTGCAGGTTTGTTACATATGCTTACATGTGCCATGTTGGTGTGCTGCACCCATTAACTCATAATTTAGCATTAGGTATATCTCCTAATGCGATCCCTCCTCCCTCCCCACAACCCACAACAGGCCCCAGTGTGTGATGTTCCCCACCCTGTGTCCGAGTGTTCTCATTGTTCAATTCCCACCTATGAGTGAGAACATGCGGTGTTTGGTTTTCTGTCCTTGCGATAGTTTGCTGAGAATGATGGTTTCCAGCTTCATCCATGTCCCTACAAAGGACATGAACTCATTCTTTTTTATGGCTGCATAGTATTCCTGGAATACTATATTTTCAATTCTTCTCTTTAGTGGTTCTTTCCCTTTGCCAATTACAATTAAAAGCCTATGGAATTAAAAAACAAAAACATTGAGGTAATGAATATGCTAGTTACTCTGATTTGATTATTACACACTTACATATTTCAAAATATCATGTTGTACCCCATAAATATGTACAATTATTATGTCAATTAAAAATCATAAAAGCAAAAACCCAAAACAAAAAATAACCTTCATCCATTTTTATTTTTTCCTCCAGCTACCACTCTATCTTGCTTTCTCTAAACAGCTAAACTTCCAGAAAGAGTAATGTACACTTTTCCTCACATTATCTCCAATCACTCTTTTCTCAACCCATTGTAATCTAGATTTTAATAAAACTACACTTGCAAAAGTTATAAATAACCTTTTTATTGCTGCATGTAATGGATAGTTCTCCATCCTTACCAGCATTTGATATAATTGACCATTTCTTCCTTCTTAGAAGATTCTTTTCCTTTGGCTTCTATGACACTACATTTTGAATAATAAATATGTGTTAAACTAGATAGTCTGGTGAACTAATAAAACACAAGTTCTGCTCTAATGGAACATAAATAGAAATATGCTGAATAATAATTTATTGAATAATGATTGCTTGAATAATCGCTGAATAATTATCAATTATGGAAGTTCAAGCGTTCATTTGAAAATAAATCTTTTATTGACACTGAAATGAAGTAGAAGTTCACTACATTGATTTCATTTATATACATTAATGAGTATAAATTATCCCTTTATTATTAATTTTTTTAAGTGATGTCTAATAAGTGGAAATTTCTTATGGTACATTTCATTAGATCTTAACTCAATGGAGGTATCATGAAGACTGTTGATTTAATTTAATCCAGGTGGATCGATTTCTGGTGATCTCACCATTCCAGATTAGAACACATTAGTCTGAGTTGGCTAATAAATCCTACAGCCCATCTCTAGCAAATGTGTATCGACTTCCCGCAAGTCTTTGGATCTTGCCCAATTTATGTTTGAATTCTTTGATTGTTGCATTACCCAAATTACCAAAAGACTCAATAACCTCTAAATGCCAGCACAAATGCAAAGTGACAGTTTACTTGAATGTTTTAGAATCCTATATGTTCCCACAGAAGGAGCTCATAGTCTTTTATCAACAGAAACTCAATTTATTGATTAATTGCTGAGAAATTAGGGGGCAACAGAAAATAGACTTATCAATCTACCATGTGCTATTGCAGGCACGTGGCGTGGGACTGGCGGGTAGCTCCACCTGCAGCCCCGGCATGGGATCCACTAGGTGAAGCCAGCTGGGCTCCAGAGTTGGGTGGGGACTTGGAGAACTTTTATGTCTAGCTGGAGGATTGTGTATGCACCAATCAGCACTCTGTGTCTAGCTCGGGGTTTGTAGATGCACCAATCAGCACTCTGTATCTAGCTACTCTGGTGGGGACTTGGAGAACTTTTATGTCTCACTAGAGGATTGTAAATGCACCAATCAGCACTCTTTGTCTACCTAAAGGTTTGTAAATGCACCAATCAGTGCTCTGTGTCTGGCTAATCTAGTGGGGACTTGGAGAACTTTTATGTCTAGGGAAAGGTTTGTAAATGCACCAATCAGCACCCTATGTCTAGCTCAAGGTTTGTAAATGCACCAATCAGTGCTCTGTGTCTACCTAATCTAGTGGGGACTTGGAGAACTTTTGTGTCTAGCTAAAGGATTGTAAATGCACCAATCAGCACTCTGTGTCTAGCTCATGGATTGTAAATGCACCAATCAGCACCCTGTCAAAATTGACCAATCAGCTCTCTGTACAATGGACCAATCAACTCTCTGTACAATGGACCAATCAGCAGGATGTGTGTGGGGCCAGATAAGGGAATAAAAGCAGGCCTCTTGAGCCAGCAGCGGCAACCCACTCAGGTCCCCTTCCACACTGTGGAAGCTTTGTTCTTTTGCTCTTTGCAATAAATCTTGCTGCTGCTCACTCTTTGGGTCTGCACCACCTTTATGAGCTGTAACACTCACTGTGAAGGTCTGCAACTTCACTCCTGAGGCCAGTGAGACCATGAACCCACCTGGAGGGATTAACAACTCCAGACGGGAGGAATGAACAACTCCAGATGCACCGCCTTAAGAGCTGTAACACTCACTGCGAAGGTCTGCAGCTTCACTCCTGAAGCCAGCAAGACCACGAACCCACCAGAAGGAATAAACTCCGAGCATGTCCGAACATCAGAAGGAACAAAGTCTGGACACACCATCTTTAAGAACTGTAACGCTCACCGTGAGGGTCCGCAGCTTCATTCTTGAAGTCAGTGAGACCAAGAACCCACCAATTTAGGACACACTATGTGTTAGGCCTGGCTCAGTAAGTATAAAGAATATGATAAAACTGGATTCTGGAATCTTACAATCTAGTCAGGAAGCAAAGAAAAAGACTTTGCTTTAAAGTTGGTGCAGTGGCTCATGCCTATAACCCCAGCACTTCGGGAGGCCAAAGTGGGCAGATCACTTGAGGCCAGGAATTGGAGACCAGGCTGGTAAAGTAGTGAAACTCTGTCTCTTCTACAAATAAAAAAATTAGCT
This sequence comes from Homo sapiens, assembly GCF_000001405.40. Classification (NCBI taxonomy): domain Eukaryota; kingdom Metazoa; phylum Chordata; class Mammalia; order Primates; family Hominidae; genus Homo; species Homo sapiens. Next base: position 48,829,117 of record NC_000004.12, read on the forward strand.
GGGCGTGGTGGTGCACACCTGTGGTCCCAGCTACTCAGGAGGCTGAGGCACAAGAATTGCTTGAATCTGGGAGGCGAAGGTTGCAGTGAGCCGAGATGGCACCACTGTACTACGGTCTAGACAATAGAGCAAGGCCCTGTCCTAAAAAAAAAAACAACAAAAAACTTTGCTTTAACATAAAGCTCACCACCTAGAATGTCTTCTAATTTTTTTATTTTTGTTTCTTCTAGAATGTCTTTTAATTTTCTTATTTTTGTTTTTTCTCCTATAAAAATGCATTCAACAAATTCATTTAAGAAATATTTGTTGGCTTCATATGATCATGTGCCAATCACTGATGCTAGGCAAATACGGCTCCTACTGTCATAGACCTTTTTAGTGAAGAGAGACAATACACAAACAAATCATTGTTTTAGACCATAACAAATACTATGAAAACAATAAGCAAGGTAACATGGAGAGTGACTGGGGTGCCATGTTAATTGGGTGGTCAAGGAATGCCTCTCTGATGTGGTGACATCAACTGAAGTCTCAGACAAAAAGCCACGTTGAACATCTGGAAGAACAGTGGTCTAGAAGAGGGAACAGCAATTGCACAAGCCCTGGGCCCAGAAGTAAATTAGCTTGTCCCAGGAACAAAATGAGTATTAGTTACTAATACTGATTATCTCAGGGATTTATTTGGTTCTATAAAGACTTACAAGCCAACATCTCTGTCCTAAAGGAGCTCTGTAACAGAGACAGACGTAAGTAAAAAAGATCACTATTCAGTGCAAAAGTACATTGCAGTGACAGCAGTATGGACAAGCTAAGGACTAAGAAGGAAGAGTGATTACTTCTCTGGGGTGTATTTCAGGGAAGGCATCACAAAGGTGGTGATGTAAAAGCAGAATTTTGAAATATCGTTAGAATTGACAAAGCAGGGAGTAGAGTTGTACTGGGGAAACAGTGCACAGAGAACACTGAGGGCAAAGACCTCCAGGCTGTTTCTTGTTAGTGAACCCTGAAATAGAAGAAAGTGACGCTCAAAAGGCACAGGCACCACCAGGCCATGATGGGCCTTATATTCGGTGCATGACTGGAGCTATCAAAAGACTCCAAGGAAGGAAACACAGCGTTGGATTCGTTTCACGTGACTGTCTCCCTTAAGTATGTCTTCGGGAGAATAAATGTTAAATGATAAAGTGGCAAAGGGGCTCAGAAAGAGATGAGAAACCTGAGAGGCTTTGAGGGGTTGACAAATAGTAGGACTGGATTTGCCCACTGTTTAGTCACTAATAACTTGCAGTACATGGCACTAATAAATACTTCAGGAAGGAATGTATGAAAATGAGTAAAATGCTGATTGGCTGGGTGTGGCAGCACCATGTCTGATGTGTAGAAGTCGTGAGCCCCCTCATTAATAGACAGTGATGTGTTGTTTTAATTCTAACAACCCTATATGTAATTCCACTTTTCAGGTGAGAAAAACCGTAGCCTCAGAGAGATCACGGTACCCTGCCAGAGGTTGTAGAACTTGTTGGAAACTTGGATCAAGAGGGTGTGACAAATAACCAGGTATGCATGCTTAAAAATTACTTTCTACTACTTAGCCTACAGGCTCAAAGAATGAAATTATCTCATAAAAGAGATAATTTATAAAGTCGCTCTCAAAAGAGGGACAACAGAGGGTTCCGGAACGTTCCCGCCAGCCGCCACGAGAAGACCAGAGAGGTGCATCACAACAGCCCAAAGTCAAGCCTACTCCCAACCCCCTTCCCCGCCATCCAGGGAAGGGGCGGGGCAGGGTTCTTGGTCCGCCGCTGTCGCCTGCGCAGTCGCAGTGCGGCTCGTGGCCGCAGCTGCCTGAAAGGGCAAAGGGACGAGTATACGCATGCGTCTATTCCTAGGCTGCTGGCTCTCAGACCCGCAGTGAGGTCTGACGTCATTTCCTGCCGTAAGTATACAGTGCCTCCGGGTCGCGGTCATTTTGAGCCCCTGTCTGGATGACTTCTTGCGGCTGTTCTACCCCTCCCCCTCCCCGCGGTACCTTGCACTTTTCTCCCTCCCTGCCCCCTCTCGAGTCCACCCTCCGGGCCTTCTGCCCCTGATCGCTTGGTTTTCCTTGCAGTCGCCTGCTGCTGTCGTCGGGAGGTGGGTGAGGTGACGCAAACAGCCCCGTTGTTGCCCTCCGCGTATCCCCTCACCACCTTTGCGGCCATCCACGACTTTCGCACCTTCCGCCATTTTCCTGCCTGTGAGGGTGGACAGATCGCGCTCGGGTCTCGGCCTCCTGAGTGCCGGTGACTGCGGGAGGCGACGGAGTGCTTCTGGGGGTGTGAGCTGGGGAAGTTCGTGGTCACGGATGCGTGTGGGGTTGCTGCTCAGTCTGTAACGGCAGGTGGGAGACGGACACTGGGTGGAGGATGGAGTGCGGTAATCAGCGGTTGTAGGCCGCTTAGGCTTTAATCCAGCGTTGTTTTGTGTAAAGAACTTAAAATGGTATTGTCTTAAGCGCCGTGTCAGCCCTGACAGTCTTCCTGGTGTTTCTAGGAAGGATGCCGTTATGGGAAATAAGAGGGTTTCATTTTTTCTCATACGGTTGTAGGGTAAAGGTAGTTTATTCAGCAGGCTCCATCCATCCATGAATTCAGCTGACCTTTTTTATTTCTTTTCTCTAATTAAGGGGTTGGCATGTAGTAGGCCTTCATGGCTTATTGACTGAATGAATTATGGAAGGGCTCAGTTGCTGTCCTCATTGTGTATGCCATTTCCTGTTTCCATGCAAATTGTTTTTAAAATGAGAATAATCATGATCCCACGTAAACGTTCTGTAAAATACGGTTACTTGATCTGTTGGTCTGAGTCCCAATATATGAGTTTTTAAAAAAAGAACCAAATAAAAAATGTATATTCTTGGAATTTTATGCATTTTTTTCTTATATTCTTGGGGTGGAAGGAAATTTGGAGATACAGAATTTGCTGTTAGTTTTACCTCACAGGGAGAAGGATATGTCGTCTTTGTTATTCCATAATTTTGGAGTGCTCCTTTGTGGGAGAGGTTGAATGTTTCTGATGATTATTTCATTTTTTAATATGGAAGCTCAGAAATGACTTGAAATTTTTTTTCTCTTCTATTTTGGGGAATTATCCTAATCATTGGGCATAGATTCGAGAAACGACCAAAACATAGGATGTGAAAGAACCCACTTCCAGGAGGAAAAAATATGTCTGTTATTTTATTGATATCTTGATAGTAAAAAAAATTATAAACTTATAAAACGCATATGCTTTTTCAATTAAGGGACTTAACCTGAATAGTGAGTTCCAAATTAATCAGTAGGTCTGTTACTTTTTCATCTAGCTATTTACATGTGGAGTACGTAAGATATAGTAGTGTTTAATAAATATTTGTTGATTGATTGCTGTGTAGACTAGTAGTTTTACTATATCATACGTCTTGATTTACTTTGACCTATCTAGTGATAGTTTCTAATACTTAATATGTAATGTTTTTGATACAGGAAAGATGAATGGGAGGGCTGATTTTCGAGAGCCGAATGCAGAGGTTCCAAGACCAATTCCCCGTAACTATCTATTAAGTATTTATAATTAGAAGCACTTCCTATGTAAAGGAATTTTCACTGCCTTGAGTAACAGTGGCAGGTGGGCTGGCTTCATGGGCATGTGCAGACAGCGCCCCATACTTGGTTTCATGTTCTAGTCTTGTTATCTTGAAATTCATAATCATTTGGATAAGGAGTCCCACGTTTTTATTTTGCACTGGGCCCAGCACATTAGGTAGCCAGTCCTGACTAGCAGATAGTAGCATTAATTCTATTTGAAGTCAAAGTTTGTTGAAAGTGTATAAGTGGCCTGGCTCGGTGGCTCATGCCTGTAATCCCAGCACTTTGGGAGGCTGAGATGGGTGGAACACCTGAGGTCAGGAGTTCGAGACTAGCCTGGCTAACATGGTGAAACCCCGTATCTACTAAAATACAAAAAATTAGCCTGGCGTGGTGATGGGTGCCTGTAATCCCAGCTACTCGGAAGGCTGAGGCAGGAGAATCGCTTGAACCCCGGGAGGTGGAGGTTGCAGTGAGCCGAGATCGCGCCATTGCACTCCAGCCTGGGCAACAAGAGTGAAACACTGTCTCAAAAAACAAAAAAAGTGCATAAGCCAGTTGTTTTATTATTTGAGTTTAAAAAATGGGTGCCTCTTGTTAATGTTTAGGCTAAGATAATTTTTCAGACCTAGTTTTATTATGGATAATTTAATGTTTTCTGATTTTCCCTGGTAAAAAGACATAGGGCCTGATTACATTCCAACAGAGGAAGAAAGGAGAGTCTTCGCAGAATGCAATGATGAAAGCTTCTGGTTCAGATGTGAGTTCAATTTTCTAATTAATATAATTTGATCCAAAATTTGTACCTGAAATTTTGACTTGAATTTGAACCTGAAATTATAATAACTCCGTATAGAACAAATTGGCAAACTTTTTGCATAGTGTGGTTGTTGTTAAAAGAGATTAAGGAGATAAAGGAATTGCACACATTTTAAAGTAATTATTTCCAGATTTTTAACAAAACCATGAGGTAATTTTGTTGATAATAGTAATAGTTAGCATTTACTGTGTGTACATAGATTATATAAAAACAACCCAATAAGGTTGATAACTATTATTACCCTCACTTTACAGGTGAAGGAATTGAGGTTTAGAGATGTTAAATGGCAACACTTAGTGTTACACAGGTGATAAATTACGATGTTTGGAGTTGAAAACAGGTCTGTCTGAAACAGATTTTACTCTTAATGCTTTTAACCATTATATAATAGCAGATTAGTTCCCATTTTATCATTGTGAAATGTTGTTATACTACCAGCTCTTGATTTCTGATTAAAGAAATATATATATATTTGTGTATATATATATATCAAGATTGTATTTTTTAAATACAGAGATTGTTGGAAGCAGTATACAAAATATACTCTCACTATTTAACAAAGAATTGGTATTGCTTTACTTGGAAACTGTAGTCCTTTCAGGTAAAAAGGAGGATGAATTTTTTTTTGTTTTTGTTTTTGTTTTTTTGAGATGGAGCTTCGCTCTTGTTGCCCAGGCTGGAGTACAATGGTGTGATCTCAGCTCACTGCAACTTCTGCCTCCTGGGTTCAAGCGATTCTCCTGCCTCAGCCTCCTGAGTAGCTGGGATTACAGGCATGTGCAACCATGCCCAGCAAATTTTTCTATTTCTAGTAGAAGCGGGATTTCACCATGTTGGCCAGGCTGGTCTTGAACTCCTGACCTTAGGTGATCTGCCTTGGCCTCCCAAAGTGCTGGGATTATAGGCGTGAGCCACCATGCCTGGCAAATTTTTTTTTAAAAAAGGCAACTTGGCACGGTGCCTCATGGCTATAATTGCAGCACTTTGGGAGGCTGAGGCAGGAGGATTGCTTGAGCCCAGAAGTTCAAGACCAGCGTGGGCAACATAGAGGGGCCTTGTCTCTACCAAAAATGAAAGAAATTAGCTGGGTGTGGTGATACGTAGCTGTAATCGCAACCATTTGGGAGGCTGAGGCTGAGGTAGGAGGATCCCTTGAGCTGGGTACATAGAGGCTGCTGCAGTGAGCTATGATCACATCACTGCATTCCAGCCTGGGTGACAGAGCCAGACCCTGTCTCAAAGAAAAGAAAAAAAGGGCAACTTAAGCCATTAAGGAGGATGTATGTTTTCATCAGTCAGCCTGATATGTATGCTTAAAATGTGCAAGGTACCTGTTGGGAAGATAAGTTTTATGAAAGACAGACTTTGTCCTGAATTAATTTTCTTTTTTGTTTGTTTGTTTTTGTTTTTGAGACGGAGTCTCACTCTCTTCCCCAGGCTGGAGTGCAGTGGTGTGATCTCTGCTCACGTCAACATCCTTCTCCTGGGTTCAAGTGATTCTCCTGCCACAGTGTCCTGAGTATCTGGGACTACAGGCGTGCGCCACCATGCCCGGCTAATTTTTGTATTTTCAGTAGAGACTGGGTTTCACTATGTTGGCCAGGCTGATCTCGAACTCCTGACCTCAGTTGATTCACCTGCCTTGGCCTCCGAAAGTGCTGGGATTACAGGTGTGAGCCACTGCGCCTGGCCCTGAAGTAGTTTTATATGTGGTGAGACAAAGCTAATACATGAAACACTTAGAGATTAAGTGTGTAACTGCAGAAGACTTTTTAAAGAGATAAATTAATTAGAATTGACTTACTGAAATTGAAAAATTTGAATAACTTTTGAGATTTTAAAACTCAAAATTTTCTCAAAATTTTACCAAATTTCAATTTGGTAAAAACTGAAGCCTCTTACAATTTTACAGTTGTGTTTTTCTGTAACATAAGGTGGAATACCTGAGTTGGAAAAAGACCTTTATTTGTTAAGCAAACAATACTTTAACAACTTTATAATAGTACTGTAGGCCAGGTATGGTGGCTCACACCTGTAATCCCAGCACCTTGGTTTTGTTTTGTTTTTTATTTTTGTAGATACTAGGTTTTGCCATGTTGCCCAGGCTAATCTTGAACCCCTGAGTTCAAGCGATCTGCCTGCCTTGGCCTCCCCAAATGGTGGAATTTCAAGCATGAGCCACTGAACCTGGCCCCAGCACATTGGGTGGTTGAGGCAGGAGGATCGCCTGAGACCAGGAGTTTGAGACCAGCCTTGGCAACATAGTGAGACCCTGTCCCTAATCCCCCAACAACAACAACAAAAGAATTAATAGTTAATAAGTAGATAAGTGAAGAGGAAAGGTGGAGTAGCATTTGGAAGAAAGGAGTAGTGAACAAAGGCAGAGTTTGCAATAACTTCATCTCTGCTGGAGCGGTGAGCCTGAATTGATTGGAACAGAGGTCTTTCATTGAGGATAGAACGTAAAACATAGTAATGAGTTAAAGGTTTGATCCATTATATCGTTTAGGTTCTTGAGCAGAGGGGGGTGATATGTAAGGTTTTTTTTAAGGAAGGTTAGTTAACAGTGTGCAAGATGGGTAGAAGGGTGAGAAGTTGTACTTGGTAAAATCTGTTTTGAGCTTTTGGCAGTAACTTAGGCATATATATGTAGTCAACGATGAGATATAGTTGATTAGTGTGTCATTTGGACTGGAAAAGATGAGCTGGCAACGAAAGACTTTTTAAAGGACAAATAAAAGGATTTTTTAAAAAGTTCGACTAAGGGGGAATGAAGGAATGGTAAGAGGGAGGTAATAGCTTTAAGATAACCAGCTTAGGAGACTCAATGATACCTCTGAATAAAAGGTTCATTTAGAAGGAGTTCTTGTTTGAAGATGAGTTTAGTTCAGACGTTTTGAGTTCATGGTGCAACATTCGATTGTCGAAGATTTCTAAGCAACTACAGATAGAAACAAAAGCATACATGAAAAATTAGTTTATTGTGGAGTTGTGTTGGTGAATTCGCCAATAAATTAAGTGTAGAGATAAAAGCATAAAACTGATAATAGTTTCTGCCCTGTGATTAATACTTAGGATTGATAGAATAAAGGATAAAGTTTGGATAGTACCCATGGATAAGGGAACAAGTGATAGTGAAAGAATCAACAAAGACCAAGAGCAGTTAGGAAGATAGAGGAGCTCTGATAGAATCTTTGTCATTTTATCCACCAATATTCAGAGACTTGCAGGTATTTCAAGCTAGAAAGAACCTGAATAAGAATTAGGTGATGATGTCCATTTTAAATTTATGATGACTATGCATCTAAAACAGTTATTCTCAACTGGGAGCAGAATAACTGGAACGAGTTGAGAATAATTGTTATAGATGCATAGTCATCATAAAGTAAGGGCTTCTATAAAATTTTCATGGCTCATTAGAATGGGAATAATTTCTTTCTTTTTTTTTGAGACGGAGTCTCGCTCTATCCCCCAGGCTGGAGTACGGTGGTGCAATCTTGGCTCACTGCAAGCTCCGCCTCCTGGGTTCATACCATTCTCCTGCCTCAGCCTCCCGAGTAGCTGGGATTACAGGCGCCTGCCACCATACCTGGCTATTTTTTTTTGTATTTTTACTAGAGATGGGGTTTCACCGTGTTAACCAGGATGGTCTCCATCTCCTGACCTTGTGATCCACCTGCCTCGGCCTCCCAAAGTGCTGGGATTACAGACGTAAGCCATCGTTTTTTTTTTTTTGTTTTTTTTTCTTTTTTCGGTGTTCTTTTTTTTGTGACTGGGTTTCACTCTTGTTGCCCAGGCTGGAATGCAATGGCACAGTCTTGGCTCACTGCAACCCCTGCCTCCTGGGTTCAAGCAATTCTCCTGCCTCAGCTTCCCAAGTAGCTGGGCTTATAGGCGCCTGCCACCATGCTCAGCTAATTTTTGTATTTTTGGTAGAGAAGGAGTTTCACCATGTTGGCCAGGCTGGTCTCGAGCTCCTGACCTTGTGATCTGCCCACCTCGGCCTCACAAAGTTCTGGGATTACAAGCATGAGCCACTGTGCCTGGCCAGAATGGGAAGAATTTCTTAGAGAACTTGGCTGTATACTCCAGCAACAGTTCTTTTTTTTTTTTTTTTTTTTAAATCTTTGAAGATTATATAGAGTAGATAGGATAAAATGATCTATTTTTAAGTCTTGATGACACAGGATTAAGAAAAAGGCAAGTGTGATAGAGGGGATTTGGGATTATTGTAGTGTTGGGCTAACGGTTAAATAGATGCTAAGGTGTCCAGATTTATTTCTGGCTGATAAATGTATGCTGCTGCAGGTGTTTAACAATCTAAATAGCTGTGACAGGTTTATGCCAAAAGTACATTAAAGGGTAGTGAACAATGTCAGGATGCCCGTGTATACCAGACTCTTAATAGTGGGACATGTGGTATATGAACAGTACAAAGCTAAGTGATTTCTGTGCATTAAAACAGATAAATCACAGGTTGAAAAGACAAAAAGCGGCTGGGCTTGGTGGCTCACACCTGTAATCCCAGCACTTTGGGAGGCTGAGGCAGGCAGATCACCTGAGGTCAGGAGTTCGAGACCAGCCTGACCTATATGGTGAAACCCCGTCTCTACTAAGAATACAAAAATTAGCTGAGCATGGTGGCAGGTGCCTGTAATTCCAGCTACTCGAGAGGCTGAGACAGGAGAATCGCTTGAACCCGGGAGGCAGAGGTTGCAGCAAGCCAAGATCGTGCCACTGCACTCCAGCCTGGGCGACAGAGCGAGACTCCATCTCAAAAAAAAAAAAAAAGACAAAAAGCATGTGATAAGGACAGGCTGAAAGACAGCTTGTTAATTTTATACCATATCTACATTACTGAGAAATTACAGCAGCCAAAAAATTACTGTATTAATAGGTAGCATTTCACTCTCAAAACAGATAACCAAGGTGTTGTTGCATATTATAGCATCAAACATTGAAATGTAGAAGCTTGGTTGTAACCAGGTGATAGGAAGTTCAACGTATAATTATCAGAAGGATGATAATCATACATAGGAAATTTTGTACTTTAACATTTGTACTTTCGAATTAGATAGTCTATGCTGTATGTGACATTTATGTAAACAAATAATGGCATCTGTTACTTTGGAGAGTATCACCTTGGATTAGAAAAAGGTGATAAAAGCATTTACGAATTTATAAAAAAGCACTTACTAAGGTAATTTTTTATACATTTTTTAGGTCTGTTAAAATACTTATCCTCTTCTAAAATTAGACTTGTTGATCTAGGGACCATTCTCTTTCCTTAAGATAACTATGTTTCTATACTGACCTACATTCCATTAATCTGAAATATAACTATGAAGGCATCTTATTTCTAGGTGCTTAAAATCGTGACCCTATGCACTGACCTAAAATCACTATGTCTGTGCCCAAACACACAGGTAGTGAAGACCCTGTGCATATAGGGTCAGTTTATTGCATATTCATGTTAAAATAGTTCTCAAACTCCAGAATTACTAAAAAGATGTATCAGTTCATATTTGTATCAGCTGGAGTCTATGAATAATATTTCATATATGTGTACTACTAGTTTTCAAATGATACAGTATAAGAGTGATAAGAGTATGGGCCAGGCATGGTGGCTCACACCTGTAATCCCAGCATTTTGAGAGGCCGAGGTGGGTGGATCACTTGAGGTCAAGAGTTCAAGACCAGCCTGGCTAACATGGTGAAACCCTGTCTCTACTAAAAATACAAAAATTAGCCAGGTGTGGTGGCACATGCCTGTAGTCCCAGCTTCTTGGGAGGCTGAGGCAGGAGAATGGCTTGAACTCGGGAGGCAGAGGTTGCATTGAGTCAGGATTGTGACATTGCACTCCAGCCTGGGTGACAAAGCGAGACTTCATCTCAAAAAAAAAAAAAAAAGAGTATGGACTCTGAGGCCTGATTGGCTGGATTCAAATCCCAGCTCCACACACAGTAGCTGTGAGATTTTGGACAAGTTCCTGAGGTCTGTGCTATACTTTTCTTATCTATAAAATGGGGATAACTGCCTAGCTCATGAAATTATTATAGGGATTAATGCAATTTAATTAAGTGTTGGCTATCTTTATTAAATAGCTATTAGTGTTATTATGATTAATGAAATAAAAATTTTTATTGACTACAGTTAGGAATATAGAGTAGCTTTTTGTTACTGTGAGGGGAGAAGAGTTCAAATAATTGTAGGGATTCTTGTATATATTGAATATAGTTTGGGACTGTGGTAATAATGTGCACTAGGTTTTGGTCAGCAGTATTACTGATTTGCCTATAGAGACAGATTATTTAACAAAATAGATATTACATACTGTAGTGGAAAAGGCCACTGACTAGGGAGTCAGGAGACTTGGGTTCTGATCTCAGCATTACCACAAACTAACCAGCTGTGTTGCTTTGAGCAAATGACTTGTCTTTTCTGGATATTAGTGTACTCAGATTGGAATGAGGACTAGATAATCTCTGAAGCCTCTTTCAGTCTTACCATTGTCTTTTTCTGTGACATAAAGTAGAATACCTGAGTTGGAATGAGACCTTAGGTCTAATCCATTATTCCTTTATAGCATGAGAAGAAGCTATGCAAAGACATTGTGGTGAATGGCAGAACTAGTACTAGAATCTCCTCGAACAGACTATTACTCTGCATTAAATGGGGAAAGCATTATCCATTGTAGAAATGGCCAGCTAACTCATTGCCTTTTATTCTTATATGATTCTTCAGTGCTTCATGTTGCAATCCTTGAGTCAAGCTGGAGAAAAATGATTGCAAATTGTACTGGTGCTGTAATTAAAAGGGATTTGTCCTTTGCAAAACCTTAAATGATAAATGATAATGCATGAAGGCATTCTAACTAGCCAACATTAAAGAAACCATATTTCCAGCAAAGGTAAAATCTGTTAGTAAGTAGGATAGCATGAATTCAGACCTTAGCGTTTGTGCAATTTGTGTGTGATGGCAAAGTTAATGCCCTATTCCAAAGTGATGGATTTTAATCATGAAATCTGTAATAATTCAAATGTCTTAATTACTTTGGTTCTTAAATTGTCCATATATGGTTTAGACCAGAGTTGAACAAACTAGCCCATGGACCAAATCTGTTTTTGTATGCATGAGCTAAGAATTGTTTTTACATTTTTAAATGGTTAAGAGGCTGGGTGCAGTGGCTCACGCCTGTAATCCCAGCACTTTGGGAGGCTGAGGTGGGCTGATTACTTGAACCAAGGAGATCGAGACCAGCCTGGGCAACTTGGCGAAACCTCATCTCTACAAAAAAAAAAAAAAAAAAGAAAAAAGACAAAAAATTAGCCAGGCATGGCGGTGCATGCCTGTAGTCCCAACCACTTGGGAGGCTGAAGCAGGAGGATCATCTGAGCCGGCAGGTTGAGGCTGCAGTGAGATGAGATTGTACCACTGCATTCCAGCCTTGGTGATAGAGTGAGACTTTGTCTAAAAACATAAAATAAGATAAAATGGTTAAGAAATCAAAGGAAAAGAATATTTCATTACGTGTGAAATTACATGAAATTCATATGTTTGCATCTAAAAATAAAGTTTTGTTGGAACACAGCTACGTTCATGTGTTTTTGGATTGTCTTTCGGTGCTTTTGCTTTAAAACGGCAATTGAGTAACTGGGACAGAGATTGGCCCACAAAACCCAAAATATTTACCATCTGGCTCTTCATAGAACGTGTTTGCCAACCTCAGGTCTGGAACAGCACTGTCCAGTGTGGCAGCCAGTAGTCACATGTAGCAATTTAACTTTAAAATAACTTGCAGTGAAAGGATATAAAGCAAAATCATAAAAGGAAAGGGAGCATGGGGTGAAGTCCGGCGGAAACCAGGTCCCAAGAGTTCTCTTCCCAGGGAGTGTAAATTTCTCCAACAGCTAGTCATAACAATGTGTGAAGTTGTATCTACCCGGGGAACTCATTAGAGACTCAGTGCCCACAGTTTTTATTGGGGGCTGGTCACTTATTCACCCTCTGCCTAACAGGTACCAAAATTCCAGACTCCTAGAATGAAAGCAGATGTTTGGCATGAACTGTATTTGTACAAACAGTTTGGGCACAGTGAGCCAATTACGCATATCAATGGGGGGAACTGTTTACCAGTCAAGTACCAAGACCAAATTGATCACAGGGTTGGTCACTCAAAGACCAACTTCCATTATCATAAAAAATTCTGTTAGACAGTGCTGGTGTAAAGAACAGTGATTCATAGCTGTTTTTAAGTTATAGCCCCCTTTGAGATTATGAGTTTTGGATTTTTCACTCTCGGTTTTAGGCATATATATATATAGATGTAATATTTTCATATAGTTTAAGGAGTTCACTAGTTTAGAAGAAAGAACATAAGTGTTTAAAATATGTGCTTTTTAATTTTTGCCCCAGCCACCGTATGATTACGGTCAAATATGTTTTGTATTTTGGTTTAGATGGTATACTAGAGCTTAAAAGCTTGAGATCTGGTATCAGACAGATTTTATTAGAATCTGTAACCAACCATTCAACTAGTTGTTTGGCCTTGAGCAAATTACTTAACATCTCTAAGCTTCAGTTTCCTTATCTTTAAAAGGGTGGTAATAACATTATCTACCTTATAGAAATATGATAAAAAGTATAATAAATGAGATAATGCACATAAGGCGCTTAGCATGATGCACAGAATTTAGTCATTACTCAGTAGTGGTTCTTACTTGTAACTTGTTTCTTACCTCTCCTTCATTAACTTTTTCCCCTTCTCTTACTTCAGAAGTAATTTTGAGTCACTTTTACTGTGTTGTCTTAGTTGATGCTGTTGATGAACAGCTGGCTATTTGGAACCTAAGCCTAGATGGTTCATGAATTATATTGTTTAATATTTTGTGATGTTTTCTTAAATTTAAAATGCTCCTTTAATTTTTCCACTATGTATACAGTACAGCTTTTAAAAATGGAACAGTCTTTTTTAAAGGTCTTAGTTATGCAATATAATTCCTAGATGGTTTTACTGCTATTCATTTATCTAATGAACTTTAGACAAAATCTTTTACTTTTGTTGATGTTAACAAGGTCTTTTTCTTCCTATAGCTGTGCCTTTGGCTGCAACAAGTATGTTGATTACTCAAGGATTAATTAGTAAAGGTAAATATTTAAAATTTGAATTTATTTAGCATTTTGGATACCATGTTTGTTTTGTGGTATTTTCCAGGTCTTTAGAAAAAGTAAAGATAACAATGTATCATATTAAACACTATGTAGAAATTCATTGATGAATTTAAACGTTTTATCTCTGTGGACCCACTGGCTCAAATATCATGACTTGAGAATTTCTCCTGCACTAATAGCATCATTAACAATCTGCAAGAGCAAGAAGGTAACTAAACACCAGTATTAGCAGGGCAAACCTGGTCTAGGTGGGCCAATAGCAACATTATTGCCTAGGAGCTTGTTAGAATGCACATTCATGGGGACCAGGAGTCTGTGTTTTAACAAATTCGAAGTGATTCTTATATAATGATTTAAAGATCAGTAGCTCTCTAAACCAGCTTTGTCTGATCACCTGGGGCGGATGAGTGGCGGTGAGTTAGCATTATTTAAAAAATCAGAATCTCAGGGGTCTGGCAGGTGATCTATTTTTAACGAGCCACCGAGGAGACTTTCTTGTCCTAAAGTCTATTGGCTCAAATAGTACAGTAGTGGAATTGAGTTTAGATTGAGTATTAAATGTCTTGAGTCCTGCATTTAAAATGTAGTGGAGTAAGCAGTAGAGTTGCTTAATTCCTTTACTTCATGAACTATCTATCTGGTAATGGGAAGGTGTCCCAGAAAAGGATGGTGACCTTAGGATGGCCTGGAGGCCTATTGTTTTAATTAACTGGCTCCTTCAAAAATGTGACTTAATGATTGGAAGATTTAGCCTTTTCACATTAGGATATGATGTATGGTACTTAGTTTTGACACAATTAGTTGATAAAAGTAGTTTTGGAGGCAAATGAGAGGATTTTTGGGGTAAAAATTTATTTAAGGAACTTCTGAAGAACTTCATTACAATACAGTACCATGACAAAAATCTTAAACATAGAAGCGAGTCAAGATGTATGCACTTATATGTCCTTAAGACTAAGCTGTTTTATAGACTGAGATTGGTTCTGTATTGTGAAACAACAACAACAACAACAACAAAACAAAAAAAACCCCACTTGAATTACATTCTTTGTAGGAAAAACTGGCACAGGGATGAAATTACAGTGTTTATTATTGTTCTGCTTCTTTTATCTATTTTAATCCAGTGTGTCATTTAATAATGATTGGAGCTAGGTATGCAGAAGGTTACACAAAAGAATTTAATAGCTGCTAGTAGTTCACTGGAGGAAACAAATGGATGTGAACATATGTTGAAGCAAATAGAAAATTTAATTACATACTTAATAAGCTACTAAATTGTATAGTAGAGACTCTAAGAGTTGTAGGTGTTCAAAGAAGAAAGATCTTTGTAGGGCTGTTGTAATCAAGGAAAGTTTCTTGAAAGAAGTGGGTTTTGAAGGATGGGCAGGATTTAGATTAAATGAGAAGAAAGAACATACCAGGAAGGAGGGACCTGATGATGAAGACAAATAGGCATAACTATTGGGAGAGGCAATCAGGACTGAACTGAAGAGACAAAATCATGCAGGGAGGAGTGAAAAATCCATTAAATAGCTGAAGTAGAGCCAGGAGAAATTATAATTTGGATTAGGTTATGAAGAGGAGGAAGTTTTTTAGAGATTTTGGGTTTAGGTGCAGTTGAAGACTTTGGGCTACTTGAGGGTACGGTAGAAGTGATATTGGGAGGCCGAGTCGGGTGCATCACAAGGTTAGGAAATCGAGACCGTCCTGGCCAACATGATAAAACCCCATCTCTACTAAAAATACAAAAAAATTAGCCGGGCGTGGTCGTGCGTGCCTGTAGTCCCAGCTACTCAGGAGACTGAGGCAGGAGAATCGCTTGAACCCAGGTGGCGGAGGCTGCAGTGAGCTGAGATGGCGCCACTGCACTCTAGCCTGGGCAACAGAGCGAGACTCTGTCTCAAAAAAAAGGTAAAAATTGAGAGAGACTTTAAGAAAAGAATTTGGAATCCACCAAGACATTTTGCATTTAATCAAAATCCCTGACATTTTGTACAGTGGTCCTTTTGTGTCTGTGTGGATTGGTTCCAGGACCCTCCAGAGGATACCAAAATCCACAAAAGCTTAAGTCTCTGATATAAAACGGCCTAGTAAAGTTTACGTGCATATCTGCCTGTATACTGTAAATCATCTCTAGATTACTTATAATACCTAAGACTATGTAAACACTATGTAAATAGTTGTTATACTGTATTGTTTAGGGAATAATGACAAGAAACAAGTCTGTACATGTTTAGTATAGATGCAGTTTTTTTTTTCCTAAATATTTTCTATCCGCAGTTGGTTGCAGAACATGTACATATGGAGGGCTGCCTGTATCCCCTTTCATCCACAGTGTGTCATACTCCACGTGGTCTTAGATGTTCCTTCTGTTTCTTCCTGATCTGCCAAAACCATTTAAACATGCTCAGGTCTCCTCTAACTTGAGAACATTAAAAAGAAAAAAAAATCCTCCCTCATTTGTTTTTCCAGCTACTCCCAACTGCCTCATATTTGAAGCCAGAGGCAGACTTCATGAATGAGCCCTTCACTTTTTACTTCGTTTAACCCATTGCAGTCAGTGTGAGACTATCCATATGTTCTACCATTTATTGGAACTTTTCAAAAGTTCAAAAACAAACTTTTCAAAAACAACCTGTTTGTTGCTTAAATATAATGGACAGTTTTTGTTCTTGACCAACGTTACATAACTTTAACCAGTTTTTCTTGAAATAGTCTATTCTCTTGGCTTCCATGATGGCATATTCCTAAGATTTTTCTCCTACCTCAGGCGATTCCTCTGTTTCATGTTTTTTGAGTGTCTGATATGTACTATACATTGTTATATAGCACTAAACAACAAAAATTCATTAACTCTTGGTGCTTACATTCTTGTATGGGTTTTTTTGTCTAGTTGTTTGGGAAATGTTGGTGTTACTATATTTTGGATATAATATATAATATGTATGGCCCTTCTATAGGCTCCTCAAACAGAACTCAACCATTTTCCACAAAACCAATTCCTCCTTTCCCTTCATGACTGAGTGGTGTTAGTACTATCCAGGAAACTGGGACATTATCCTTCACATCTATCCCTTATCTGCCTTGTCCAATTAATGTCTTTTAGCTCTTAAATGTCTTTATTAACTATCTACCTCCATCTGTACTGCCAGCATAATTAATGCAACCATATGTCACAAAGAGTATTGCGTTAACCTTCAACAAATCTGTTTGTTTCCATTCTTGCTACTTCTCCTTAGGAAAATAAGCTATTTCTAGCACCTGACAGAGGACATACATAGTGCACATAGTACTCAAATATTTGAGGGGATGAATAGCAACCATGACACTATTATCTTTGTCTTAACTCTCTCTCTAGACTGTAAATTCCATGAGAGTAAAGAGTGTGTCCTGTTTCCTGTTAATATCCAGTATGTAGTACCTTTATGTTGTAAGTGGTCTATAACTAGTTGGTGACAGTATGAAGGAACAACTTTTTAATGTAAAAATAGAGATGTTCTTACCATCTTCCTTTTTCTATTGTCATCCCAGTTCTTATAAATGAAGGAACTGAGGCTAAAGGCACAGATTAGTTGTCTGTTTTTGTACTTTAATTACATGAAATCATACACTGAAATATTCTTTTATGTAAGTTCTTTCAACATGGTGAGATTCATCCAGTAGCATGCTGGAACTGGTTTGTACTGGCTCCTGAGAATTGGTTGTTAAATTTTCGGGAACTTTGGCAAGCTGGTTTTTAAAGTGTTGGTAGTTGGCCGGGTACGGTGGCTCATGCCGGTAATCCCAGCACTTTGGGAGGCTGAGGCAGGCGGATCATGAGGTCAGGTGATTGAGACCATCCTGGCCAATATGGTGAAACCCTGTCTCTACTAAAAATACAAAAAATTAACTGGGCATGGTGGTGTGCACCTGTAGTCCCAGCTACTTGGGAGGCTGAGGCAGGAGAATTGCTTGAACCCAGGAGGCGAAGGTTGCAGTGAGCTGAGATGGCGCCACTGCACTCCAGCCTGGGGACAGAGCGAGACTCGTCTCAAAAAAAAAAAAAAAAGAATTGGTAGCTTTACACCATGGAAACTGACAAACATTAAAATTAGAGCTTTTTATAGGGAGTGCTGGTTTACCAGCACATCATTGCACTTAACCACATTGTTGCATGTAGTTGCCCTATAGTTTTCCTCTGTGTGAATACACCAGTTTATCTATCTGAACTGTGCATTGATAATTGGTAGTTTTCAATTTTCACTGTTACAATTAGTTTTGCCAAGAATATGGTGCCTTTTTGATAGACATTTTGCTGGGTCATAGATTTTGTATATATTTATTTAGCTTTAGTAGATATTACCAAACTATTTAGACCAATGTATACTCCTACATTCTCACCAACACTAGCTATTTTTATGTCTTTTATGTTTTAGCCATTGTGGTAAATAAACACTAATATTGATTGCATTGTGGCTTGAATTTGTATTTCCCTGTAACCAATGAAGTTGAAGACCTTTCCATTTGTTTATACTTCATTTCAGCATATCTTTTTCTGTGAAGTATCTGTTTAAGTCTGTTAACCATTTTTCCATTGTATTGTCTTTTTTCCTATTGGTTTTGTGAGACTTCTCTGTATACTTTGGAATTGAGTCTTTTGTCAGATATAGATATGGTGATTATTTTTTCCCCACTCTGTTTAACTGTAGTTTTCAGTGTTAATAGAGTCCAATTTATCAGGTTTCTTCTTTCTAATAGGTGCTTTTTGTTGACTCTTTAAGATCTTCGTCTACTCTAAGGACACAAAGATGGTCTCATGCTTTCTTCTGTAAAATTTTTTAAAAAAATCTTTCATATTTAAATTTTTAAGCCATCTGGATTATTGTTCGATGTAGGATCAAGGTACATTTTCCCCTGTTAATGGATATTAATTGACCCAGCACTATATTTGAAAGGACTATGCTGCAGTGTTGTCTTTGTCATAAATCAAGTGTGCAGGTGTGGATCTGTTTCTGGACTCTTAGTTTTGGTCAGTTTGCCTATTCTTGTACTTAATACCAGACTGTCTTAATTACTACAGCTTTATCATGTAGATTTTGCTATCTGGTGGTAGTCAGTTCTATAATACGATTCTTCAGTGTTGCCTTGGCCCTTTGTGTTCCACATGACTCTTAGAATAAGCTTTTCAATTTTTGTAAAACTTTGATTTTAATTGGGATTGCATTGTATTTATAGGTGAAGTTATGGAGAATTGCCATCTTTAGAATATTGGGTCTTTCAATTCTCAGTAAGTTTTATAACTTGTCAGTGTAGAGATCTTTCATATCTTTCATTAGATTTGTTCCTGGGTTTTGAGCGTTTTTTTTTTTGGTGCTATAATTAATTCTGTCTTCTAAAAAATGTTTGTTTTTTTGTTTGTTGTTGGTATAAACAGTTTTTCATACACACACACATATATATTTGGTCTATTGACCTTACATCAAGTGATCTTTCTAAATTTACCTGTTCTAATACTTTGTAGAGTCTTTTGGATTTTCGTCATATTTCTCTTGATACTGAATTCATTTGGTTTTCCCTATTAAACAGTCTAGGGTTCTGTAGGATCATGGAAGGAGCTAATGTTGTAAGATTATATTTAAAGATAGCCTTTACTGATTTTTCTTTCTGTAACAGTGTTACTCAGAAATACTTAACTCTTTTCTTTAGGAATACTTTCAAGTCATCCCAAATATGGTTCCATCCCTAAACTTATACGTAAGTATGAACAACATTGTAGTTTTCATAGCTTTTTAAAACTTAAATAAAATTATTTTTATCAAATGTTTTATCATGTCTTACTCATATTAGTTATGTGGTTACATGCTCTGATAAATCAGTTTGTTAAAGCATTTCATTAAGTGGATTACTTGGATATTTTATTGTTAGCATAAAAAATCATCAGTTGAAATAGGCATTTTTTTGTGTCTTTATAATGTAATAGAACAATTAATTTAAAATTATTTTGTAAGGATAAAGTATTTGAAAATAAATTTTTGGTCTGTCTATGGGGAAACAAAGTTATGAAGATATTCTGATTAATCAAAATAAAGTATATTTAAAATTAAGCTTAATTTTTAAAAGAAATCTCTCTAATTTGTATTTTAAAATGTAAATAAGCATAACTTATTTACACATTGCAATATAGTTAATAGAAAAAGAAGCTACATTGCCCATCAATGATAGACTGGATTAAGAAAATGTGGCACATATACACCATGGAATACTATGCAGCCATAAAAAAGGATGAGTTCATGTCCTCTGTAGGGACATGGATGAAGCTGGGAACCATTATTATCAGCAAACTATCACAAGGACAGAAAACCAAACACCGCATGTTCTCACTCATAGGTGGGAATCGAACAATGAGAACACGTGGACACAGGAAGGGGAACATCACACACCGGGGCCTGTTGTGGGGTGACGGGAGTGGGGAGGGATAGAATTAGGAGATATACCTAATGTAAACGACGAGTTAATGGGTGCAGCACACCAACGTGGCACATGTATACATATGTAACAAACCTGCACATTATGCACATGTACCCTAGAACTTAAAGTATAATAAAAAATAAGTAAATAAATAAATAAATAAAAGAAAAAGAAGCTACATTGCTCTTCAAAAGAAGTACCTGAGGCTTTTCATGAGTCTTTCAGGTTAGCCTTTCTTTTCTATTTGAAACTCATGTGATGCAGTAAGTGCCACGTTTAGGTTATGGTTCGTAATTTATTACTTTAAGGGATTTGTTGCACCTAATTTTACTTTAAAACAATCTTGTGAAAATGGCTGTGCATATGATATTCTGTTTTATAGGAAAATAATGGCCTAAATCCTTGTGATCTAGTTCTGTTTATTTAGAACTAGAAATAAATAAATGTTTTGATGCTTTTATTCCTTATCCATTCCTCTTCCCATTATACCTTTACTAAATCTTTCCTGTATATATTATAAAGTAATTAGTATACTATAATTGATTTATTTATAGCAGCTTTATTTTGGCACACTTTTTTTGGAAACTGAATTATATCCATAGACTCTGTATATGAACTCTGATCTGATTTAATTTTGATTTCTTCTACCATTATTTCAGGAAATCTCAGTCTTTCTAAACCAAAGACTTATTTAGAATCACACTTTAAAACAAATTTTTCTTTTAGAAAATACTTTTGTCTGAAAGGCACATTCAGTTACACTTTTTGTTTGATTTTACAAATAAGTTGCTTGTATCATGGGATACTTTGCTGGAAAACTTTCTTATGTGAAAACTTGCCAAGAGAAATTCAAGAAACTTGAAAATTCCCCCCTTGGAGAAGCTTTACGATCAGGACAAGCACGACGATCTTCACCACCTGGGTAGGCCAGATTCTGATCTTTACTTAAGATTTTTAATTTTTAAGAAACAACTAGATGTTGCTATAACTCATGGCTCAAAAACATTGCCTGAAGGACCACTGGATACTTGCCATTTGCTGTAGGCTAAAAGTAATTTGCTTCAAAAATTGGAGCAAGACTTGCCACCATTTATTTATTTATGAATGAATGAATGAATGATGGGATCTCCCTCTGTTGCGCAGGCTGGAGTACAATGGCATGATCCTAGCTCACTGCAGCCTCAAACTCCTGGGTTCACAAGGCCCCACTGCCTCAAGCTCTCTGAGTAGCTAGGAATACAGGTGTCAGCCACTGCACCCAGCTAATTAAAAAAAAATTTTTTTTATGGAGATGGGGGTCTCACTATGTTGCCCAGGCTGGTGTTGAACTAGTGGGCTCAATCAGTCCTCCTGCTTTGGCTTCCCAAATTGTTGAGATTACAGGTGTGAACCACTGTGCCTGGTTCTTCATTTTTGTTTTGTTTTGTTTTGAGACAGAGTTTCACTCTGGCTCCCAGGCTAGGAGTACAGTGGCGTGATCTCGGCTCACTGCAACCTCTGCCTCCTGGGCTCAAGTGATCCTCCTCCCTCAGCCTCTGGAGTAGCTGAGACCACAGGCATACACCACCACGCCTAGCTAATTTTTTGTATTTTTTGAAGAGACAGGGTTTTACTGTGTTTACCAGGCTGGTCTCAAACTCCTGAGCTCAAGTGATCTGCCCCACTTGGCCTCCCAAAGTGCTGGGATTACAGGCGTGAGCCACTGCATCTGGCCTTCATTGTTGTAAATATAGAGTTGTGTCCTATTGGGAGTACATGTTCTAGAATAAAGGATTTTATCTCGATTCAATTTGGCAAACACCTTTGGTTACTATAGTTTGGACTTTTCTTTTGAATTCCCAAATCTTATCAATCCCATCTCTTAACAGATTTCAGCTTTTCATTTTAATGCTTCTTAAACAGATAGGCAAGCAATATAATCCCCATGAGAGAGAATTTGTATCTGCTTTAGCAAATTAGTGTTTATATAGATTCTTAGCTGTGATATTACCTTCTCAATTGACATGGGAAACGGGCATGGTTATTGAAATTAGACCTGATTTAAAGTGCTTTTTCTTTCCAAGAACTTTCAAACATACTAAAATTATCTTGAAAGGCTGGGTATACATTTCCTATTTTTCTATACTGACAGTGACTGCTTTTAAGATGTATAAGTGGGTCAGGACTTTTTAAAAGTGTTTTGTTGGCAGAAAGAAACAGACCTCATTTTACTGATTATAAATAACTGCGTTAAAAATTATTTTGAGGCCAGACGCGGTGGCTCATGCCAGTAATCCCAGCACTTTGGGAAGCTGAGGCAGGAGGGTTGCTTGAGCCCAGTAGTTTGAGACCAGCCAGGGCAATATAGTGAGACCTCATCTCTACAAAAAACCAAGTGGTGGCGCATGCCTGTAGTCCCAGCTACTTGGGAAGCTGAGGGGTAGGAGGATTGCTTGAGCCTAGGAGGTGGAGATTGCAATAAGCCAAGACTGCGTCACTGCACTATAGCCTGGGTGACAGAGCAAGACCCTGTCTCAAAAAAATAAAAAAAATTATATGTATATATAATTTTGGAAATAAGCTATATGAAAGAAGTTATTTTAACACTTCTTTAAGATATAGGCAATGACTCATATTTCTTACTACAATATGATTTTCATTTACAGGCACTATTATCAAAAGTCAAAATATGACTCAAGTGTGAGTGGTCAATCATCTTTTGTGACATCCCCAGCAGCAGACAACATAGAAATGCTTCCTCATTATGAGCCAATTCCATTCAGTTCTTCTATGAATGAATCTGCTCCCACTGGTATTACTGATCATATTGTCCAAGGTAGAAACTTCTCTTGAAATGAATTTCAACATTTTATGGTCCAACGTATGTATAAACTTTATTTGATGACCTTTTCTGCTGGATATCACCTGTGTGTTCTACCATCAATCATCAACCTAAACTCAGCATGTTTGTTCATTTGTTTCTTCATTCATTCAACTTTTCTTGAGGACCAGTAGGTGTCAAGGACTCTGCTAGACGTGGAAGAAGATGAATAACACTTGGTTCTTGTCCCTGAAAAACTTTCAGTCTGTTAGAAGATATAGAAATACAAGGATGAATTACTAGTATGTCCCAGTAATTGAAAATACTAAGGCAAGCTTAGTGGAATAGTGAAGAAGAAATGATAAATCGTGTCTCAGGAAGTAGAGCTCCAGGAAAGGTATAAAAAGGTTACATTTGATAGGCTGGGTTTTAAAGGCTTTCAGCTTCCCTGTCTGTAATACAAGAAAGAACTGTTGTCAAGTGAGAAAATCCATGTGAAAATGCTTTGTGAAGTTTGTAAATACTAGCTTTGAAGATCACACATGTAAGTGCAACAACATCAATTTTGTATTAAGGCTTGGATTTGAATCATGATTGACATTTGCTAGCTATGTGACCTTGTAATACTACTACTACATTATAATAATGTAGTAATATTATTATAACTACTTTATGATCCTTTCAGTTTCTTGATCAGTTGAATGGAGATGATACTACCTCTCTTAATGAACTGTTGGAATTAGAGGAAATAATCAGAGGCAATGTCTGGCAAATAATAGACTCAAAAAACATTAGTTTCTTTCCTTCAGTCTAGTCGGCAGTAAAAGATGAGGAATTAGAAACGGGAAATACAGGTCTGTAATTCTTTATCTAAAATCCTGAAATTCAAAAAGGTTTAAGCCAAGTTTTTTTTTGTTTTTTGTTTTTTTTTTTTTTTTTGAGATGGAGTCTTGCTCTGTCGCCCAGTCTGGACTGTAGTGGTGCGATCTCGGCTCACTGCAACCTCCGCCCCCCCAGCTTCACGCCATTCTGCCTCAGTCTCCTGAGTAGCTGGGACTGCAGGTGCCCGCCACCACGCTCGGCTAATTTTTTGTATTTTTAGTAGAGATGGGGTTTCACTGTGTTGGCCAGGATGGTCTTGATCTCCTGACCTCGTGATCCGCCCGCCTCGGCCTCCCAAAGTGCTGGGATTACAGGTGTGAGCCACTGCCCCCGGCCTGTTTTTGTTTTTTAATAATTAAACTGGTAATAAAATCTGACCTGAATTCATTTAGCAGAATACCCTGACCTAAATTCACATAAGTTATATAAACGTAGACTTTATTTACTTTGCCAGATAAGATTTTTCCTTTATTTCATTATAGAAATATTAATGTGTTTGCTTACTCATTCCTGTCCTAAACCTCTGAATGGATGGATATTAAGTAATATAAGGGGTATTTACTGTAGTATTTTTCTAAAACCTCAGAAACTTTGAATAGTGAAACATACCTGACCCCAAGGTTTGGATAAGGGATTATGGACCTTTGTAGAGTATACTCTTTAAATTTTAAAAGATTAGAGGGAAAGAAGTTAAAGGGAGGGGAGGGTATACAGTGGAAAGGGAGAAGTTGATTATAGGTCAGAGAAGGTTCTAGAGAATGCAGAAGGGGGTTCTAGGTAGGTCAGAGTAGCCGCTAGCCATATGTGGCTATTTAAATTAATTAAAGTTAAATGAAATTTAAAATTCAATTTCTCAATTGCTTTGGTAGCATTTCACTTGCTCAATAGTCACATGTGCTAGTGGCTACCGTGTTAGTGCCAATATAGAACATTTTCATCATTGCAGAAAGTTATGTTGGACAGCACTACTTAAGAGCAAAAGTCGGGGCAAAGGGGTGAGTATTAGCCTTGTATAAAGGAAGAGACAGGAAAGAATGGAAGTTCAGATGATTAAAGAATTTGGATGAAAGTTATTGAGAGCTTCTTAATCCTCAACTCTGATTTTTTTATTTTTTTCTTTAATGGTTGGAAGCAAAGGCATCAAATTAGTCAGAAAAGGAAGGAAGGGAATGGGCAGATTAGGAGAGAATGGCTAAAGTCACTATCTTATCTCCAAAGGCAGCTGTCCTTGTTCCTCACTATGTCTCATTTAACCAGTCTGAAGTTCAAATCCATTCTTCTTGTACAGTAGTCCCCCCTTATCCATGGGGGATAAGTTCGAAGACCCCTGTGGATGCCTGAAACCTCAGATATTACCAAATCCTTTATGTTCTATGTTTTTTTGATCTAGATGGCTACTAAGTTACTAACAGGCATGTAGTGTAGACAGTGTGGATATGCTGGACAAAGGGATGATTCAAGTCCTGGATGGACCAGAGCAGAACCTCACAAGATTTTATCACACTACTCAGAACAGGGTGTAATTTAAAATTTATGAACTGTTTATTTCTGGAATGTTCCATGTAATATTTTCAGACCATGGTTGACTGCAGGTAACTGAAACCCTGGAAAGCGAAACCACAGATAAGGGGGCACTACTGTATTCTAGACATGCACTAACTCTTTCCTTGTGATGACTTGCATCTTCCCCACCATTTGCATTAGGAAATTCTGTTATATAGTTTTTTTCCATACAAAAGCCAACAAACAAAAAGCCCTTTGGTATCTACCCACAGACTACTTAGCAAGGCCATGTCTTAATATTATTTTATGCCTTCCACAGCAGCCATCCATCCATCCACTGCTCTGCCTTCTGACCCCCTTCTCTAAATCAAAGTGGCTACTTTTTTACTGCTCTCCACATGGGCCAGCAGTGGCCTGCTTTTGCTTTGCCCCAGATGCTATCCTCCCCTACCAGGGCATCTTATTCTTTGGTTTAAGTCCTACTTTAGTTCTGCTTTCTTTTACCAGGAATTCAGAGAGTTATTAATCTTTTAAAATAGCAAGCACTCCTTCAGAGCTGTTAGGAGACTTAGAGTTTATTACAGTTAGATTTAAATCAGTGCCACTTTACATTTTTTTATTCCTTCCAGTTCTTTATAACCTTCCCAAAATAGTAAATCATGTTCTCTCCATAGTGTGGGAAATTCTCCCCAGTCTTCTTCTGTCTGATGTATATTTTCATTATTTGTTCCAGAATTTTATAATGGTAAAATATTTTTTATAAGAAAAAGTATTAGACCTGGAAGGAACTTCAGAGATCATCTGCTCAAACTACCATATTTCGCAATTGAGAAAACCAGGATTCAAAGAAGCTTAGTGATTTGCCCAAGGACATTTCCTAATTGTCAGCAGAGTGGGGTTAAGAACCCAAGGTTCCTGAAGTACACACGATTTCCTTCAGAATTTTTAATATAACATATATGGTGAAGGGAAATGAGTTCAGTAATTACTTATTACTAATGAAATGCAAAGTGTTTTAATCCCAATATAAGGTTATAATATTTTTCTTTACATTCTTTTTTTAGTAAGAAAAATGTAGTTTTGAACCATCATATAATACTAGAACTAATTAGGAGAAATTTAAATCCTCTTTGCTTTATATAAGTATAGTATATATTTATTTAGCAGAATAAATGTTTATGGTTGAAAATGGCTGGGTGCAGTGGCTCATGCCTGTAATCCCAGCACTTTGGGAGGCCGAGGCGGGTGGATCACCTGAGGTCAGAGTTCAAGACCAGCCTGACCAATATGGCGAAACCCTGTCTCTACTAAAAATGCAAAATTAGCTGGGCATAGTGGCACATGCCTATAATCCCAGCTACTTGGGAGGCTCAGGCAGGACAATCACTGGAACCTGGCAGGGGGAGGTTTCAGTGAGTCGAGATTGTGCCCCTGTGCTCCAGCCTGGGTAACAGAGTGAGACTCTGTCTCAAAAAAAAAAAAAAAAGTTTATGGTTGAAAACATTATTTAATGTATAGTTATGTTGCTTAGAAAATTCTGATTATTCACTGGGATCCTACCTTTGAGTTCTAAATAAGTATCACAAAAATTATTTTTTAAAAAGTTAATATTAAAAGTATATGCCCAATTTGTATGTCTTATTGAAAACATCTTTGAAAAACAGTACTTTTGGTGTGGTATGTGGTAGGTAAGACTTTGTAAGTTAAGTAGTTGTTCACTGAATGTTAGCATCTTTTTTTTTTAATGTTCATATGGCCTTTTTTGCTGTTTATAAATTGTATAAACTATGTTCACTATTTGATCCTGTCAACCAATATTAGGAGTAACCACTGCATTATATTTACATTTGACTCTATGATAATATGTAATATTCACATTTTGACTCTCTTTGGGAGAAATAAAGAATAAATGTTAGTTCCCAGGCCAAAATAACAGTTGATACTTTCTTCTGCATCAACATTGCATCTGTTAGACTGGAATGAAAACAACACATATTCTGATTAAAGGCTATGTTTTATACTTTTCAAGTAATTATTTTCAACTTTTTTTCCTTTTTTTTTGAGACAGAGTTTTGCTCTTGTTGCCCAGGCTGGAGTGCAATGGCGCGATCTCAGCTCACTGCAACCTCCGCCTCCTGGGTTCAAGCGATTCTGCCTCAGCCTCCTTAGTAGTTAGGATTACAGGTGTGTGCCACCACGCCCAACTAATTTTGTGTTTTTAGTAGAGATGAGGTTTCTTGTTGGCCAGGCTGGTCTTGAACTCCTGACCTCAGGTGATCCGCCCGCCTCGGCCTTCCAAAGTGCTGGGATTATAGTTGTGAGCCATTGTGCCTGGCCTATTTTCAGTATTTTTGTTTAAATTTTGTAAAAAGGTAAAATAAATGATTTTTGAAAATAGCTGGAGTTGTTTTCATAGAGTCTGTGGTTATAGGACTATTTAACTATATATTGAGTAAAATCTATGCTATGTCAAGTTTTATTCAGTTGTCCCTAGTAGAATATATTTCTCTTTTAATTCTGTATACAGTATGAGTAACTCCAGTTTAAAACACTGGTATTTTAATGAGTTTAAATTGTACTGTTATATATTATGATACATATTTTTCTTCTGGCTGTGGTTTAGTTTTTAAAATTTTTGATGTCCATTTTAATTTTTAGAAATAAAAGCTTAAAAATATGGGTGGAAGTAGATTTCAGTTTGATGATTATCTTGGTGAAAGTATAGTACCTGTGAAATGGTGGTAATAATTTGATTCTTTATTCTATTTTGATTGTAGCTCCTTTTGTAAGGAGCATTTGTAAAATTTAGTTGCTTTAGAGTTATACAAATCCTTTTATTACCATTTATTAACTGTTTGTTGTTTTAGGACCTGATCCCAACCTTGAAGAAAGTCCTAAAAGAAAAAATATTACATATGAGGAATTAAGGAATAAGAACAGAGAGTCATATGAAGTATCTTTAACACAAAAGACTGACCCCTCAGTCAGGCCTATGCATGAAAGAGTGCCAAAAAAAGAAGGTATGATAGTTTAGTCTGAATCACTTTACTGTTGAGGATTGGAAACTAAAACATTACTTTAAAACAATACTATAAAAAATTAATTAATATGTGATTTAACTCTTCAAGCAATTAACCAAAGTAAAATATTTTTAAAATAGTACTTTACAGTTATCAGTTCTTTTTTTTTTTTTGAGACGGAGTCTTGCTCCGTCGCCAGGCTGGAGTGCAGTGGCACGATCTTGGCTCACTGCAGCCTCTGCCTCCTGGATTCAAGCAATCCTCCTGCCTCAGCCTCCCAAATAGCTAGGACTACAGGCCCCCACGCCCAGCTAATTTTTTGTATTTTTAGTAGAGATGGGGTTTCATCATGTTGGCCAGGATGGTCTCGATCTTTTGACCTTGTGATCCGCCTGCCTCAGTCTCTGAGAGTGCTAGGATTACAGGCTTGAGCCACCGTGTCCGGCCAGTTTTCCATTTTTAAGGTGTTCCAAAGGCCATTTTGTGTTAGAAAATAATGAAGTCAAGGCCAGGTGTGGTGTCTCATGCCTGAAATCCCAGCACTTTGGGAGACCAAGCTGGGTGTATCACTTGAGGCCAGGAATTGGAGACCAGCATGGCCAACATGGCGATACCTTGTCTCTACTAAAAATACAAAAATCAGCTGGGCATGGTGGTGCATGCCTGTAATCCTAGCTACTCGGGAGGCTGAGGCAGGAGAACTGCATGAACCCAGGAGGCAGAGGTTGCAGTGAACCGACATCACGCCACTGCACTGCAGCCTGGATGACGGAGCGAGGCTCTGTTCCCCCCTCCCCCCGCCAAAAAAAGGAAGAAAATAGTGAAGTCCAAATAGTAAGTCTTAAGACAGCAAGATTAGTTTAACACAGGGTAGAGACATACTCATTTGACTGTTTCTCTCTTACAACAAATCTCCTTGGAGATCTGATAGTCTTATTTTCCTAATGATACATCTATCGCATAAGTTGCTGTAGTGACCTGAGGTTGGCGTTGCGCTGTAATACCACTTGTGGCCTAACCACAGAATGATTGAGTAATGAGATTGATTTTCTTGTACATTTGGGTTTTTCTCGTGTTTTTTTGTTCTGTTTGTTTGTTTTTTCTTTTTGAGATGGTTTTATTCTGTCACCCAGGCTGGAGTGCAGTGGTGTAATCATGGCTTACTGCAGTCTTGACCTCCTGGGTTCAAGCAGTCCTCCTACCTCAGCTTCCTGAGTAGCTGGGACTACAGTTGTATGCCACCATCCCTGGCTGTTAAAAATTTTTTTTGGTGCAGTGGGTTTTTCCCTATGTTGCCAAGGCTGGTCTCAAACTCCTGGGCTCAACCAGTCCTTTCACCTTGGCCTCCCAGAATGCTGGGATTATAGGTGGGAGCCACTGTGCCTGACCTTTCTTGTACATTTGTGAATTTGAAAGAGTTATATGCCAGCTTCTAAGGCATTTCTTAAAGATGAATTTTTAAATCCTGGTTTCTTTTAAGTCTTTTTGGAATAGCTATACATTAGCCAAAGTAAATTTTTTGATACAAGTTTACCTCTAAAGGAAGAGGACATTCGAATAGGGTTTTATAGCTATTTCAGTATAGGGTTTTATGATTTTCTCTTAAGGAATTTCAGAGTATGTGTCATTGTTTCAAGATTTTCTATTTACTACTTTAAAAATGGAAATAATAGGTCTTTGGTACCTTCTTGAAGGTCATATGCCACAAAGAATGCAAAAATACATGAAAGTCCTTAGTATTTGTTGTTATGGTCATTTTTTAGAGCTAATTTTATTTTTAATCATTAGCGGTTGCTTCGTTTGGAGTTCTGTTTTTATAACAATGATAGATAATATCTGCATCATATTATTGATGTAAAAAAAATCTACCTTTGAAATGAATTAGGGATGTACCATACTTTTGAATGTTTGTCATCAAACAACATTTAGCATAAACTGCATCTAGTGGCCATTGCTCTGTAATATGTAAAGACTTGTCGGTACTTTGTCCTGCTAATTAATTTGAGGATTTAGATTGTAAGCTCTGTGAGGGCAGAAAGTAATATTTTTCTCATTTTTGTAATCTTTTCTATTATTGTCTGCATAGCATAGTACTTTACACTGTATCAGAAATTGAGTATTTTGGTTTAGGCTTCTATGGTAATAGAGGTTAAGAAAGGAAATTTGGTAGACCTTTAACATTTGCTGGATTTTGACATTTTTGATTTTTGACTGAAGTCTTCAAGTTCTGTTACATGACACAAGAATGTGAAATGATTTTTTCTTTTTTTGGGAAAAGCTGGTTTTTTGTGTGCTTTATATAATTTAAAGAAAAGACTTGTTATGAAATAGTTTCAGTCATTTTCTGAATTATTGTTGAAATTAGTACAGGGTAGATTCACATGGTCAGAAAGTGTCACTTAAAGTTTTCACCTTTAGCTTATGTGGTTGATATTTATCTAATTAGAAATTAAGACCCAGAAATTTAAAAAATTCAAGCACATATTCCATTAGCTGCCAGAGCAATGTCACCACACATCCTGTAGCTTCTAGAAAACCATGTAACATATACTCATGAGGGAATGAGAGCAAGGGGAAAAGGCAAAATGTGAAACATAAGGATATATAATGTCTTAGTATAATAATGAAATAATTTTGACTTCATGTATTCCCTGAAGAGTCCACACTGTGATAACTGCTGCTTTATATTGTTATGATTACTCACAGACAGAAGCTATGTGGAAGAGAAGCAAAAAAGTAAAGGAGTAGAATAGACAGCGGAGCATGTTTTAAAATGTAAAATATAGAGTACCTGTAAAATGTAGTAGTATTTTCTTCTTATAGTAGTATTTACAGCCCTGAGAGAGAAGATTGAATTAATTACAACTTGAACACTTGACCATTTCTACTGCTGTATTTTTTGTGAAAAACGAAAATTCAAATGTTTGTTTTATTATTTCCCACTATTTTTTTTTTTTTTTGTATATGGCTTAATATGTGCCACACTTAGGTAGTATGGTAAAGATGTAAAGGTACCTAGGCTTTGGATCTAAACAGACCTATACTCAAATCTCAGTTCTTGTTAGGGCTTGTACCTTGGGCAAGTTACTAATCTTTTTTCTCACCATTAAAATGAGAATTGTGTTTAGAAGTTTGTTATGAGGACTAACTATTTATGTAAAATTCTAGATACAATGCATTTGTCCAACCCCAAGTTCACAAAAGTCTGGTCATCCCCTTTTTGTAATTATAATTTGACTCTCATGTGCTTTTATTCAAATGAGAGAGAAACATAACTTTTCATCATAGCAACAAACTTAAAATAATGTCTTTTACTTATTATTGCTTGGAATCATCAATTATTTATGCTTTTTTCCTAGTCAAAGTAAACAAGTATGGAGATACTTGGGATGAGTGAAAAATTACATCATTGGACATGAAGGAGTTTCAACATCCAGCTTCATCTAGGTGGTCATGATTACCTGCATGCTTTGAGCTCAGCAGCAGTCTTCATAAACACATTTAAAACAAGATCCTGGGTTTTTGTGGTTTGACTTCTATGGTGTTTTAAAAAAACACAGATTTTTAGTGTTAATATTGTGTAAATGTACTCACCTTAGGGATTCATTTGAATGATGGTATTATACCATGATTGTATACAGTTTGTGAAATTGTTGCAAGGGCAAAGATAACTCTTAAAAAACCGTCGAGATTACAATGCTCTAGAATCAGCATATAAGAAAATAAATGATATCTGCATGTTGAATTGGGGTGGATGGGGGGAGCAAGCATAATTTTTAAGTGTGAAGCTTTGCATCAAGAAATTATTAAAAAGCTTTTTTTCTCCAGTATTTTCTGTATTATCTTAATGTTTATGGCAAATAAAATGTAAAGGAACATGCAACAGCCCTCATCTTCCTTGATTTTATGGTTTTATTGTTTGTAATTTATTGATTTATTTTTAAGCTAGTTATAATCATGTAGGTATAGGAAATAAAGTCATCTATAATATTTCTATAATATGGCTATAATATGGCTATAAATCTATAATATGGCTGGAGGCAGTGGGCAGTGGTTCATGCCTGTAATCCCAGCACTTTGGGAGGCCGAAGTGGGAGGATTGCATGAGTCCAGGAGTTTGAGACCAGCCTGGGCAACAAAGCGAGACCCTGTCTTTACAAAAAAATAAAAATTAGCTGGCGATGGTGTCGTGTGCCTGTAGTCCTAGTTACTTAAGAGGCTGAGTTGGGAGGATCAGTTGAACCCAGTGGTTCTGGGTTGCAGTGAGCTGTGGTCACACCACTGAACTCCAGCCTGTGCGACTGAGTGAGACCCTGTGTCTAAAAAAATAAAAATATAATGAATGTGATTTATGTAGATAAATTGATAATATAGTAAATAGGTAAATGCCTTAAAAAGCATTTTTAAAGAATTTGTAAATTCTAAAACAATAAAAATTTGGTATACATCACAGAGACTGATATTATGTTAAAAAGAAAAATTGGTGTACAGTGACCCTTCGTATCTGTGGGTTCCGTATCTGCAGATTCAATCAACTGCAGATTGAAAATATTTGAGGGAGAGAAATGGATGGTTGTCTGTACTGAACTCTTGTTATTCCCAAACAATACATTGTAATAACTATTTACATAGCATTTACATTAGGCATTACAAGTAATCTATAAATGACTTAAAGTATATAGGAGGATGTGCATTGGTTATATGTAAATACTACACCATTTTATAGTGGACGTTAGGAACCTGGACCAATAGACCCCCACCTAGTCACATTTTAGAAAGAACACATGGGATGGGAGATACCGCAGCCATCTTTCAGTCTATCATTTGGCAGCTGTAATTCACATCCCTTTCCTGAGGACCTCTGTTTCCTATGCCATTACAAAAGCTCAAAGTCTAGGAGCTGATCATCTAATCAGGATAAGGTATGGATGAGGCTCCTTGGGTAAAGCTTCATGAATAAAAGCGTCATGAATACCATTTCTCTGTCTGAAGGCCTGAACTTAAGAACTTATCTGCTTTGTTCACCTGTTAGGCATAACATCACTACTCTGGAGATTCCCATTCAAAAAGAGAAAAGGAAAGGCTTGGCTTGCAATTCTGAAGTCTAGCCAGCCTAATGTGGCTGTTCTTTGGGGCCTAGGTATATTCCCTGGGGGTTGTTCTCTGGTGCTTTTGACCCTGCCCTCTGATTTTTCCTTTTCTATTGAGGCACTTGTGTTTGCAGCTGAGTAGTTTTTTTTGTTTGTTTTTTAAAGCCTACTCCCTCACAGAATTTGGGGGTCCAAAGGCCTATTTTTACTACTACCCCTGTCCAAGCTGACATATTTTTTCATATTTTTTTCCTGTGTATTTCTCATGTATCAATTTATAATCCATTCTATTACACAAGAGCCACTCATAAAGTCTATTGGAAATAGTCCTTTTTCTATGTTGGGCTCCCTGTGAGGCTGATGAACAACATACTTCAGATTCTAAGCCTTGGACAGGGTCTAAAAGGCATGCTGGTAAGACACGTAGGCAATTTACATGTCTGAAATGTCTTAAGATGCACTCATCTTCCTGAGGTCTTGAGCAAAGTATCTTTTGCCCCACTTTGGATTTGGTCTTTGAGAGCCATTGAAAGGGCTATTCTGAGCCTTAATATGTCTTCCAAATTCCATTTGGGAGTGGAATAATTTGTTCTTTATACCTCTTCCTCATTTTATTTTGGATGGGTAGAAAAAGCCAAATGGCCCCAGACTCAACACTGCCAGGAAATCTTAGCTAGATCATTAGGCACATTTTCTATTTTTGGTGATAGCACAGGTAACAGTTTTGCTAAACTTACTGCTTAAAAAGGGGCTCTTCTAGCTTCCAATAACATTTTCCTCCCTCTGACATCCTCCTTGGAAGCCCTTTGGGCTTCTGCTAATGCCTTCCTCGAGGCCCTTTAGGATTTAACTAGCAATCTCTTCATGATCCTGGCAGCATCCATCTGCTACTTGGTCCCAAAGTGAATGCCATATGTCTTAGGTTCTTGTTGTGGCAGGACCTCACTTCCAGGTACAAAATTTCTATTTTAAAATTATTATTTTGGGGGGTACACACGAATATATATGGGTTACATGAAATATTTTGATACAGGCATGCAATGTGTAATCACATCAGGATAAATGGGATATTCATCCCCTCAAGCATTTATCCTTTGTGTAACAAATGATCCAATTATACTCTTTTAGTTGTTTTAAAATATATAATTATTTTAGACTATAGTCACCCTGTTGTGCTAGCAAATACTAGGTCTTACTCTATTTTTTTGTACCCATTAACCATAGACCCACTGCACCTGCCTGTCCCACTTGCAACTCACTACCCTTCCCAGCCCCTCGTAACCATCCTACTGTCTATCACCGTGACTTCAATTATTTTAAATTTTAGCTCCCATAAATAAATGAGAACGTGAAATTTGTCTTTCAGTGCCTGGCTTATTTCATTTAACATAATGAACTCCAGTTCCATCCATGTTGTTGCAAGTGATAGGATCTCATCCTTTTTTAAGACTGAGTAGTACTCCATTGAGTACATGTACCACATTTTCTTTATCCATTCATCTGTTTGTGGGACACTTAGGTTGTTTCCAAATCTTGGCTATTGTGAATAGTGTTACAGTAAACATTAGAGTGCAGATATCTCTGATATACTGATTTCTTTTCTTTTGGGTGTATACCTAGCAGTGGGACTGCTGGATTATATGATAGCTCTTTTTTTTTTAGTTTTTCGAGGAACTTCCAAACTCTTCTCCATCATAGTTGTAATAATTTGCATTCCCACCAACAGTGTATGAAGATTCCCTTTTCTCCATATCCTCACCAGCATTTCTTATTGCCTGTCTTTTGGATAAAAGCCATTTTAACTGACATGAGATGATATCTCATAATAGTTCTGATGTGCACTTCTCTGATAATAATGTTGAGCTCTTTTTCATATACCTATTTGCCATCTGTATGTCTTCTTTTGAGAAATGTCTATTCAGAGCTTTTGCCCATTTATTATAATAATATTACTATTTTGTTCTTTTTTTCTTCTTTTTATTGAAACAGGGCCTTGCTATGTTGCCCAGGCTGGTCTCAAACTCCTAAGCTCAAGTGATTTGGCGACCTTGGCCTCCTAAAGTGCTTGGATTACAGATACGGGCCACTGCACCTGGCCTATTGTTATTATTATTTATTTTTTTAATTTTATTATTATTATACTTTTAAGTTTTACGGTATATGTGCACAACGTGCAGGTTTGTTACATATGTATACATGTGCCATGTTGGTGTGCTGCACCCATTAACTCATCATTTAGCATTAGGTATATCTCCTAATACTATCCCTCCCCCTTCCCCCACTCCACAACAGTCCCCAGAGTGTGAGGTTCCCCTTCCTGTGTCCAAGTGTTCTCATTGTTCAATTCCCACCTATGAGCGAGAACATGCGGTGTTTGGTTTTTTGTCCTTGCAATAGTTTGCAGAGAATGATGGTTTCCAGTTTCATCCATGTCCCTACAAAGGACATGAACTCATCATTTTTTATGGCTGCATAGTATTCCATGGTGTATATGTGCCACATTTTCTTAATCCAGTCTATTGTTGGACATTTAGGTTGGTTCCAAGTCTTTGCTATTGTAAATAGTGCCACTATAAACATACGCGTGCATGTGTCTTTATAGCAGCATGCTTTAGAATCCTTTGGATATATACCCAGTAATGGGATGGCTGGGTCAAATGGTATTTCTAGTTCTAGATCCCTGAGGAAACACCACACTGACTTCCACAATGGTTGAACTAGTTTACAGTCCCACCAACAGTGTAAAAGTTTTCCTATTTCTCCACATCCTCTCCAGCCCCTGTTGTTTCCTGACTTTTTAATGATAGCCATTCTAACTGGTGTGAGATGGTATCTCATTGTGGTTTTGATTTGCATTTCTCTGATGGTCAGTGATGATGAGCATTTTTTCATGTGTTTTTTGGCTGCATAAATGTCCTCTTTTGAGAAGTGTCTGTTCATATCTTTCACCCACTTTTTGATGGGGTTGTTTGTTTTTTTCTTGTAAATTTGCTTGAGTTCATTGTAGATTCTGGATATTAGCCCTTTGTCAGATGAGTAGGTTGCAAAAATTTTGTCCCATTCTGTAGGTTGCCTGTTCACTCTGATGGTAGTTTCTTTTGCTGTGCAGAAGCTCTTTAGTTTAATTAGATCCCATTTGTCAATTTTGGCTTTTGTTGCCATTGCTTTTGGTGTTTTAGACATGAAGTCCTTGCCCATGCCTATGTCCTGAATGGTATTGCCTAGGTTTTCTTCTAGGGTTTTTATGGTTTTACATCAAACATTTAAGTCTTTAATCCATCTTGAATTAATTTTTCTATAAGGTGTAAGGAAGGGATCCAGTTTCAGCTTTCTACATATGGCTAGCCAGTTTTCCCAGCACCATTTATTAAATAGGGAATCCTTTCCCCATTTCTTGTTTTTGTCAGGTTTGTCAAAGATCAGATGGTTGTAGATATGTGGCATTATTTCTGAGGGCTCTGTTCTGTTCCGTTGGTCTATATCTCTGTTTTGGTACCGGTACCATGCTATTTTGGTTACTGTAGCCTTGTAGTATAGTTTGAAGTCAGGTAGCATGATGCCTCCAGCTTTGTTCTTTTGGCTTAGATTGACTTGGTGATGTGGGCTCTTTTTTGGTTCCATATGAACTTTAAAGTAGTTTTTTCCAATTCTGTGAAGAAAGTCATTGGTAACTTGATGAGGTTGGCATTGAATGTATAAATTACCTTGGGCAGTATGGCCATTTTCACGATATTGATTCTTCCTACCCATGAGCATGGAATGTTCTTCCATTTGTTTGTATCCTCTTTTATTTCATTGAGCAGTGGTTTGTAGTTCTCCTTGAAGAGGTCCTTCACATCCCTTGTAAGTTGGATTCCTAGGTATATTATTCTCTTTGAAGCAATTGTGAATGGGAGTTCACTCATGATTTGGCTCTCTGTTTGTCTGTTATTGGTGTATAAGAATGCTTGTGATTTTTGTACATTGATTTTGTATCCTGAGACTTTGCTGAATTTGCTTGTCACCTTGAGGAGATTTTGGGCTGAGACTATGGGGTTTTCTAGATATACAATCGTGTCATCTGCAAACAGGGACAATTTGACTCCCTCTTTTCCTAATTGAATACCCTTTATTTCCTTCTCCTGCCTGATTGCCCTGGCCAGAACTTCCAACACTATGTTGAATAGGAGTGGTGAGAGAGGGAGGGCATCCCTGTCTTGTGCCCGTTTTCAAAGGGAATGCTTCCAGCTTTAGCCCATTCAGTATGATATTGGCTGTGGGTTTGTCATAGACAGCTCTTATTATTTTGAGATACATCCCATCAATACCTAATTTATTGAGAGTTTTTAGCATGAAGGGTTGTTGAATTTTGTTAAAGGCCTTTTCTGCATCTATTGAGATAATCATGTGGTTTTTGTCTTTGGTTCTGTTTATACGCTGGATTACATTTATTGATTTGAGTATGTTGAACCAGCCTTGCATCCCAGGGATGAAGCCCACTTGATCATGGTGGATAAGCTTTTTGATGTGCTGCTGGATTTGGTTTGCCAGTATTTTATTGAGGATTTTTGCATCAATGTTCATCAAGGATACTGGTCTAAAATTCTCTTTTTTGGTTGTGTCTCTGCCAGGCTTTGGAATCAGGATGATGCTGGCCTCATAAAATGAGTAAGGGAGGATTCCCTCTTTTTCTATTGATTGGAATAGTTTCAGAAGGAATGGTACCAGCTCCTCTTTGTACCTCTGGTAGAATTCGGCTGTGAATCCATCTGGTCCTGGACTTTTTTTGGTTGGTAAGCTATTGATTATTGCCTCAATTTCAGAGCCTGTTATTGGTCTATTCAGAGATTCAACTTCTTCCTGGTATACTCTTGGGAGGATGTATGTGTTGAGGAATTTATTCATTTCTTCTAGATTTTCTAGTTTATTTGCATAGAGGTGTTTATAGTATCCTCTGATGGTAGTTTGTATTTCTGTGGGAACAGTGGTGATATCCGCTTTATCATTTCTTATTGCGTCTATTTGGTTCTTCCCTCTTTTCTTCTTTATTAGTCTTGCTAGCAGTCTATCAATTTTGTTGATCTTTTCAAAAAACCAGCTCCTGGATTCATTAATTTTTTGAAGGGTTTTTTGTGTCTCCATTTCCTTCAGTTCTGCTCTGATTTTAGTTATTTCTTGCCTTCTGCTAGCTTTTGAATGTGTTTGCTCTCGCTTTTCTAGTTCTTTTAATTGTGATGTTAGGGTGTCAATTTTAGATCTTTCCTGCTTTCTCTTGTGGGCATTTAGTGCTATAAATTTCCCTCTACACACTGCTTTAAATGTGTCCCAGAGATTCTGGTATGTTGTGTCTTTATTCTCGTTGATTTCAAAGAACATCTTTATTTTTGCCTTCATTTCATTATTTACCCAGTAGTCATTCAGGAGCAGGTTGTTCAGTTTCCATGTAGTTGAGCGGTTTTGAGTGAGTTTCTTAATCCTGAGTTCTAGTTTGATGGCACTGTGTTCTGAGAGATAGTTTGTTATAATTTCGGTTCTTTTACATTTGCTGAGGAGAGCTTTACTTCCAAGTATGTGGTCGATTTTGGAGTAGGTGTGTTGTGTTGCTGAAAAGAATGTATATTCTGTTGATTTGGGGTGGAGAGTTCTGTAGATGTCTATTAGGTCTGCTTGGTGCAGAGCTGAGTTCAATTCCTGGGTATCCTTGTTAACTTTCTGTCTCATTGATCTGTCTAATGTTGACAGTGGGGTGTTAAAGTCTCCCATTATTATTGTGTGGGAGTCTAAGTCTCTTTGTAGGTCACTCAGGACTTGCTTTATGAATCTGGGTGCTCCTGTATTGGGTGCATATCTATTTAGGATAGTTAGCTCTTCTTGTTGAATTGATCCCTTTACCATTATGTAATGGCCTTCTTTGTCTCTTTTGATCTTTGTTGGTTTAAAGTCTGTTTTATCAGAGACTAGGATTGCAACCCCTGCTTTTTTGTTTTCCATTTGCTTGGTAGGTCTTCCTCCATCCCTTTATTTTTAGCCTATGTGTGTCTCTGCACGTGAGATGGGTTTCCTGAATACAGCACACTGATGGGTCTTGACTCTTTATCCAATTTGCCAGTCTGTGTCTTTTAATTGGAGCATTTAGCCCATTTACATTTAAGGTTAATATTGTTATGTGTGAATTTGATCCTGTTATTATGATGTTAGCTGGTTATTTTGCTCATTAGTTGATGCAGTTTCTTCCTAGCCTGGATGGTCTTTACAATTTGGCATGTTTTTGCAGAGGCTGGTACCGGTTGTTCCTTTCCATGTTTAGTGCGTCCTTCAGGAGCTCTTTTAGGGTAGGCCTGGTGGTGACGAAATCTCAGCATTTGCTTGTCTGTAAAGTATTTTATTTCTCCTTCACTTATGAAGCTTAGTTTGGCTGGATATGAAATTCTGGGTTGAAAATTCTTGTCTTTAAGAATGTTGAATATTGGCCCCCACTCTCTTCTGGCTTGTAGAGCTTCTGCCAAGAGATCCGCTGTTAGTCTAATGGGCTTCCTTTTGTGGGTAACCCGACCTTTCTCTCTGGCTGCCCTTAACATTTTTTCCTTCATTTCCACTTTGGTGAATCTGACAATTATGTGTCTTGGAGTTGCTCTTCTCAAGGAGTATCTTTGTGGCGTTCTCTGTATTTCCTGAATTTGAATGTTGGCCTGCCTTGGTAGATTGGGGAAGTTCTCCTGGATAATATCCTGCAGAGTGTTTTCCAACTTAGTTCCATTCTCTCCGTCACTTTCAGGTACACCAATCAGACATAGATTTGGTCTTTTCACATAGTCCCATATTTCTTGGAGGCTTTGTTCATTTCTTTTTATTCTTTTTTCTCTAAACTTCTCTTCTTGCTTCATTTCATTCATTTGATCTTCCATCACTGATACCCTTTCTTGCAGTTGATCGCGTCGGCTACTGAGGCTTCTGCATTCATCACGTAGCTCTCGTGCCTTGGTTTTCAGCTCTGTCAGGTCCTTTAAGGACTTCTCTGCATTGGTTATTCTAGTTATCCATTCATCTAATTTTTTTTCAAAGCTTTTAACTTCTTTGCCATTGGTTCGAGTTTGCTCCTGTAGCTTGGAGTAGTTTGATTGTCTGAAGCCTTCTTCTCTCAACTCGTCAAAGTCATTCTC
Organism: Homo sapiens; assembly: GCF_000001405.40. NCBI lineage: Eukaryota > Metazoa > Chordata > Mammalia > Primates > Hominidae > Homo > Homo sapiens. The sequence continues at coordinate 48,869,595 of NC_000004.12, forward strand.
CGTCCAGCTTTGTTCCATTGCTGGTGAGGAGCTGTGTTCCTTTGGAGGAGGAGAGATGCTCTGATTTTTAGAGTTTCCAGTTTTTCTGCTCCGTTTTTTTCCCATCTTTGTGGCTTTATCTACCTTTGGTCTTTGATGATGGTGACACACAGGTGGGTATTTGGTGTGGATGTCCTTTCTGTTTGTTAGTTTTCCTTCTAACAGACAGGACCCTCAGCTGCAGGTCTGTTGGAGTTTGCTAGAAGTCCACTCCAGACCCTGTTTGCCTGGGTATCAGCAGCGGTGTCTGCAGAACAGCGGATATTGGTGAACTGCAAATGCTGCTGCCTGATCATTCCGCTGGAAGTTTTGTCTCAGAGGAGTACCCGGCTCTATGAGGTGTCAGTCTGCCCCTACTTGGGGTTGCCTCCCAGTTAGTCTACTCAGGGGTCAGGGACCCACTTGAGGAGGCAGTCCGCCCGTTTTCAGATCTCAAGCTGCATGCTGGGAGAACCACTACTCTCTTCAAAGCTGTCAGAGAGGGACGTTTAAGTCTGCAGAGGTTACTGCTGTCTTTTTGTTTGTCTGTGCCCTGCCCCCAGAAGTGGAGCCTACAGAGGCAGGCAGGCCCCCTTGAGCTGTGGTGGGTTCCACCCAGTTCGAGCTTCCCGGCCGCTTTGTTTACCTAATCAAACAACTAACTCGGCAATGATGGGCACCCCTCCCCCAGCCTCACTGCTGCCTTCCAGTTTGATCTCAGACTGCTGTGCTAGCAATGAGTGAGACTCCATGGGCGTAGGACCCTCTGAGCTATGTGCGGGATATAATCTCCTGGTGTGCCGTTTTTTAAGCCCGTTGGAAAAGCTCAGTATTAGGGTGGGAGTGACCCTATTTTCCAGGTGCCGTCTGTCACCCCTTTCTTTGACTAGGAAAGGGAATTCCCTGACCCCTTGCACTTCCCAGGTGAGGTGATACCTCGCCCTGCTTCGGCTCACACATGGTGCGCTGCACCCACTGTCCTGCACCTCCTCTCTGGCACTCCCCAGTAAGATGAACTTGGTACCTCAGTTGGAAATGCAGAAATCACCAGTCTTCTGCGTGGCTCATGCTGGGAGCTGTAGACCGGAGCTGTTCCTATTCGGCCATCTTGGCTCCTCCCACCTGGCCTATTATTAGTATTTTAAATCTCAGCATCCACCAGAGGATGCCCATTTTTTTAATTGGATTATTAGATTTTTTCCTATTGAGTTGTTTGAGTTCCTCTTATGTTCTGGTTACTAATCCCTTGTCAGATGGATAGTTTGCGAATATTATCTCCCATCACATGGGTTGTCTTTTCACTTTGTGGATTATTTTCTTTGCTATGGAGAAGGTTTTAACCTGATGTAATACCATTTGCCCATTTTTCTGTTGGTTGCCTGTGCCTATGGGATATTACTCAAGAAATCTTTACCCAGTCCCATGTCCTAGAGTGTTTCTTCAATGTTTTAGTAGTTTCATAGTCTGAGGTCTTAGATTTACTCTTTAATTCATATTGATTTGATTTCTGTATATGGTAAGAGATGGGTCTAGTGTCATTCTTCTGCATGTGGATATCCAGTTTTCCCAGCACCATTTGTTGAAGAGACTGTCCTTTCCCCATTATATTCTTGGCAACTTTGTTGAAAATTGAGTGCACTGTAGATGTATGCATTTGTTTTGGGGTTATCTGTTATGTTCCACTGGTGTATGTGTCTGTGTTTATGCCAGTACTATGCTGTTTTGGTTACTATAGCTCTGTAGTATACCTTGAAGTCAGCCAATGTGATTCCTCCAGTATTTTTTTTTTTTTTCCTTAGGATAGCTTTGGCTATTCTGGGTCTTTTGTGGTTCTATATAAGCTTTAGGGTTGTTTTTTTCTATTTCTGTGAAGAATGTCACTGGTATTTTGACAGAGATTGCATTGAATCTGTAGATTGCTTTGGAGAGTATGGACATTTCAACAATGTTGATTTGTCTAATCCATGAACATGGAATATTTATCTATATTTTTGTGTTGTCCTCTTTACCTTACTTTTTTTCCTTTTTTTTTTTTTTTTTTGAGACAGAGTCTTGCTCTCTCTCTGAGGCTGGAGTGCAGTGGCATGGTCTTGGCCCATTGCAACCTCCACCTCCCAGGTTCATGTGATTCTCATGCCTCAGCCACTTGAGTAGCTGGGATTACAGGTGTGTGTCACCAAGCCAGGCTAATTTTTGTATTTTTAGTAGAGACAGGGTTTCACCACATTGGCCAGGCTCGTCTTGAAGTCCTGCTTAAGTTATCTGCCCAACTCGGCCTCCCAAAGTGCTGGGATTACATGCATGAACCACCACACCAAGCCCTCTTCAGTTTCTTGTGTTAATGCTTTCATTGTAGAGATCTGTTACTTTTTTTTTTTCTTTTGCGACAGCATCTCACTCTGTCATCCTGGCTGGAGTGCAGTGGCACAATCATTGTGCCCTGCAGCCTTGAACTCCAAGGCTGAAGTGATCCTCTCACCTAAGCTTCCCGAGTAGCTAGAACTACAGGTGCACACAACCATGCCCAGCTAATTTTTATTTATTTATTTATTTATTTATTTATTTATTTATTCATAGATGGAGTCTTGCTCTGTTGCCAGGGTGGAGAGCAGTGGTGTAATCTAGGCTCACTGCAACCTCTGACTCCCGAGTTCAAGTGATTCCCCTGCTTCAGCCTCCTGAGTAGCTGGCACTACAGTTGCGTGCCACCAAGCCTGGCTAATTTTTTTTGTATTTTAGTAGAGAAAGGGTTTCACCATGTTGGCCAGGATGGTCTCAATCTCCTGATTTTGTGATTTGCCTGCCTCAGTCGGCCTCCCAAAGTGTTGGGATTACAGGCGTGAGCCACCATGCCTGGCCGCCCAGGTAAGTTTTACATTTTTTGCAGGGACAGGTTCTCACCATGTTGTCCAGGCTGGTCTCAAACTCCTGGCCTCAAGCAATCCTCCTGCTTCCATCTCCCAAAATGCTGGGATTACAGATGTGAGCCACCAAGCCTGACCATCTTTCACATCTTTGGTTAATTCTTAGGTATTTTGTTTTCTTTGTAGCTATTGTAAGTGGGATTACTTTCTTGATTTCTTTTTCAGATTGTTTTCTGTCAGGACATAGAAATGATACTGATTTTTGTATGTTGATTTCATATCCTACAACTTTACTGAATTCGTTTATCAGCTCTAATAGTTTTTTGGTTGAGTCTCTCAATTTTTCCAAATATAAGATCATGTCATCTGCAAACAAGGACAATTTGACTCCTTCTTTTCCAATTTGTATGCTCTTTATTTCTTTCTCTTTTCCAGTTGCTCTAGTAAGGACTTCCAGTATAACAATGAGTAACAGTGATAAAAGTGGACATCCTTGTCATGTTCCAGATCTTACAGGAAAGGCTTTCAGCTTTTTCCTTTCTGTATGATACTATGTGTTTGTTCTATATTATATGGCTTTTATTATGTGGAGGTACGTTCCTTCTATACCCAGTTTTTTGAGGATTTTTGTCATGAAGGGGATGTTGAATTTTGACAAATGCTTTTCCAGCATCAGTTGAAATGATCATATGGTTTTTGTCCTTCATTCTGTTGATATGATGTATCACATTGATTGATTTGCATATGTTGAACTATCCTTGCATCCCTGAGATAAATCCCATTTGGTCATAATGATCTTTTTAATGTGTTGTTGAATTTGGTTTGCTAGTATTTTGTTGAGGATTTTTTCATCAGTATTTATCAGCAATATTTGCATGTAGTTCTTTTGATGTGTCTTTGTCTGCTTTTGGTATCATGGCAATATTGGCCTCATAGAATGAGTTTGGAAGTATTTCCTCCTTCTCTATTTTTTGGAATATTTTGAGTAGGATGGGTATTAGTTCTTCTTTAAATGTTTGGCAGAATCCCTCAGATGTTTTCCTGTTCCACATGACCTGCTGTTTGGGATTGAGGCGGGAAGCCAGTGGAATAAATGTATTTCTATCTGAAAAAAAAAAGTTTGTCAGAATTCATCAGTGAAGCCACTGGGTCTCGGGCTTTTCTTTGCTGGGAAGTTTTTATTACAGCTTCAGTCTCATTGCTTGTTATCACTCTGTTCAGGTCTTGGATTTCTTCATGGTTCAATCTTGGTAGTTGTGTATGTGTCCAGGAATTTATCCATTTCCTTCAGATTTTCCAATTTATTGGCATATAGTTGCTCATAGTAGCCACTAATTATCATTTGAATTTCTGCAGTATTAGTCGTAATGTCTCCTTTTTCATCTCTAATTTTATTTGAGTCTTCTCTCTTTTTTTCTTAGTCTGCCTAAAGGTGTGTCAATTATATCTTTTCAACAAAATCTTTTTGTTTCATTGATCTTTTGTATTGTTTTCTTTGTTTCAATTTCATTTATCTCTGTTTCTGCTGTGATCCTTATTATTTTTTCTACTAATTTTGGGTTTGGTTTTCTCTTGCTTTTCTAGTTCTTTAAGATGAATCATTAGGTTATTATTATATATATAATTGTAGTTTACATATCACAGCTCCAGTATTGGGTGCATTATATATGTGTGTGTGTGTGTGTGTGTGTGTGTGTGTGTGTGTGTGTGTTTTAGCCACTTATAGCTATAAACTTCCCTCTTAGTGCTGCTTTTGCTGTATTTCATAGTTTTGGTGTGTTGTTTTTCCATTATCATTCGTTTCTGGAAATTTTTCAATTTCCTTCTTGATTCCTTAATTGATCCACTGATTCAGGAGCATATTGTTTAATTTTTATGTGTTTATATAGTTTGCAAAATTCCTCATTATTGATTTCTAGTTTTATTCCATTGTGGTCAGAGAAGATGCTTGATATTATTTCAATTTTTAAAAAATGTTTTATGACTTATTTTGTGACCTAACATATGGTCTATGCTTGAGAATGATCCATGTGCTGAGAAAAAGAATGTATATTTTTCAGCTGTTGGATGAAACAGCCTGTAAATATCTATTTGGTCCATTTGTTCCATAGTGCAGGTTAAGTCTGATGTTTCTTTGTTGATTTTCTGTCTGGAAACATCTCTCTAATGCTGAAGGTAGGGTATTGAAGTCTCCAGCTATTATGATATTATAGTCTATCTCTTTAATTTTAATAATATATGCTTTATATATCTGGGTGCTCCAGCATTGGTTGCATATATATTTACAATGATTACATCCTCTTGCTGAATTGACCTCGTTATCATTATATAATGATCTTCTCTGTCTCTTTTATAGTTTTTGTCTTGAAATCTATTTTGTCTGATATAAGTATAGCTACTCCTGCTTTTTTTGGTCTCCATTGACATGGAATATCTTTTTCCATCCCTTTATTTTCAGTCTACATGGGTCTTTATATGAAGTGAGTTTCTTGTAGGGAACAGATCATTGGGTCTTTTTAAAAATCCATTTAGCCACTCTGTGTCTTTTGGCTGCAGTGTTTATTCCATTTATATTCAATATTATTATGGTAAGTAAAGACTTCTGCCATTTTGTAATTTGTTTTCTGGTTGTTTGTGGTCTTCTCTTCCTTCTTTCCTTCCTTTCTGTCTTCCTTTTAGTGAAGGTGATTTTCTCTGGTGACATGATTTAATTTCTTGCTTTTTTTGTATGTGTATTCATTGTATTTTTTAAATTAACCCAGATCTTAGGAGCTTAACATATGTTTTTTGATTTGCAGTTACCATGAAGCTTGCAAACACTATCTTATAACCCATTCTTTCCAGTGAATAACAACACTTATTGCATAAACAAACTAAAAATTAAAAATAAAACTAATAAAAACTCTACACTTTAACTTCATCCCCCTGCTTTTTAAATTTTTATTGTTTTGCCCAGTGCAGTGGCTTAGGCTTGTAATCCCACCAGTTTGGGAGACAGAAGTGGAAGGACTGCTTGAGCCCAGGAGTTTGAGGCCAGCCAGAGCAACATAGTGAGACCCCAGCTCTACAAAAAAACAGAAGAATATTAGCTGGGCATAGTGGTGTGTACCTGTACTCCCAGCTACTTGAGAGACTGAGGTGGGAGGATCGCTTGAGCCTGAGAGGTTGAGTCTGCAGTGAGCCATTGATCACACCACTGCCCTTCAGCCTGGGCAACAAAGTGAGACTGTCTCAAATATATATAATGAATTATAAAAATATATAATATATAAAAATATATATGTAATATAGAAAATATATTTTATGAGTTTTTGTTGTTTCTATTTATATTTTATTGTGCTGCCTATGTCTTGAAAAGTTGTTTTTGATTGATTCATCTTTTAGTCTGTCTACATAAGTGTAGTTTACACATCACAGTTACAGTATTATAAAATTCTGTGTCCTTACTATTACCAGTGAGTTTTGTACCTTCAGATGATTTTTTATTGCTCATTAACATCCTTTTCTTTCTGATTGAAGTACTCCCTCTAACATTTCTTATAGGGCAGGTCTGGTTTTGATGAAATCCCTCAGCTTTTTTTTGTCAGGGAAAGTCTTTATTTCTTTTTCATGTTTGAAGGATATTCTCACCAGACATACTAATCTAGGCTAAAGTATTTTTCCTTCAGCACTTTAAATATGTCATGCCACTGTCTCCTGGCCTGTATGTTTTACACTGAAAAGTCTGCTTCTAGAGGTGTTGGAGCTTCATTGTATGTTGTTTGTTTCTTTTCTTTTGCTGCTTTTAGGATCCTTTCTTTATTCTTGACCTTTGAAAGTTTGATTATTAAATGCCTTGAGATAGTCTTCTTTGGGTTAAATCTGCTTATTGTTCTATCGCCTCTTGTACTTGGATATTGTGATCTCTTTCTTTAGGTTTGGGAAATTCTGTTATTACATCTTCACATAAACTTTTTACCTCTATCTTTTTCTCCACCTCCTCCTTAAGACCAATACCTCATAGATTTGCCCTTTTGAGGCTGTTTTCTAGATCTTGTAGGCATGTTTCATTGTTTTTTATTCTTTTTTCTTGTCTCCTTTCACTATGTGTTTTCAAATAACTTGTCTTCATGCTTATTAATTCTTCTGCTTTATTCTTTCTGGTATCAAGAGACTGATGCATTCTTTAGTATGTCAAAATTTGCATTTTTCACCTCCAGAATTTCTGCTTGATTCTTTTAAGTTATTTTTATCTCTTTGTTAAATTTATCTGATAGAATTCTGAATTCCTTCTCTGAGTTATCTTGAATTTCATTGTGTTTCCTCAAATCAGCTATTTCGTATTCTCTCTGTGAAAGGTCACATATCTCTGTTTCTCCAGGATTGGTCCTTGGTGCCTTATTTAGTTCATTTGGATGGTTTCGATGCTTGTGGATATTCACTGGTCTCTGGGTATTGATGAGTTATGTATTTATTGTAGTCTTTGCAGTCTGGGTTTGTTTGTACCCGTTCTTCTTGGAAAGGCTTTCTAGGTATTCAAAAGGACTCGGGTGTTGTGATCTAAGCCATATCTGCATTAGGGGGCACCCCAAGCCCAGTTATGCTATGGTTCTTGCAGACTCATAAAGGTATTGCTTTGGTGGTCTTGGATAAGATCTTGAAGAATTACCTGGATTACCATGTAGATACTCTTGTTCTTTTCCCTTACTTTCTCCCAAATGGAGTCTCTCTGTGTGTGCTGAACCTCCTGGGGCTGGGGATGAGATGATACAAGCACCCCTGTGGCCACCACCACTGTCTGTGGGTTATACCTAAAGCCAGCACAGTCCTAGGTGTCATCCAAGGCTTGTTGTAGCCACTACTTGGCTATTGCTAATGTTTGCTCAAGGCATTAGGACTCTACAATCAGCAGATGGTGAATCTAGCCAGGTGTGTATCCTTCCCTTCAGAGTGGCAAGTCCCCTGAGGCCCTAGGCAGGTCCAGAGATGCTGTCCAGGAACCAGGGACTGCAGTTAAAAATGATAAAAGTGTACCTGTGTTCTACTGCAGCTGAGCTGGCCCTTAAACCATGAGACACAGTCCTTTCCACTTTTCCCTCCCATTTCCACAGGGAGAGGACCCTCACCTCATGGCCACCACCACCATGGGCACACAAGAGATACTGCCAGACTACCATCAATGGTTCTCAGTCAGCTTGTGGTGAATGCTGCCAGGCCTGGGAGTCTCTCTTCAGGGCAGTGGGCTCCCCTATGGCCCAGGGAAGGTCCAGAAATTTTGTCCAAGAGCCAAGTCCTGGAAGTGGGGATCCCAAGAGCCTGCTCAGTACTCCTTTCCACTGTGGCTGAGCTAGTACCTAACATGTAAGACAATGTCCCCATTACTTTTCCTTCTGCTTTCCTCAAGCAGGAGTCTCTTACTGTAACCACTGTGGCTGAGAATATGCTGAGTATCACCTGAAGCCAACATGTCTCAGCATCTCAACAAAGCCCCATGGTGTACTATCTGGGTATCACTGCTGGTTATTCAGGGCCCAAGGGCTCTTTAGTCAGCAAATGATGGATCCTGCCAGGACTGAGTCCTTCCCTTCAAGGCAGTGTGATCTCATATGTCCCAGGGTGTGTCTAGAAATGTAGGCCAGGAGTTAGGTGTTGGAATGGGGGCCTCCTGACTCTGACTGGTGCCCTATTCTACTGTGGCTGAGCTGGTATCCAAGATGCAAGACAGAAGTCCTCTTTACTCCTCCGTCTCCTCTCCTCAAGCAGAAGAAAAGTGTCTCTTTTGGAGCCACTAGCTGTGCTGCCTGGGGTTGGGGAGAGGTGGTGTAAGCACTCTTTTAGCTGCTCTGTTGGTATCTCAGTAGTTGCACTCCCCTGACATCTGCTGGCTTCAAACACAGCCTAGCACTAAGACTTGCCTTGGAGTTGCAGTCCTTGTGGCCTACCCTGTCTTTCAAGTTTACTTAGGGGTTCAGAGCACTTCAGCCCATGGTGGGAAGGCTTGCTGGAACTCTGCTTGTTTGGATGATTCCCTTCTGACTAGGGATGGTCTAAGTGCTACCTCCATGGGCAGGCATCAGCTGAGTTCAGTCAATTCCCGCTGTGACAGAGCAGCTCTGAGTTTAATGCAAAGTCTCACAGTTGTGCTCTCCCTCTCCCAAGCACACAGATTTTCTCTCTGTGCCATGCAGATGGTTCAGGGGTATAGGAGAGGGGTGGCAATGGCAATTCAAGACTATCTTTCATCTTTCTTCAGTGCCTCTTTCAGCGATATGAAGTTAAAACTAGGTATTATGAGTGCTCACCTGATTTTTGGTTCTTATGAAGATGCTTTTTTTGTGTAGATAGTTATTACATTTGGTGTTCCTGTGATGAGAGGATGATCAGTGGAGCCTTCTATTCGCCGTCTTGCTCTGCCCTCCTACCACATTTTTTAATTAAGATTTTATAGAAAAGCAGAACTGCTATCAATGATATAGAGTAAGGGATTTATTACAGGGATTAGACCTTAGGCAACAGCTGATGGATCAGCATTCAGGCTATTGCTTTTGTATCTAGTATTGGGCATGTTTTTCTTATGGCCATGATAGAGACAGAAATGGAAACAGAAAAGGCCTCTTTAAGCCTAAATTTGGAACTTCAGCACACCTTCATTTTGGGCTTATATTTTGCCTAAAGTCATATCCACAAGCTGAAGGTCAAGAAGATAGGTAAATATGCCCCTGTTCACAGTAGGAAGGTAATGCAAAATTGCATGACAAAAGGCATGGGTATAGGAGAGGTAAGTATTAATAATTAGGGCCAGTAACAATCTACTATGCAATCTAATTATGTATTCTTAAATTTCAGTAATAGTAGTAGTAGTAATAACTAACATCCATTGAGTGGTTACTCTGAGCCAGGCACTATTCTAAGTAATTTGTAAGTATCAGCCCATTTAATTCTCTTGAGAAACCTATCAGGTAAGTCTAATATTATTTCCATTTTACAGATGAGGAAACTGAGTCCTGGAGCAGATAAATAATAACCCAAAGTCAAGTAGATAGTAAGTGGTGAAGCCTGGATTTGAAGCACAGGGCCTGATGCAGAGCCTCTCTTGCTAACAGTTCCGGTCCCTAAAGCAAAAATTATAATAATCCTGCCCTTTTCTGAACTGGTCAATCCATTTTTGGAGTTTTTGTGTATGAGGACACCACAGGCCGAAAGCTATCCCAAGACCAGGTTGTGACAGGGTTGGAAACCCACTCCAATGGTAAATAAAACTAGGGCCCTTTAGCCAAATTCCAGGAAGCATGCTTTCCAGTATTTCAATGCTATTTTGTAAAAGAGGAATGAGAATTGTATTTTGTAGCCACCGGCAAATTACAGGTTTAAGCTGAAAAGCATTTATGAAATGCCCATCTCTGCAAGTATGCTGCTTGAGGATTCAGAGATAAGAAAAAATGAGTACACTGTCTATCTTGGAGGAATTTCCAGTTTAGAACAGGAGGGAAGCAAACTTGGGCTCCCCATAAGACTTTCTGAAGAATTTAACAGCTGGGCAGTGTACTGGGCTGCATTGTTGAGCAGTAGGTGTCCTTCCCTCGGAAGTATGTATGTGGGGGGTCCTGAAATCTCACCTCCTGGGACAGTACGGAGGAGACTTCCACAGTGAGTGCTGCCGGTTGTGGGGGGGCGGGGTTGGGGTTGGATTGGATCCCAAGCCAAGAACTGGTGATGAGAATATAAGCTCCAGGAGGATGAGATTTTTGTTGGTTGTATTCACTGCTATATTCCTAGGACCTAGGACAGTTCCTAGTACAGAATGAGTGCTCAATATTTAAATATATGAAAGAATGTGAATATTTTAAAACCGGGAGATTTCACATAAAAACCTGCATTTGCTTGCACTGAATATTGAACAAGTGGAAGATTTGGCAACAGTGGGCTTATCTATTTTTGTGTACGGAAGTGAAGAATACACCTTTGTTTAATATGCCACTAGCTCAGCTTCACTCAATTACATTGTCCGTCTGGTCCTGTTCTTTGCAGCCTCTGAGTTAATCACTGAAATCTCTGCCAACTCCAAGTGTCTACAAAACTGAATTTTATAGTTGAAATTTGGGAGCAGAGTTCCAAAATGGAGAGGTTTTCTGTCAATTAACAGTTTGCATTGTTTGAATATCAAGAAAATTGCCTACACAACATTTGCATTACATTTCATTACTTAATCAAATCATTCAAGATACATTTTTATTGCTATTACTTAATCAAATCACGCAAGATACATTTTTATTACTTTCATAATGTTAAACTAGACAAACCATTCTGACAGCAAAGGAAGAGAATATCTTTGTTTAAATGAGAATTTTAAAATATATAATAAGCATTATATACAGTATATTATATGCTACATATTTATATATGTAATAATATACAGTATAATATCTATAACATATGAGTCTTTCTGGAAACTGATCTATTTTAATAAGAGAAACAAACACAAAAGGATTATTCCACTATTTTTTAAATTATAAAACATACATTTCATTAGAATACAGTTTATAGTAATAACTTTTGAACTCCAGGATCACACAAACTGAGGCAAAATTTAGAACAAATGATCACCATAGCTAATGGTGGAATGTTTGGTTAATGCCTTTGAAACTAAAAATATCTTGAAAGCATCCTTTCTAGTCATCCACTTGTATGTAAGCCAAGAAAGAAACACACTTCTAGGCATCACTGGAGTGCCATGGAGGTGCATGGAATTAAGGAAATCATTTTGATCTTTTCTGGTCGAGTAAGGATCTTCCTTATTTTCATTAGTGTCATTACCCGCTGTTAAAAACATTTTATTATGTTGTCTAGAGGAACTACAAATGTGTTAGACAAGGTTTGCTGATTTCAGATATCAAGTTTGTCTCTTCTTACAGGTGCATCCGTGGACAAACTAATGTTACATTTTAAATTCCATTAATCAAATTCAAAATAATGGGAAGGTTTGCATTCTCGTCACTGTAGAATATCAGTCCATATCATCCTAGGGAAAGTTTGCCAATAAAATTGGTTAGACATCCAACTTTTACTACCGTGTAGTCTCATCAGTTCTTTCTTTCACGTGAGTCTATCTACGATTTTATCTTGCTGTTCTTTTCCAAGTTTTTTTCTTTTTTTTTTTTTATCATGAAGGTACTGCTTTCATAAGCTTGTGACCAGCTTTGTGATGAGTGTTGGTAATGGTGAAATGTCAAAAGGCAGGTGCTGTTCCTTTAACACAAGAAACAGACATTCTCCCCCAGGTACTAGCTTTCTAATATGTACAATAGATAGGCAGCTGGGTGCGGTGCCTCATGCCTGTAATCCTAGCACTTTGGGAGGCTGAGGCAGGTGGAACCCTTGAGGTCAGGAGTTTGAGACCAGCCTGGCCAACATGGTGAAACCTTGTCTCCACTAAAAATGCCAAAAATTTAGCCAGCCGTGGTGGTGCATGCCTGTAATCTCAGCTACTGAGGAGTCTGAGACAGGAGAATCACTTGAACCTGGGAGGCAGAGGTTGCAGTGAGTCAAGATTGTGCCACTGAAGTCCACCTGGGCGACAGACAAGCAAAACAAAACAAAACAAACGAACAAGAAACCCAAAAAAATAGCAGCAGAATAATCAAAGCCTCTTGGATGAACTTCCAGTTTTTTCCTTATTGATTTTCTTTCACTCTAAGATAGATCGTCATGATAAACTGCTTCAATGAATAACTTCTCTACGTAGGAAATGTAGAAAGCCCAAGCAATAAACCCAATTTGATTGAGAAGAACTATGAAGATGTCATCTGTAAAAACAATGCTCCTTTCAACAATAATAAATGTATTGGCCAGGTGCAGTGGCTCACCCCAGTGGCCCAGCACTTTGGGAGGCTGAGGCAGGTGGATCACGAGGTCAGGAGATGGAGACTATCCTGGCTAATACGGTGAAACCCCATCTCTACTAAAAATACAAAAACTTAGCCAGGCTTGGGGGCGGGTGACTATAGTCCCAGTTACTTAAGAGGCTGAGGTAGGAGAATGGCATGAACCCGGGAGGCAGTTGGCCGAGATCGCACCACTGCACTCCAGCCTGGGTGACAGAGCAAGACTCCGTCTCAAAAAAATAAAAAAAAAATAAAAATAAAAATAAAAATAAATAAAATAAATGTATCTTTCCCCAGTACCTTGGGATAGATTTTTTACATTGACTTGCTGTGCTAAGCAATGTGAAATGTTCTGATCCCTAGGAAATCATTTTCTGGGGAGTAGGAAATAAATGTGCCCAATTCTGAATTTTTGCCAATAGCTGAGATAACAAAGAGTCACCAACTGCTAGTTATCAGAGACAAGAGTTAAACTTGCATTTAAGATGATAGGATATTGGCTTTGCATTCTGATTTACAGAAATAAAACTTTATGGACTGAAAAAATAGCATACGTAATATAAAAAGAGGCTTACTCTTAATGTTCATGTAAAAATTAAAACTTCTGTATAATTTGATGTTTAAAATAAAATATTTCATGTAAACGATTAACTTTTAATGAAGTTTCTCTTTTAACTTCCATGATACATGTTCAAGATGTATTAAGTAAAACCCAAATGTGTACATACACAAACCTCTTATATATCTATCTATCTATGTATCTATCTATGTATCTATCTATCTATCTATCTATCATCTATCTATCTATCTATATATATATATATTTTTTTTTTGAGATAGAGTCTCGCTCTGTCACCCAGGCTGGAGTGCAGTGGCACAATCTCTGCTCGCTGCAACTTCCATCTCCCGGGTTCAAGCAATTCTCCTGCCTTAGCCTCCTGAGTACCTGCGACTACAGGCATGTGCCACCACACCGGGCTATTTTTGCATTTTTAGTAGAGGTGGGGTTTCATCATATTGGCCAGGCTGGTCTCAAACTCCTGACCTCAAGTGATCTACCTACCTTAGCCTCCCAAAGTGCTGGGATTACAGGTGTGAGCCACTGCACCTTGCCTATATATTGATATAAATGATGATACATATATAAAGCATTCTTCTGAGAAGTTGCAAAGATGCAAGAGTAGTTTTTCTGTAGGGCTCAGACAACCTGTCATACATAAAACAAAAGGTTCCCACATGGAAGGGTTTCTTTTTTTTTCCTTTCTTTCTTAATTTTTTTTTTTTTTTTTAGACAGAGTCTCACTCTGTTGCCCAGAGTGGAGTGCAGTGGCACTATCTTGGCTCACTGCAACCTCCACCTCTCCAATTCAAGAGATTCTCGTGCCTCAGTCTCCCCAGTAGCTGGGATTACAGGCATGCACCACCATGCCCGATTAATTTTTGTATTTTTAGTAGAGACAGCATTTTACCATGTTGGCCAGGCTGGTCTCAAACTCCTCCAGTGATCTGCCCGCCTTGGCCTCCCAAAGTGTTAGGATTACAGGTGTGAGCCACTGCACTTGGCCAGATTTTGTTATTGTTGTTTTCATGCAACAAATCTGACAGGAGAATAGGAGTCCAACCCCTGGAGTTGCATTGGCTGCCTCTGAACTCCCTAGAATTCTAAATTTATCATTCCATGTATTAATTATTCCAGTGATTCCTCCCATAAATAAGTTGTTCCTTGGGGAAAATGAGAGACAATTTGGGAAGTTGTGTTTCTTGTTTCAGGCCACTAGTAGTATATGAAAGAACCCCATTCTTGAGGGCTGCCCATAAGCATGTGCCCATTTGCTAAGCAGATAACCTAAAGACAAAGAGGCCAGGCATGGTGGCTCACACCTATAATTCTAGCACTTTGGGAGGCAGAGGTAGGTGGATTGCTTGAGCTCAGGAGTTCAACACCAGTCTGGGAAACATGGCAAAACCCCCCCTCTACAAAAACTACAAAAATAGTGGGCATGATGGCACACACCTGTAATCCCAGCTACTTGGGAGGGTGAGGTGGGAGGGTGGCTTGAACCTGGGAGGTCGAAGCTGCAGTGAGCTATGATCATGCCATTGCACTCCAGTCTGGGTGACAGAGCAAGACCCTGTCTCAAAACAAAAACAAAAACCAAAACAAAAACCAAAACAAAAACCAAAACAAAAACAAAAACAAAAACAAAAAAAGACAATGGTCACTTCCAAAACTCCACTGTTGAACCATACTGTTGAACCATAAGGTCACCTGGAGCACTGAAAGGATAGTTGATTCATATTTTGACCCTTTCCAACAAAACACTTTTCACTAAGTTAAAAATGTTGCCCCTACATTTTAGGAAGCCCTTCTCATACCTGTAAGTCAGTCTTGTCCTGTTTCTATCTCCATACACATTAATTTTCTTGGGGTCATGACTTCCTAACTTCTTCAACATTAATTCCAATTCTCTATCAGATAACTTAAAACACTGAAAAAAAAAGCAGAGTAAAAGAAAGAATAGAGGCTAATCTGAGAAGACTTAATTCTCTTATTTAGCTGTAAGCAAGTTGGGGTGGGGGTGCAATGTCATTTGTGTGTGTGTGAGGATTCCTAACATGTTGTGTGTGTGTGTGTGTGTGTGTGTGTGTGTGTGTGTGTGTGTGTGTGTGATGGAGTCTAGCTCTGGCACCCAGGCTGGAGTGCAGTGGCACAATCTCTGCTCGCTGCAACTTTCGCCTCCTGGGTTCAAGTGATTCTCCTGCCTCAGCCTCCCTCTCAGTAGCTGGGATTACAGGCATGTGCCACCACGCCTGGCTAATTTTTATATTTTTAGCAGAGATGGGGTTTCACCATGTTGGCCAAGCTGGTCATGAACTCCTGACCTCAAATGATCTGCCTGCCTCGGCCTCCCAAAGTACTGGGATTACAGGCATGAGCCACTGCGCCATGCCCCGACATGTTCTTAAAGAGCAGAAAAACATGTAACGCTTAGTTCACTTGAAAGCCTTCCACGGAATACATTTCAGTGAGTGACAGACACAATGTTTTTGTTCCATTAGAAGTATTTTATTTTAAAGTACACTTGAAATTTTAAATGTGTACAAATTCAGAGGTTTAAAAAACTTCGAAAGTCACAGACACAGAATTTAGGAAGCTGAAGGCTGAGAGTCTCCCTTCTCACTTAATCCATGCTTTATTTTGCATTCCTCACAGGTAAGGAGGCAGTGCCTAGAAGAGAAGCAAAAATAGACAGCGGTTTGTACTTTGACACTGGAAGCCCTAGTCTTTACATAACATATTATTCTTATTATTTTAACATAATCTTTTTAATAGAGATGTGGGGGGAGTCTATCTATGTTGCCCAGGCTGGTCTCGAGGGCTCAAGGGATCCTCCCACCCAACCCTCTTGAGTAGCTGAGACTACAGGCATGAACCACTGCACCTGGCTTTAACACAATATTAGAAATATAGTCTATGCTAAAGTTCACTAGCCTTGTTTTTTCAGAAATAATAGGAGTATTCTCCCATTCTGTAGGTTGCCTGTTCACTCTGAAGGTAGTTTCTTTTGCTGTGCAGAAGCTCTTTAGCTTAATAACATCCCATTTGTCAATTTCGGCCTTTGTTACCATCGCTTTTGGTGTTTTAGACATGAAGTCCTTGCCCATGCCTATGTCCTGAATGGTATTGCCTAGGTTTTCTTCTAGGATTTTTATGGTTTTAGGTCTAACATTTAAGTCATTAATCCATCTTGAATTAATTTTTGTATAAGGTGTAAGAAAGGGATCCAGTTTCAGCTTTCTACATATGGCTAGCCAGTTTTCCCAGCACCATTTATTAAATAGGGAATCCTTTCCTTATTTCTTGTTTTTGTCAGGTTTGTCAAAGATCAGATGGTTGTAGATGTGTGGTATTATTTCTGAGGGCTCTGTTCTGTTCCATTGATCTATATCTCCTGTTTTGGTACCAGTACCATGCTGTTTTGGTTACTGTAGCCTTGTAGTATAGTTTTTTAAATTATTACACTTTAAGTTTTAGGGTACATGTGCACAACGTGCAGGTTTGTTACTTATGTATACATGTGCCACGTTGGTGTGCTGCACCCATTAACTCATCATTTACATTAGGTATATCTCCTAATGCTATCTCTTCCCCCTCCCCCCACCCTACAACAGGCCCTGGTGTGTGATGTTCCCCTTCCTGTGTTCAAGTGTTCTCATTGTTCAGTTCCCACCTATGAGTGAGAACATGCGGTGTTTGGTTTCTTGTCCTTGCAATAGCTTGCTGAGAATGATGGTTTCCAGTTTCATCCATGTCCCTACAAAGGACATGAACTCATCCTTTTTTTATGGCTGCATAGTATTCCATGGTGTATATGTGCCACATTTTCTTAATCCAGTCTATCATTGTTGGACATTGGGTTGGTTCCAAGTCTTTGCTATTGTGAATAGTGCCACAATAAACATACGTGTGCATGTGTCTTTATAGCAGCAGGCTTTATAATCCTTTGGGTATATAACCAGTAATGGGATGGCTGGGTCAAATGGTATTTCTAGTTCTAGATCCCGGAGGAATCGCCACACTGACTTCCACAATGGTTGAACTAGTTTACAGTCCCACCAACAGTGTAAAAGTGTTCCTATTTCTCCACATCCTCTCCAGCCCCTGTTGTTTCCTGACTTTTTAATGATAGCCATTCTAACTGGTGTGAGATGGTATCTCATTGTGGTTTTGATTTGCATTTCTCTGATGGTCAGTGATGATGAGCATTTTTTCATGTGTCTTTTGGCTGCATAAATGTCTTCTTTTGAGAAGTGTCTGTTCATATCCTTTGCCCACTTGTTGATGGGGTTGTTTTTTTCTTGTAAATTTGTTTGAGTTCTTTGTAGATTCTGGATATTAGCCCTTTGTCAGATGAGTAGGTTGCAAAAATTTTCTCCCATTCTGTAGGCTGCCTGTTCACTCTGATGGTAGTTTCTTTTGCTGTGCAGAAGCTCTTTAGTTTAATTAGATCCCATTTATCAACTTTGGCTTTTGTTGCCATTGCTTTTGGTGTTTTAGACATGAAGTCCTTGCCCATGCCTATGTCCTGAATGGTATTGCCTAGGTTTTCTTCTAGGGTTCATATGGTTTTAGATCTAACATTTAAGTCTTTAATCCATCTTGAATAAATTTTTGTATAAGGTATAAGGAAGGGATCCAGTTTCAGCTTTCTACATATGGCTAGCCAGTTTTCCCAGCACCATTTATTAAGTAGGGAATCCTTTCCCCATTTCTTGTTTTTTCAGGTTTGTCAAAGATCAGATAGTTGTAGATATGCGGCATTATTTCTGAGGGCTCTGTTCTGTTCCATTGGTCTATATCTCTGTTTTGGTACCCAGTACCATGCTGTTTTGGTTACTGTAGACTTGTAGTATAGTTTGAAGTCAGGTAGCATGATGCCTCCAGTTTTGTTCTTTTGGTTTAGGATTGACTTGGCAATGCGGGCTCTTTTTTGGTTCCATATGAATTTTAAGGTAGTTTTTTCCAATTCTGTGAAGAAAGTCATTGGTAGCTTGATGGGGATGGCATTGAATCTATGAATTACCTTGGGCAGTATGGCCATTTTCACGATATTGATTCTTCCTACCCATGAGCATGGAATGTTCTTCCATTTGTTTGTATCCTCTTTTATTTCATTGAGCAGTGGTTTGTAGTTCTCCTTGAAGAGGTCCTTCACATCCCTTGTAAGTTGGATTCCTAGGTATTTTATTTTCTTTGAAGCAATTGTGATGGGAGTTCACTCATGATTTGGCTCTCTGTTGCTTGTTGTTGGTGTATAAGAATGCTTGTGATTTTTGCACATTGATTTTGTATTCTGAGACTTTGCTGAAGTTGCTTATCAGCTTAAGGAGATTTTGGGCTGAGATGATGGGGTTTTCTAAATACACAATCATGTCATCTGCAAATAGGAACGATCTGACTTCCTCTTTTCCTAATTGAATACCCTTTATTTCTTTCTCCTGCCTGATTGCTCTGGCCAGAACTTCCAACACTATGTTGAATAGGAGTGGTGAGAGAGGGCATACCTGTCTTGTGCCAGTTTTCAAAAGGATGTTTCCAGTTTTTTCCCATTCAGTATGATATTGGCTGTGGGTTTGTCATAAATAGCTCTTATTATTTTGAGATACATCCCATCAATACCTAATTTATTGAGAGTTTTTAGCATGAAGGGCTATTGGATTTTGTCAAAGGCCTTTTCTGCATCTATTGAGATAATCATGTGGTTTTGGTCTTTGGTTCTGTTTATATGGTAGATTATGTTTATTGATTTGCGTATGTTCAACCAGTCTTGCATCCCAGGGATGAAGCCCACTTGATCATGGTGGATAAGCTTTTTGATGCGCTGCTGTATTTGGTTTGCCAGTAGTCTATTGAGGATTTTTGCATCAATGTTCATCAGGGATATTGGTCTAAAATTCTCTTTTTTTTGTTGTGTCTGTGCCAGGCTTTGGTATCAAGATGATGTTGGCCTCATAAAATGAGTTAGGGAGGATTCCCTCTTTTTCTATTGATTGGAATAGTTTCAGAAGGAATGGTACCAGCTCCTCTTTGTACCTCTGGTAGAATTTGGCTGTGAATCCGTCTGGTCCTGGACTTTTTTTGGTTGGTAAGCTATTAATTATTGCCTCAATTTCAGAGCCTGTTATTAGTCTACTGAAGGGATTCAACTTCTTCCTGGTTTAGTCTTGGGAGGGTGTATGTGTCCAGCAATTTATCCATTTCTTCTAGATTTTCTAGTTTATTTGCATAGAGGTGTTTATAGTATTCTCTGACGGTAGTTTGTATTTCTGTGGGATCAGTGGTGATATCCCCTTTATCACTTTTTATTGCATCTATTTGATTATTCTCTCTTTTCTTCTTTATTAGTCTTGCTAGCAGTCAATCAATTTTGTTGATGTTTTCAAAAAACCAGTTCCTGGATTCATTGATTTTTTGAAGGGTTTTTTATGTCTCTATCTCCTGAAAATTTTTACAATCTACACATTTGACAAAGGGCTAATATCCAGAATCTACAAAGAACTCAAACAAATTTACAAGAAAAAAACAACCCCATCAAAAAGTGGGCAAAGGTTATGAACAGACACTTCTTAAAAGAAGACATTTATGCAGCCAACAGACACATGAAAAAGGCTCACCATCACTGGTCATCAGAGAAATGCAAATCAAAACCACAATGAGATATCATCTCACACCAGTTAGAATGGCGATCATTAAAAAATCAGGAAACAACAGGTGCTGGAGAGGATGTGGAGAAATAGGAACACTTTTACACTGTTGGTGGGACTGTAAAGTAGTTCAACCATTATGGAAGACAGTGTGGCAATTCCTCAAGGATCTAGAACTAGAAATACCATTTGACCCAACCATCCCATTACTGGGTATATACCCAAAGGATTATAAAGCCTGCTGCTATAAAGACACATGCACAGGTATGTTTATTGTGGCACTATTCACAATAGCAAAGACTTGGAACCAACCCAAATGTCCAACAATGATAGACTGGATTAAGAAAATGTGGCACATATACACCTTGGAATACTATACAGCCATAAAAAAGGATGAGCTCATGTCCTTTGCAGGGACACGGATGAAACTGGAAACCATCATTCTCAGCAAACTATTGCAAGGAGAAGAAACCAAACACCGCATGTTCTCACTCATAGGTGGGAACTGAACAATGAGAACACTTGGACACAGGAAGGGGAACATTACATACCGGGGCTTGTTGTGGGGTGGGGGGAGGGGGAAGAGATAGCATTAGGAGATATACCTAATGTAAATGATGAGTTAATGGGTGCAGCACACCGACGTGGCACATGCATACATATGTAACAAACCTGCAATGTTGTGCACATGTACCCCAGAACTTAAAGTTAAAAAAAAAAAGAAATAATAGGAGTTGTTGCTTGGTTTATGACCCCCAGAATTTCACCCCTCAAAGAGCCAATAATGAGCTTTATGTTGAAACAGATGGTTGTATTTGTGGTCAGGGTCAGGCAGAGTTTGAACATCTTGATTCTTTTTGAATTCAAGTAATTTCTAACAATAGCATAAAAATTATAAACACACAGTGCATTGATCCAGGATTAAACTATATGACTATGGAGTTAGATTTGGACACATATGTGCACATATATATACACATAATTTTTTAAATTAAAAAATCATGATACTTCCAGAATTTCTGGCTTATAGTTTGCCTAACTTGTCCCAGTTTCCTTAGGATACCAAGGAAAATGCACAGGTTCGTTCTAGAATAATATTCGCATTTGAATATGAAATAGATGTCCTTGAGTCCCTTCTTGCATTAAAGTTTTATAATCTTACAAATTCAACAAACATTTACTGCTATGAGGAGTTGGCAACAGGATAACTTTGTTTATGCAGGACAGTGATAGGATGTGTTTTGAATGATAGAAAACTCATTCAATCTGGCTTGGGTGGGAAGGATTACTTCGAAGGTAGCAAGGCCAGCAACTGCTATTGTAAAACCCTGAAGACATGGAGGAGGAACCCCTTTCTCTCACTTATTTCCCCCCATTGCTTTGAGAATAAAGTGAAAATCCTTAGCATGGCATAAATTCCTTCAGGAGCTGACCTCTACCTGCCTGGACTTCCAGCTTGTTCTCTGCCTTTCCCAATAGCTCTTTATGCTCCAGCCATAGGATGTATTTATGGTTCCCTTTAAAAATGAAAATTTCCCCTCTCTACATACTATTCCTGGCCCAGAATCCCCTTCTTCAACCCTGCTATAGCTCCTACTATAGCCATAGCTCCTGCTATATCTCCTCTTGTCATAGCTTCTGCTGTAGCTCCTACTACTTGAATCTATTAAGATTCAAGTCAAGCATCATCACTTGCTCCAAGAAGTCCTTAATGCCTATTCCTTAACCCTCCCCTCCACCTCAACTGAGTTAAGTGCCCCACTCTACTTTCCTTTAATTAGAAAATCAAATAGCTTTGTGAATTATTGCCTCTCAGATTTGCTGGTAATGGCCCTTCACATAGGGCATAGCAATTCATTATCAGCTATGAATGCAAGCCCAGAGTGGGGCTGCCATGGCTGGCAGTGGGAAGGCAAAATGAAACCCCAGAACACAGAGCTTAAAGGAGCCCTGGAAACTAGTTACTTCAGTCACCTCCTTTCATAACAGACATTGTCTGAAAAATGTAGATTTCAGTCTTGTGTTCATAATTATTCTGGAATCCAAAGTGGGTTAATTGCAAAAGACACTCCTGAAATTGAAGAGGAAGAGGAAGAGGAAGCAGTCCTTTCCTTTACTTGTGCTACTTTTTCTTTCTTTTCCTGCACAGACCGGAATCATGTGGTCAATTCCTCCTCAGCAAGCTGACTCTAAAACACAACTTTGCAAGGATGGACTGAAGTTGGTGTTGTCTGTAAATATGGAATTATAGATTCTTTGGTGGCCTTGCTTCTTGTAATGGGAAGAGTAAGGGTTTGGAAAACAGATGATCTGAGGTGACAGACCATTTTCCACCCACTGCTAATGGTGTCACCTTCAGAAGGTCTCTGCAGCTCTTTGGGTCTCATGCAGCTCATCAGAAAGAGACAGTATTAAGGCCCCATCTATCACTACAGGACTAGGGAATGTGGCTTTCCAAAGTCACATAGTTAGAAAAAGAACTTGGGTGTTTTGACTTCTAGTCCAGTTTGTTTTCACCATATTGTGCTGCTTCTCAGATAGAACCCACTGTGACCAGTGAGGGGTGTTTAGAGAAATGTGTCCCCAACACTAGTCTTGTAACTTCTATAGTAGAAATAGCTAATGTTTACTGAGCACTTACTGAGTGTCATGAATAATCATTTCTATTCTTTACATCTCATAAAAACTATCTTGATCACTATTTTATACAGATAAGGAAACTGAAGATCAGAGAGCTTAAGAAACTTGCAGGGTCACACAACTTAGTAAGTGGTAGAACTGGTTTTTAAACCAAGTACTATAACAGCAGAGGTGATGCCATTAACTCCAAAGTCGTACTGCCTATTTCCCCTATTTAGAATCATGATATATACAGTATTAACATAGAAAAAGCTCTGAGAAGCCCTGCAGTAAAGAAACCTGTTAAAGTTTTGTGTGACTCTGTGATGGTGGAAGCCATATCTGCTCATTGAGGAATTCTTTAGTAACTTGCACAATGTTTGAACACAGTAGATTCCCATTAAATATTTATCAAACAAATGAAATTGGTAAGTAAGTGTAATAACAAAGTTATTATTGAAGTTGGGTAACAACAACGCTAAACTTGAGGGTTAAAACTTTTTTTACATGTGAATTTAAAAAATTGTGTTTAATATTATAAATAGTGAGTAATCTTTCATTTAATTTCTTATAATTACATTACAATCCCTCAACCAAACAGATTACAAACCTGTTATGCTGTGGACCAAAACCAGCCCCACGGAGCTGATCTTCAAAAAAATGGAATTTACTCTGGCATACTCCTATGTATGATACCTTTCCAAGGCCAAATCCCAAGAGACCAGCAACTGTAAAAGCAGGTTGGGAGAGATTAGTTGAGAATCTTCTCCATTAGTTATTTTCTAGAGCTTTAAAAATCAACGCTGGTAATTTTAAAATTAAAAGGACCACGCTAAATCAATGAATGAAGACTCTGAGAATGAAGTCTCTATTTAAAAAGAACAGGATTGGGAACTGGAGACTTCCCCATCTCAACTTTGCACTGGTGGTGGAAGGGCCAGGACAGAGCAAGCCACAGTGCTGTCCTGGAGACAGATGGCCAGAGAGGGCCCACCTGTCAAGCAAACGGTTGAGGCCACGGGGGCAGGGGAAGGTGGCTGGGTTGTGGCTATAGGTAGCTTCCAAATCACTGGGTAGAAATGCCCCTAATCTTCCTTATGGCCTTGGAGTAGTGGAGAGCTTCAGTCCATCTTGCCTATAGGAGAGAGGTCACAAAGGAGAGGGACCCTCCTATGGAAGAGATCTCGAATCTGTTCCTCCTGCTAGGAATGAATGTGGTTTCAGACTATCAACTAAAATGTGTCCTTTTTGTACATAAAAGATCTATTGATACCAGGTGAAGGAAGATGAAACCCCAAGTTTGTGGTTACTCTATTATTAGAAATCCCCTGATTCTTAAAAATTACTCATTTTTTATATCCATCGTAGAAAACATTTTGAAAAGACTGGCCAGGGCAAAAGAAGAAAATAAAAATCCATAAATGATCTATCATGCAGAGGCTCTGCTATTGATAATCTCATTATATATCCTGCCAGTCCCTCTTAGTCCATGCTTTAAGGATGGTCTAAGAAGAAGTCCCAACTGCTAAGCTGTATATCAGAAAGTGTTGAGTGAACTAAGAAATGCAGAGTGGCAGAAAATAGGGGCTGATTTTTCCAAAAGTCAATACAGGCAGTTTAGTTAGGCTGGACATTCGTATCTCCAGTTGCTAGTAATGTCTTTTTTTCAAAGTTTTTATTTATTTATTACTTTTTAAAAAAATAGATACAAGGTTTCACCATGCTGCCCAGGCTGGTCTCGAACTCCTGGACTCAAGCAATCTACCCACCTCAGCCTCCCAAAGTGCTGGGATTACAGATGTGAGCCACCACACTTGGCTTGCTTTTTTATTTCTATGACTTACGTGCAACTTTGGGCAATGATCCAAATCTAGAATTAGCTGCCAAATAACCTAAGGAGTAATAAAGAAAAACATTATTATTTCATTTCATAAATTAAATTATAAGTTATAAATTATAAGTTATTCTTAAAGTATAAAGAAACCTCCAAAATTTAAGACATAAAATTTCTTAAATGTATACATATTCTGACTTTAAAAAGATGATCTTGGCTGGGCGCAGTCACTTACGCCTGTAATCCAGCACTTTGGAGGCCGAGGCGGGCAGATCACCTGAGGTCAGGAGTTCGAAACCAGCTTGGCCAACATGGTGAAACCCCGTCTCCACTAAAAAAATACAAAACTTAGCCAGGCATGATGGTGGGTGCCTGTAATCCCAGATACTCAGGAGGCTGAGGCAGGAGGATCGCTTGAACCCAGGAGGCGGAGGTTGCAGTGAGCTGAGATGGCACCGATGCACTCCAGCCTGGGTGACAGAGCGAGACTCCATCTCAAAAAAAAAGATCTTAAAGGAGTTATGATTCAATTCTCAGTTGAATTGAACTCCCAGATAGTCATTTTAGGCAAATTACAAATATTAGCTGTAATGTGTAGAAAAATAATATGAAAAAGACAGTTCAAGACTGATTCAAAGACATCAAGCAAAGGTAGGGCTAACAACAGTGTTCAAAGAGATTAGTCATCATCCTCTTTTTTTTAAAATTATACTTTAAGTTCTAGGGTACATGTGCACCCTCTTTTCTTTTTAAGTAACTTAACATAGAAAGTTTCCATTTGGAGATTCACAGTGTATATCATTATTTTACAATGCAAACAGTACAACTCATGGTAGTTAGAATAATGGCCTTTTAGAGATACCCACATCCGAATTCCTGGAAAAGGTGAATATATTATGTCCCAAAAGGGGGATTAAGGTAGAAAATGGAACTAATGTTGCTAATCAGATGACTTTAAAAGAGAGAGATGATCAAGGTGTACCCAATGTCATCCTTCAGTGTGGAAGAGGAAACTGGTGACAGGCAGAGAGATGGCAGCAACAGAAGAACTTGGCTCAATGTTGCTGACTTTACAGTCATAGGAAGGGGCCACCGGTTAAGAAATATGCATGGTTCTAGAAACGAGAAAGGAAAAGGAAGCCCAAGAGCCTCCAGAAGAACACAGCTGGGGCGACGCCTTGATTTTAGCCCAGTGAGACCCATTTCAGCATTCTGATTTCCAAGGACTGTAAGATAATACATTTGTGTTGTTTTAAGTCACTCTGTGGTAATTTGTTAGAGAAGTTATAGAAAACTGATATCAAACTCTGAAAAAAATGTATTAGCATAGATGCAAAAAATGGTAGATGTCTTAGTCTGTTTTCTGCTGCTATAACAGAATACCATACGCTGGATAATTTATAAAGAACAGAAGTTCACTTGGCTCACAGTTCTGGAGGCTGAGAAGTCCAAGAGCACAGAGCTGGCATGTAGTGAGGGTTATCCCATGGCAAGGAAGTGCATGAAACAGAGAGCAAGAGGAGAGGCTGAACACATCCTTTTTATAAGGAACTCACTCCCATGATAATGGTAGTAATCAATTCACGAGGGTGGAGCCCTCATAACTTAACCTCTTAAAGGCCCCACCTCTTGATACTGTTACAATGGCAGTTAAATTTCACCCTGAGTTTTGAAGGAGACATTCACACCACAAGCAGTAGATTTGGAGTATTTTAATACTTATAAAACATAATCCTGGCTGGGTGCGGTGGCTCTTGCCTGCAATCTCAGCACTTTGGGAGGCTGAGATGGGCAGATCACTTGAGGTGGGCAGATCACTTGAGGTTAGGAGTTTGAGACCAGCCTGGCCAACATGGTGAAACCCTGTCTCTACTAAAAATACAAAAATTTGCTGGATGTGGTAGCACAGGCCTGCAATCCCAGCTACTAGGGAGGCTGAGGCAGGAGAATTGCTTGAACCCAGCAAGTGGAGGTTGTAGTGAGCCGAGATCACACCACTGCACTCCAGCCGGAGCGACAGAGTGAGACTCCATCTAAAAAACAAACAAATAGACAAACAAAAAACCCATAATCCCCATAGATGTCCCAGCCCCAATATTTTTATGTGTCAAAAATGATCTGAAAAATGCTATCTTCAAATTATAAAAATAAAATCATATTTAATATATGACCTTTATGGACAAGAATGATATTGGTCAAAGTGGGATTCTCCTAGATATGTGACATGTGGTTTTTGAGACCCAGAAAAGAACTAGGACTTCTTCCCTCATATTTACTGGTACAAATGTTCCTTTTAAGATCCTGGTAATCAAGGCTGGGTGTGATGGCTCATGCCTGTAATCCCAGCACTTTGGGAGGCTGAGGTGGGAGGATCACAAGAGCTCAGGAGTTCGAGACCAGCCTAGGCAATATAGTGAGACACTGTCTCTGCAAAAATTAAAAAAAAAATTAGCTGGGTGTGGTGGCATGTGTCTATAGACCCAGCTACTTGGGAAGCTGAGATGGGAGCGTCACTCGAGCCCAGGAGGTTGAGACTGCAGGGAGCCATTATATCACTGCACTGGATGAGGGTGAGACCCTGTCTCAAAAACAAACAAACGAACCAAAAACCAACAAAACAAAACCCCAAGATCCCCATAAAGTCCTGATAATCAGAAGCCAGGCATGGTGGCACGTGCCTATAATCCCAGGTACTCAGGAGGTCTAGTGGCGAGGATTGCTTGAGCCCAACAGTTTGAGGACAGCTTGGGCAACATAGCAAGACCTCGTCTCATTTAAAAAAAAAAATAGCAAAATCCTGTTAATCAGCAGTGTTTGATAAAATGGGCTTAAACAAGATAAGGTGCCTTCTTGCCACCTGTGGACTAAGGAATGTCTCTGGGTTCTCTGGTCAGGTGGAGACAGGGAGGAGATGAAGAAGGAAGAACAGAGAGGAAAACAGGAAAACGCTAAGAGGCAGGGAGAGGTTATGTGGTGAGATGCAAGGCAGCTGCTGGTCCTTACGGTCTCTTGTATGGAGGAGACAGGGTGCCCTCCTCAGGCAGATGCAGCCTCTTGCCAAAAGAAATGGTGTGGTGGACACAGCTTAGGGTGGATTTTAGCTCCCCCCACCTCCTCCCTGCAACATCCTTATTTGTACAGGGAACCATCTGTCTAACCATATACAGAGGCCTTGGGAGACACAGGACTCCGGCACAGAGAAAGGCACAGGATTGCTTCTCTGTAGTTCCTGTAAACAAAGCAAATTTATTATCTTACAGTTCTTGAGGTCAAAATGGGTCTTACCGGATGAAAACCAAGGTTTTAACTGTGTTCCTTAAATGGGCTGCATTCCTAACTGGAGGCTCAAGGGTTTCTTGCCTTTCTAGCTTCTTGAGGCTGCCCACATTCCTCCACTAATGGTCCCTTCCTCCATCTTCAAGGCCAACAATGTTGAGCTGAGGCCTCACATTGCCGCCTCTCTGATTCCATCTTCAGATCCCGCCTTTCACTTGTAAGGACCCTTTCAATTACACTGGGCCCACCTGGATCACCCAGGATACTCTCCCTATTTTAAGGTCAGGTGATTAACAACCTTAATTCCATCTGCAACTTTAATTTCCTTTTGCCATGTAACCCAATATATTCACTAATTCTGGGGATTAGGATGCTTTCTGGGGAGATGGGGACTTAGGCTGAAAATAGGCAGAAGTCTGCATAAATACATCCTTCACCAAAAAATAAATGTCAAGGGCCAAAAAGCTGCCAGGAGGGTCACAGTAAACTGGGCTCTCTGAAATTAGATTATTTAACAAATATTGAATCTTACCTTGGTAGACTAGTCCCTGGGTGACAAGCATGCTTACAAGAGAAAAAGGCAGAGCTGTAAAGCAAAAATGTCCTTCAATATTGGTATTTTAAAAATTGGCACCTCACCTAGAAGTTAGGGAAAATTATTCTGAGCTTTTTCTCTTACCTTCCTTGGCAGTGAATTTTTATTCATTTGTTATTTTACTTATTCAACAAATATTTATTAAGTGCAGCATGGAGAATTTTCTTGGAATCTTCTCCAGTCACTTACCCTGAGGCACAGCATTAATTTGAACCCTATTCTACTTCATGTCTGACATCCACTTGTACTGAATGCCAACATGCACCAGATTCTAAGCACTACATATAATAAAGGCATCTTAGGGTATATGTACATTGACCTGTTGAATTTGGGAGTTGCCTTTAGCTATGTGTATATTTTGAAATTTTCAATCCTACACAAATGATAAAAAGCAATACAATAAACTCCTACATACCCTTCATCTAGATTCATTAATTGTGAACATTTTGCCAAATTTGCTTTATCTCTTTCTAATTTTTCCTTTTTTGTCTGAGCCATTTGAGATTTGCAAACATTATGACTCTTTGTCACTAAATACTTCAGCAGTTGTCTTCTAAAAACAAGAATGTTTCCCTACACAATTACACCACCATTAGCATGGTCAAAACATTTATATTTCTTGAACACTCATACTCAAGAAAAATTATATTAACTTATACACAATAGTTATTCAAATCTCTCCAGTTGGCCCAATAGCTGTGGGTTTTTTCCAACTCAGAAATTCAGGAGTCATACGTTACACATACTCTCCTATGTGCTTTAGTCTAGGACAGTTCCTTGCCTTTCTTTCTCTTTTTCATGACATTTTGTCTTACAATTTGGATTTGCTGAAAATCCAAATTAAAGATTACAAGATGACTATGTTCACGTTAAACATGTGTAATGTTTAGCTATAATTTTAAAACAGGAAATTTAGTCTGGGAAAGGCAATTTCTAGTTCTGTCCATCAATATGTGTCAAATGACTTCTTTCAAAAGCAGAGAGTAGTGATAAACATGTAGCTCTTTCTAGTTCAACAAAGACAAATCAAATAGCAACCAATTTTTCCACTCATAGCTACCCCATAGTGGGCAAATTGGTCATAGTGAAGTGTTAATCTACTAGGGCCCAATTAAATTTTCTGACAACTCATAAGTTGTCAGAAAACACATGAATTTCTGGAAGCACAGTCAGTAATCCCATAATGTATAAAGAATATCAACTTCTAGAAAGTGTTATTTCTAAAACAGGTGACACTAAATTTGAATGACTTAAGAAATCAAAATGAGTATTTCAAAGTATAAATTATCCACACATCAGCAATGTTGCAAAATATCAAGACTGTATCTACAGGTTCTACTCTGCCATTTTCAAATGCTATATCACACATTTTTTTAATTGGAAGGGACCTTAATACACAGCCTGAATTCACTCACACTCTTGTCTTATGTGAGGCAGGCTCAGAAAGAGGAAGTGACTCAGCTGAAAATGTTATTTCAGAGACAGTGTAAGCGAAGTATTAATGGAACGCGGCCATTCTTCATTCATTAGAGAAATATCGATTAGGAATTTTCTATGAACAGGGCACTGTGCTAGGCTCTAGAATGAAGTTTCAGATGAACTTGACATTATTTCTGAACCCTATGAAACTTAGAGTCTGGTAGAATGTAGGAAGGTCCACTCTTTGGGAGTCAGCAAATTCTAAATAATTGTCTTGGTACACGTTCTTGGTCACATATTCTTGGTAAAGGGAAGAGTTAAGTGTGCATCACTTTTTGCTAAGTGAGGTAAAGTGCTCCTTAATCAGATATTATCTCTGCCCTAAAAAAGGTCTGAACTTGGATTTAAACTCTAAACATCCCTGAATATCAGAGTTCATCAGATATTTATGCAAAGTCTCTGCTCAAACGTAAGTCATTACCACAATTCTAATATGATATTTAGGCAGTTTACTGCCACAAATACAGTGTTAGGTGCAATTACCTCTCTTCCAGAAACTTTCTTCCTGACATTCTCGCATAATCTTTGAGATCTCTGCTCTGTGGATGTGCAGTTTTGATTTTGGACAAAACAACAGGCTCTGTAAGGAAAGTTATATGGTGAGCTAACTGAGGTCATTGAAAAATCACCCACTTTGTTTTCTACAGAAGAGAACAGGGAGGTCTCTTCACTTGTTACACAGTGTGTGTTCTCTACCAGAGGCAGCCCAAAGCAATTATCAGTTTCCAAGAGTGCTTTCTCACTGGGAACACTGATGGACTTAGGCAACAGAAGAATTCTAGTCGGAGAGTGGGAGTGATTCACTGACTGGCGCAGGCAGCAGATTTGCAGGCAGCAGATTTGCGATCAGGCTGAATCCCTGCTGAGGCCACATTTCCTTCCCTACCTCCATGCCTCTATGTGGTTTACTATACCTAGAATGCTGTTCACTCCCTTCGCCTGACTGGCCTTAACACCCAGCTGAACATTGTCTCCTGGGTGAGGAAAGAGATTTTCCCTATAGCACAATATTTAGACATTGAGCATCACACTCAGAGAACCTATGTATATATGCACTTCTGTATGCATTTTTAGACTGTGGACTGCTTTTTATTATTTGACATAGTTTAGTTTACTTTCAATCTGGATGCTTTTTTTTTTACACATTTATAAGTGGTGTGCACATAATTTCTGGTGCAACTATTGACATGGTTGACATAACTTTTTATTAGTTCTGTAGTATTTTTTGGGAATTATTTATTAAAAATTTAAAAAAATTTTAATCGTTGTGGGTACATAGTAGGTTCTGCAGTGTTTTTTTTTTTTTTGATAAGGTCTCATTTTGTCACCTGGGCTAGAATGCAAGGGCGTGATCTTGGCTCACTGCAGACTCTACCTTCCAGGTTCAAGCAATCCTCCTACCTTAGCTCCCCTAGAAGCTAGGACTATAGTGACAATGGGGTTTTGCCATGTTGCCCAGGCTGGTCTCAAACTCCTGAGCTCAAGCAATCTGCCCTCATCGGCCTTCCAAAGTGCTAGGATTACAGGCGTAAGTCACTGATCCCAGCCTTGCGGTGTTTTTTTAATCAAGTTCATATGCTATCATCTAGACCAACTCCCATCTCTTACCATTCCTTTGGCTTTGTAGGTACATATGCTTTAATCACTCGCTCTTGTCCACATTCTCCACTCCTTCCCCTCTGCCCATCACAACCATTCTGAGTGTTTAATGTGGTTCTTTTATTTCTATCCATTCTTGCAAAATGTTCATTATTTTGGGTGAATGTATCTTTTTAATGTAAATAGCACTGTTTTATATATTTTATTCTTCAAATATTCTCAACTCAGCTCTATGCTTTTAAGATCCACCCATGTTGCTGTATTCATCTAGTCTGCTGCTTCTAACTGCTGCATAACTGTGCACAATGTCTCTGAGTTCCTACCACCTCATGTTCCCCTATGGACCCATGAGAGAACATTTTTCAGACATGAAACTAGAAGTAAAGCTCAGGGTGTGCATATTCTCACTGTGACAGAGTCTTGCTAGACCGCTCTCAATTGTTGCAGTCTCCACTCCTACCCGCAGGGCCTGAACATTCCCTTATGGCTCCGCAGCCTGTGTAAGAGCTAGGTATGGGTAAAGAAGATTCCAAGCAAGTTAAAGAAAGAATTTTCTAACACTTGGAATTATCCAGTTTTCTAAGCTGATAGGTATAAAGTAACATTTATTATCCTGTTTGTACTTCTTTGATAACGAATGTGTTTGACTATCTCTACATATTTTTCAGCTACACTGCCCTTCTCCTCTAGTTGTCAGGCAATTCCTGTAATTGGATCTGGGTTGTAATCTTTTGTTATATATTGGCTCATTAATTTTTTTGTGGAAAAATACATATAACATTTGCCATTTTGACCATTTTATTTTTATTTTTTTTAGAGACAGGGTCTCGCTCTGTCACCCAGGCTGGAGTATAGTGGTGCCATCATAGCTCACTGCAGCCTCGAACTCCTGGGCTCAAGTTAACCTCCCACCTCAGCCTCCTGAGTAGCTGGGACTATAGGTGCACACCATCATGCCCAGCTAATTGAAAAAACCATTTTTTTAATAGAGCTGGGGGAGGCGTGGGGGGGGCGTTCTCACTATGTGTCTCAGGCTGGTCTTGAACCCCTGGACTCAAGTGTTTGTCCCGCTTTGGCTTCCCAAAGTGCTGGGGTTACAGGTATGAGTCACCATGCCTAGCCCCATTAAGTTTTTTTTTTAAATTTAACTTGTTCCTTACTATAGAAGTCACACTCATATTTCCTTGTTTGTGAATTATTTATGTGTGTTATTTGCCATTTATCTCCAAGGTTTTAGTGTTTTTCTGGTTGAGGTGCAGCTCCTTAACTCTTGAAGTGTAGTTTGATTGTGCTGATCTTGCCACTGTCTTTTTTAGACTCTTTCTGTGTAATAGATGTCAATGTACAGATGGTCACCATTTCTTGAGCACTTTGTATGGGCCTGGTCCTGTGCCAAGCACTTTACATGCATGATGTCAATAAAAGGGGTGGAGAAACCCTCTGGCACCAGTGTCTGTGGAGCTCTACAAACAGTCCAAATGGGCAACCTCCCTCTTCTTTCCCTGCAACTCCCCAAGGCACAGTGCAAAGATGCAGTAAGTCCCAGGGTGAGTCACAGCAGCAGGAGAAGGAGTTGCTCTCAGTCTCCACTTACCTTCCTTACTTAGCACAGGCATGCCTCCAGATGCCCAGGGTGAATATTTGCTCTTGCTCTTGGCTGTGCCTGGGGCAGAAATAAGGACTGCCTCCCCTTAATAAACAAATGCACACACCCTGGCTATCACAATTGCTTCCAGTCCTGCCATCAGCCTGTAATCCCAGGCTTTGGGAGGCTGAGGCGGGCAGATCACTTGAGGTCAGGAGTTCCAGACCAGCCTCGCCAACATGGTGAAACTTCATCTCTACTAAAAATGCAACAATTAGTCAGGCATGGCGGCAGGTGCCTATAATCCCAGCTACTCGGGAGGCTGAGGTAGGAGAATTGCTTGAACCCAGGAGGTGGAGGTTGCAGTGAGCCAAGATTGTTCCATAGCACTCTAGCCTGGATGACAGAGTGAGACTCCATCTCAAAAAAAAAGGATCTCTGGTTATCATTTTCTGTATAGCCATGAATGTTTGATGACTCTCCATTTCACAGAGGCAACTCAGGTGTCCAAATAATTCTCCTTGTGACTTTCTATCATTTGTCTGTTTGCCTCGCCTAAACTTTGCTCCTTAAACATTACTGCTATTACACTATTTTTAGCTTGAACATGAACGCCATTGACCCATCAAATGCTTTCTCTTTTCTTCATTGATGTATTCCTGAAATACACAATATCCATTCCTAACAAGTTGAAAAATTGTTTCCATGTTAACACTTGGGTTCTCAATCTGCTAGCTAATTAGTAATAAAGGACTCTGCCACCCTGAACAGGAACACCTGTCAGCAGCATAGGATTAGTGTGATTACTTACAGTAATATAAATGTAAAAAAATAAGCAAAATATTGCCTGTAATCTCAGCACTTTGGGAGGCTGAGGTGGGAGGATCATTTGAGCTCAGGAGTTTGAGACCAGCCTGGGCAATATAATGAGACCCCCATCTCTAAAAAATAAATGAAAGGATAAATAAAAATAAATAAGCAACATGTATCACTCTGTTAGAGTCTATTAAGAGTTTTGCTCTGCTATCAGAAACCTCTTCAGTCACTGACAGTTCATCTAAGAGTTAGTAAGGCTGGATTACAAACAGGAAAGAGTAAAGAAAGGGTTTTTTTTTTTTTTTTTTTTCTTTTTTTTGAGACAGAGTCTCGCTCTGTTGCCAGGCTGGAGTGCAGCGGCCTGATCTCGGCTCACTGCAAGCTCCGCCTCCTGGGTTCATGCCATTCTCCTGCCTCAGCCTCCTGAGTAGCTGGGACTACAGGCACCAGCCACCATGCCCGGCTATTTTTTTGTATTTTTAGTAGAGATGGGATTTCACTATGTTGGCCAGGATGGTCTCGATCTCTTGACCTCGTGATCCACCCGCCTCGGCCTCCCAAAGTGCTGGGATTACAGGCGTGAGCCACCGCGCCCAGCCAAGAAAGAGTTTTGTAAATAAAATTTTAAATTTTAAATTTTAAATTTCAGCTTCTTTTCAAAGCAGCTGAAAACACACTTTCCTTCCCCATCCTATTTTCCCTAAGCCCATCCAACAAAGTGCCAGACTGAAAAAAATAAGATGACTGGTTAAAGTTGAAATTTAATAAAAATCCTATGATATATATTTTTTCAGATGGCAGGTCCTGCAATTAAAAGTATACCTGACCAGGCATGGTGGCTCACGCCTGTAATCCCAGCACTTTGGCAGGCCTAGATAGGAGGATTAATTGAGGCCAGGTGTTTGAGACCAGCTTGGGCAATATAGTGAGACCTCATGTCTAACCACAAAAAAAATTAGCCAGGCATGTGGGCCTGCACCTGTCATCCCAGTTAAGTGAGAAGCTCAAGTAGGAGGATCACTTAATCCAGCAGTTCGAGACTGCAGTGAGCCATGACTGCACCACTGCACTCCAGTCTGGGTGACAGTGTGAGATCGTGTCTCAATCAATGAATCGATCAATAAATATAAAAGTATACCTGCTTGCTTGGTGGTGGAAAATGGGCATCTTTATCTTGGTTTCCACGAGCAGACGCTGAAGCCATGATGACTTTGTGCTTGCTCTCCTTCCAGTTGTTTATCCTCTGCTTACTCCTTGACCCAGTGTCTAAGGAAGGTAGAAGAGAATCACTATGCCATGACTAAATGTTTGCATCAAGCTTAAAAGCATCCTGAGGATCCACTGGAGTTATTTGGAAAATGTGTTTTTCCTTTTGTCATTAGTCCATCTGCAAACTCAACTTCCAGTGCTCCTCTTCCACCAGCACACATACATGCACTCACTAATGGGGACAGATCAGATTTAGAATAGAGTGGAAATACCACACTGTGCACTGAGTGTCGATTATGTGCCAGGCCAGGGGATATGAAGAAGGATAAGACAAGATCACCGCTGTGAAGGAATTCACAGTCCAAAAGGGGAGATAGACAAGTCAACAGTTACACAACATGAAAAGTATGCATGGGATGCTAAGGAAGAAAAGAAAGCAGGGTCCATTCCATCTAGTCATGTCACAAAGGAACTAGGACTCCTAAGCTTTCAGGAGGATCTGTGGAGGGTAGATGGACTCTGGGGCAGGAGGACCAGGTTGGAAGGTGGTACACTAGTCCAGACAAGGAGTTACAGGGACGTGAACAAAGACCCTGGTGGGAATTTAGCATCTTTGATAGAGATGCTAAATTTGGGTTTGGAAATGTTGGATTTGGGTGCCTGTGGGGGCAAACAGTGGAATTAGCCACTGTTAATATTTGACGATTTGGGTCTAGAGTTCCAGAACAGGGGTAGGCTAGAGAGATGAAGTTGGGAGCTGCCATCATAGAGATGAGAGTTAAAGCAGGGAACTTTAATAAATGTGTCTAAAAACAGTACTGGAGAATATGAACACTGAGCCCAAGGGAATATCGAAAAGAGAAGAAAGATTAAAAAAAAAAAAGCAGGCCAAGGAAATGACTGAGAAGGAATAGCTGATACAGAGGGGAGGGAATTTCTGAAGGAGGGAGTGAATCATCAACACCATCACATGGCTTAGAAAAGTGGACCCTGGATTTGGCAATGATGGACATAATCCAGGTGGACTTTGAGCCTCCTCCTGCCCCCAGTGGCCACTGCATTCTGCAGCCCTGAACTCTACCTCTACCTCTGCTTTTCTTCTGCAAAATGAACCTCTTATATACAATTCTGTTTCCTACATCAGTTACTAAACTTTGAGGCATTTGAGCCAAGGGGACCCGTACTCGCACCAAGTTTCATCACAGGTGTCTAATGTGATTACAGGGGCAGCACGGTGCCCTGCACGGGAAAGTACTGGGGTCAGAGAGACCAGAGTTCAAATCGTGACTCTTTACCCCTGCGATCCCTTTGGTGCAAATGACTTAATCCGTCTCTGCCTCAGCTTTCTCCACTGTTAATTGGGCATAATGGACACAACAATGGTGAGGGGCTCTTGCAGGAATGAAGACTAGGATGAGGATGAGGATGAGGGATACGTCCATAAAGCCCCTGCACACCTTCCATTTCCTGAGCACTCCCAGGAAGTCTTTGCTGACCACGCCAAATTAGATTATCTTTGCTTAGCCATTAGGCCGCTGCCCTATATTGGGAGGCAAATATACCTCTCAGCTTCGGTGGCCAGGTCCCCTGGCACCCACTTAGTCCTCAGTCTGCACCTAAAAGCAAGCCTTCCGAGGGTCTTGCCTTGCAGGTGTAGCTCCCACCCCCCACGCTGGGGTGGTCCGGGGACCCTCTGTTTCCTCAGTGGTGGGGAAGGGACCCGTGGGTTCGTGGGTGCTGACCGACGAATGTGCGGAGGAGGGCGCGCCCCAGCATGGGGGGCGGGGGTGCTTCTTAGGATGGCTTGGAGGGGGGCGCCTGCAGGGCTGGACGGCGGACGGGGGACACTGCACTTTCTGATGCGGTCGGGGAAGCCGGGAGTCAGCCTACTGGAGTCCGCTGCCATCCCTGGCCAGAAGCAGCCAGCGCCACCCCAAGCTCCCCAGCCCCTCGCCCGTGCCGGGGCCGCCGGGGTCCGAGTTAGGGGAGAGTGGGGGGCGGCCACCGCTGCACCGCGCGGCCTTCGAAGGACTGCCCTGCGGCGCCGCGTTCCCCCGAGGCCACCCCCTCCCGCCGTCAACACTCCCCGGGGCGGGGGCTCACCTGTGTGGTCTGGGTCGCCTCCGAGGCCGAGTCCCTCGTTGCCAAGCCCAGCAGGCCTCGCTCCCCCGTGACTGCACCGCCGGCCCGCTCCAGCTTCCCGAGTACCCCACCTGTCTCCCCGGCTTCCTTCCGGCCCTTTGTGTTTTCTTCTCTTGCTCCGCCCCCTCGCCTGCCCGCTAAGCACTTAAGCTGGTGAAGTCACCCTACTGCCACCTGGCAGTCACTTTCGCTGTTGGTGGCAACCCAGGCTGGAACCCAGCTCTTGCCGGAACCCCTGCCCCATCCTTGAGGCTTGTCCCGACACCGAGTAGGTTCTAGTTCCTTTGTGCCTTCCAAATGACTCCCTTCCTCCAGCAATCACAGCCGCAACAGCCATGTATTGCGCCCCCGCCCTAGGCCAGGCGTGGGCATCACCTTTGCACTCCTTTCTGCAGCCGTGTGTGGTGCCCACTGTGACCTGCACTTCACAGACGGGTCATCTGAGTTGTGCAGGCCACTAAGGGAGCCTGGAGTCAACCCCAGGCCTGCTTGGCTCCCAGGCCTTCTCTTTCCATTGCTCTTTGTCGGTCCCCTGCTGCCTCCTGTCCCTCCCCAACTCTGACTTGTGGAGGGAAGCCTTTGACATGTGGGGGTACCTTTAATACCGATATCACTTGTTACCGGAGAGGGGTCCCGATCCAGACCCCAAGCGAGGGTTCTTGGACTTCTCGCAAGAAAGAATTCGGGGTGAGTCCGTAGAGTGAGAGCAAGTTTATTAAGGAAGTATAGAAAACAGGCCGGGTGCGGTGGCTCACGCCCATAATCCCAACACTTTGGGAGGCAAAGGCAGGCAGATCACTTGAGCTCAGGAGTTCAGACCAGCCTGGCCAACATGGTGAAACACTCTCTCTACTAAAAATACGAAAAGTTAGCCAGGCATGGTGCTCTATGCCTGTAATCCCAGCTACTCGGGAGGCTGAGGCAGGAGAATCGCTTGAACTCCGGAGGCAGAGGTTGCAGTGAGCCGAGATTGCGCCACTGCACTCCAGCTTGGGCGACAGAGCCAGACTCTGTCTCAAAAAAAAAAAAAACAAAAAAAAAACAAAAAACAAGAAGAACAACAACAAAAAAGAATGGCTACTCCACTGGCAGAGCAGCTGTGTGGGCTGCTTAGCTAATTATACTGGTAGTTATTTCTTGATTCTATGCTAAACAAGGGGTGGATTATTCATGAATTTTCCAGGAAAAGGGTGGGCAATTCCCGGAACTGAGGGTTCCTTCACTTTTTAGACCATATAGGGTAACTTTCTGACGTTGCCATGGCACTTGTAAACTGTCATGGCCCTGGTGGGAGGGTCTTTTATCAGGCTAATGCATTAAAATTAGCATTTAATGAGTAATGAGGACGACCAGAGGTCACTTTCATGACCATCTTGATTTTGGTGGGTCTTGGCTGGCTTCTTTACTGAGTCCTGTTTCATCAGCAAAGTCTTTGTGACCTGTACCTTGTGCCAACCTTCTATCTCATCCTGTGACTAAGAATGCTGAACCACCTGGGAAGGCAGCCCAGTAGGTTTCAGCCTTATTTTACTCAGTCCCTATTCAAGATGGAGTGGCTCTTGTTCAAACACCTCTGGACACAGTTACCCCAGCCATGGCTGACAAAGTTTTCTGGGCTGAGCTGCCAGGACTGACTGAGTGTGTTGACTTGGAGAGAGGCTGTGGATCTCCACTGAAGGCCCTCTTCATTTCTCACCTTTTCCTATTGTGCGAATTGGTCCCTGTACCTGTGGCCGCTTCCTCCTCACGCCTCCCCGATCCACACCTCCAACTTGTTGTTTCTCAGATTCACACAGCTCTTTTCCACTGGAGGCCCTCCCCTGCCTGCAGCCTCTCCCGATTGGTCCTGTCCTGGCTTTTTCCTACTCCTTCTTTTTGACTGTTCCTCAGGAAAATCTTCCTTGACCCCAGCCTAAGGCAGGCCTTTCTTCTTTTTCATAGCACAGGACACTATTGTTTTCCTTCATAGCACTTATCACAACTCATTATGTACTTATTAGTGTGTTCATTTATATAAAGCATATTTTCCCTGCTGCAGAGTAATCTTCATGAGGTTCAGAACAAGATGGTGTCAGTTTTGTTCACCATTGTGTAGCATCTTGGATATAGAAGGGGCTCAATAAATATTTGTTGAATGAATGAATGAATGAATGAATGAATAAGTGAGCCTAGGTTCAATGACTGTCAAGATACTGTTGTTTTGGATGGTTCATTTCCCTAGTAGATCCTCCAGACCACATTCCTCCATGGATTCACTGGTTTTCTCCCCACCAAAGTGTGTCTTATTTCCTTTTCACTCCTTTTTCCACCTCCAAATTAAAGGGAATATAATTCTATTGCTAATTTCACATTGCATTACCAGAAATCAGAAAAAATCAGCTGGTTTGAACAGAACAGGTTTTGTGATTTAAATGAACAACCCTCCATTACACTGAAGTCAGTGTAATGGACACATAACCTAAGTGGCATTTGTCCTTTAACATCTTGCTATGGTATGCAAGATGTTATACCTGTTATGCATATGTGACAGCTGCGCTTCTGGTCTCCCATGACCTTATTATTTTTTTTTCTTTTTAGAGATGGGAGTCTTGTTATGTTGCTCAGGCTGGAGTGCAGTCCAGGCCCCCACCCTCATCTCTACTTTCCACCAAATAGGCCATTGACTACCTTAAATAGCAAGAAGTCATCATATGTAACGTGCATCGGTTATGACCAATTGGTATTTGTTGGGCAAATCTGATGTGTCCATGTATTGTTCTAGCACTTTCAAAGATAATAGAAAAAGACATGAGTCTTTTCCACAAAGGATATATCAATTCCCAAAGAATTATAATAAATATACATTGCCGTAGAAGTCTATGGCCCTCAACAGAGCCTTTCTTAGGCTTTGCTTCTGCATCCTGCAGGGCCTCCGGATCATGACCTGATCCAAAATTGATTATCACTGGCTAATGCTATGAAAAATGTGGTTGATTTAGAAAGTGCCAAACCGTCCATGGCAGGTTTCAGCTTAAACTCTTTCCACAGCCCTACACTGACCTTAGCCAAGATCTGAATTCATTAGCAGGGCCCTGAGTGATTCAGCTCCTGCCTGCCTCTCCAATGCAGCTATCTGAGGCCCTCCCAGGGCCCTCTGGAGTGACTCATGTTCTCTCCTTTCATGCTTTTATGTGCACTGGAGAGCCAGCCTGAATCAGCCTTCCTCTGCTTCTCCACCTCTCTCTTACTCATTCTTGAAGACTGGGCTCTGAGGTCACCTCCTCGTGGATGCCTTGCAGACTCAAGTTTAGTTTCTCACCTTCTGTGCTCCCATCGCACTCTGCAGGGGATACCTGTTATGCATATGTGTCAGCTGCGCTTCTGGTCTCCCATGACCTTATTATTTTTTTTTCTTTTTAGAGATGGGAGTCTTGCTATGTTGCTCAGGCTGGAGTGCAGTGACTATTCACAGGCCCAATAATGGCACACTACAGCCTGGGACTCCTGGGCTCAAGTAATCCTCCTGCCTCAGCCTCCTGAGTAGCTAGAACTATAGGTGTGTATCACCATGCCTGGCTCTCCCTCCCTCCCTCCCTCCCTCCCTTCCCTTCCCTTCCCTTCCCTTCCTTCCTTCTTTCCTTCCTTCCCTCCCTTCCTTCCTTCCTTCCTTCCTTCCTTCCTTCCTTCCTTCCTTCCTTCCTTCCCTCCCTCCTTCCTTCCTTCCTTCCTCTCTCTCCCCTCCCCTCCCCTCCCCTCCCCTTCCCTTCCCTTCCCTTCCCTTTCTTTTTGCAGGGTCTCTCTCTGTTGCCCAGGCTGGAGAGCAGTGATGTAATCATGGCTCACTGCAGCCTCTACTTCCAGGCTCAAGCAATCCTCCTGCCTCAGCCTCCCATGTGGATGAGACTACAGGCATGCACCACCACACCAGCTAATTAATTAATTTTTTTTTTTTGTAGAGACAGGGTTTTGCTATATTGCCCAGGCTTTCATCATCTTTTAACTTCATCCCCATAGCAGTCCCATGAGTGGTGCTAATAACTTACTCAGTCATGCAGCCAGGAAGTGACAGTAGAATTTTAACCTGGGCTCTACAGTGATGAGTTTCAGAGCAGTGTGGCCCTACTGTCCTTTGGCTGTCCTTACACTGTTACAACCATTGATGTCATTCATTGGCATTCTGTCTGACTGTGAGCTCCTTAATGGTGAGGGCAGTCAAGCACTGATCTTTTTCAGTAACTGGTACGTTGTATGAACTCACAAATGGTAATGATGATGAATGAATTTAATGAGGCACAAAATAAAAAGTGAATAATACATGGTCCTTTATTTCAAGAGGCTCACTGTCTTTCTTTCCCCTCTCTCCATCCCTCCTGTGCCCCTCCCTCCCTCACTTCCTTTTTCCTTTCTTTCCTTTTAATTTTTTTCCAGATAAAAGCTTTTAATAGGAACGTTACATGTTAAAATGGCATTTTAAAATTTTATTTTATTTATTTATTTGTTTTTAATTTTACTTTAAGTTCTGGGATACATATGCTGAACATGCAGATTTGTTACATAGGTATACATATGCCACGGTGGTTTGCTGCATCTATCAACTCATCATCTAGGTTTTAAGCTCCATATGCATTAGGTATTTGTCCTAATGCTCTCCCTCTCCTTTCCCCCTACCCCCCAACAGGCCCTGGTGCGTGATGTTCCCCTCCCTGTGTGGAAGTCATTGGCAAAGACTTCATGACTAAAACACCAAAAGCAACTGCAACAAAAGCCATAATTGACAAACGAGATCTTATTAAACTAAAGAGCTTCTGCTCAGTGAAAGAAACTATTATCAGAGTGAACAGTCAACCTACAGAATGGGAGAAAATTTTTGCAGTCAATCCATCTGACAAAGGCCTAATATCCAGAATCTACAAGGAACTTAAGCAAATTTACAAGAAAAAAACAAACAACCCCATCAAAAAGTGGGCGAAGGATATGAACAGACACTTCTCAAAAGAAGACATTTATGAGACCAACAAACATATGAAAAAAAGCTCATCATTGCTGGTCATTAGAGAAATGCAAATCAAAACCACAATGAGATACCATCTCATGCCAGTTATAATGGCGATTGTTGGCCGGGCGCGGTGCCTCATGCCTGTAATCCCAACACTTTGGGAGGCTGAGGTGGGTGGATCACAAGGTCAGGAGTTCAAGACCAGCCTGACCAAGATGGTGAAACCCTGTGTCTACTAAAAATACAAAAATTAGCAGGGCGCAGAGGCAGGCACCTGTAATTCCAGCTACTCGGGAGGCTGAGGCAAGAGAATTGCTTGAACCTGGGCGGCAGAGGTTGCAATGAGCTGAGATCGCACCACTGCACTCCAGCCTGGGCGATAGAGTGAGACTCCATATTAAAAAAAAATGGCGATTATTAAAAAGTCTGGAAACAACAGATGCTGGAGAGGATGCGGAGAAATAGGAATGCTTTTACACTGTTGGTGGGAGTATAAATTAGTTCAACCATTGTGGAAGACAGTGTGGCAATTCCTCAAGGATCTAGAACCAGAAATACCATTTGACCCAGCAATCCTGTTACTGGGTATATACCCAAAGGATTATAAATCATTCTACTATAAAGACACATGCACACATATGTTTATTGCAGCACTATTTACAATAGCAAAGACTTGGAACCAACCCAAATGCCCAGCAATGATAGACTGGATAAAGAAAATGTGGCACATATACACCATGGAATACTATGGAGCTATAAAAAACAATGAGTTCACGTCCTTTGCAGGGACATGAATGAAGCTGAAAACCATCATCCTTAGCAAATTAACACAGGAACAGAAAACCAAACACCGCATGTTCTCACTTGTAAGAGGGAGCTGAACAATTTCCTTTCTTTCTTAACAGATTAGTTGCAAGGCCTTTTAAACAACCCTAGAAATATGTACTATTATCCCAATGTTATAGGTAGGAAAAATGAGGCAGAGAAAAGTTAAATAACATGGCCAAGGTCATAGCTGGGAAGTGGCACAGCCATGATTCAGACTGCAGTGGCCTGGTCCCAGAGCTCATGTTCTTAACCTCTACAGTATGTTATGTCTCCAGTAGCCTCATTGGGCAGAGGACACACATAGACTGATGCATAACAAGAGATAGATACAGACACCTGGAGAGACCTGGACAAGCAGCTTTGTGTGGTAGGAGAGAGTGCTGTGCAGTGTGGTTGGCTGAATAGCA
The DNA here is from genome assembly GCF_000001405.40 of Homo sapiens. Lineage (NCBI taxonomy): Eukaryota > Metazoa > Chordata > Mammalia > Primates > Hominidae > Homo > Homo sapiens. Next base: position 48,912,907 of record NC_000004.12, read on the forward strand.
AGCCCTAGTAGGGGAGGGATGGAGATGGATTAAAAACAAAATGAGGCAGCTCACACCTGTAATCCCAGCACCTTGGGAGGCTGAGGTGGGAGGATCATGTGAGGCCAGCAGTTCAAGACCAGTCTGGGCAACACATGAGACCCTATCTGTACAAAATACCAAAAAGAATTTTAAAAATCAGCCAGCTGTATTGGCACATACCTGTAGTCCCAGCTGCTCAGGAGGCTGAGGCAGGAGGATTGCTCAAACCCAGGAGGTTGAGGCTGCAGTGAGCCATGATTGCTCCACTGCACTCCAGCCTGGTGACAGAGGGAGATCCTGTCTCAAAAAAAAAAAAAAAAAAAAGCAAGTGGAAATCTAGATTGATGCCCACAGGAGCCCAGAGCTCACCCACAACCACCTTTTCCTGCTCTATAGAAGGGGCTCTGGCTGGATTCCTGGTGTGGAGAGGTTTCATGTGTGTGTCGGGGACATCTTGGGTGTTCATGGAGTGGCAAGAGCAGTCCTCGGCATCCTGCCATTCTTTTTCTTATTCCAGCTCAACTTGCCATCTGCGTACCTCTGTGAGAGGCTCTGTGAATCACAGGATCTCGTGAGTCACTCATTCCCTCTCTGAGGAATAAATTATATCAAGTCTCACAAAAGCAGAGCAGTTGGGTTTAAATGAGGTGTCACACAAAGATGGACTGCAGGTTCTGCTTTCCCTTATGAGCTGGCACGGCTGTTGGGTGAGGCACGTTGCCAGTTCTCAGCCTGAGCTTTTGGGCCATCAACCCAGAGTTCTGGCTGCTTCAGCTTCATCTAGATTTGATGTTCAGAATGCCAGACTCAGCAAGAGGTGAAACAGGCCCCAATGATCATAATTTTGACCCAAATGGGGAAAGGCTGAAGAATGAAGATGAGAGAATATTGATTTGCTTGTGTCTCCAGTCTGCATTGCGTCAGGCCTATCCTTTGTTATCATTTTTTTTTTTTTTTGAGATGGAGTCTCACTCTGTCGCCCAGGCTGGAGTGCAGTGGCACAATCTTGGCTCACTGCAACCTCCGCCTCCTGGGTTCAAGTGATTCTCCAGTCCTATCCTCCAGAGTAGCTGGGGCTACAGGCGTGCACCACCACACCCGGCTAATTTTTGTATTTTTAGTAGAGACGGAGGTTTCACCATATTGGCCAGGCTGGTCTTGAACTCCTGACCTCAGGTGATCCACCTGCCTCGGCCTCCCAGAGGCTATCCTTTATTTAACTCACAACTGCTCACAATAGACATCCTGAAAGTAAATTTACTACTTTAATGTTCCAAAACTGCTTTCCGTAGTCCATGATACGCAAAGCCTTTGAATGCAAAAAACAGAATGTTCCTGGTGTAGCAGAGAGAATATGTGGTTAAGCAGAGGACAGTGATATCTTACGGCAAATGTGTTGACCCCATGACAAGTGTGCATTGTCAGCTTTGTGTCCTAGTATCTGTACTGAGCCTCTCTTTAGATAGCAAGCTTCTCACCTGGCTATGGTGAGGGTGGGAGAAAAGCAATTTGATTTGCTGGTGAAAATGACTCACAGCAAGATGTAAATGCGAACCACAGATTTAGCTCCTTGCAGGGCATAATTCCATTTTAGATGAGAGGCTTAGTAATCAAAACCTAATAAGCTTAGTAATCAAGATCTTGATAGAGTGTTGGGGGAAGACTCGCTTTCACAGAGGAATTTTTGAGAATCCCTGTGTTACCCTAGTCAGCCCACTTTTTCTGATTCACTTGTCTGAGCATTAGGGAAACAAGCTTCAGTATCCTGGCAGTCCACTTGGGGAGGGGCCTAAGCTGTAACTGCTCCAGGCAGTTCAATTCCAGCTTCCCACTTGATAGTGCCTCTCAGGGCATCTTTGCACTGTGTCCACCCTATACCCTCTGACAGGCACCTACATGCTCTGCCATGGCAAGTTTATGACTTTTCTTTGGGTCCCATTGAAGATATCCCTAAAGCCTAGGAATTTAAGCAGGGACCCAGACTACCTGGGCTCAGTTATAGCCCCACTCCATATCTTTATATAAATAATTGCTTGGCACAGTGCCTGGCACATAGGGAGTGTTGTTTAAGTGTTCATAACCATTTCCTCCAGGGAAACTCTCCCTCCCTGGTCCCTGAGGCAGGAATCTCTCCTGTGTGCTGTATTTTGATGACCTCTTTACTCGCCTCTATTCTAGGATGTGAGATACCTGAAGGCAGGGGCTGTCTTTCTTACCTTCAATTCTGTGACTAGAAAACCATATTGAGATTTTAATTTGAGTTACATACTCTTTCAGCAGTCTGAACAAATGGTAAGGATTCTCTCTTCCCCATTCCAAGAAAGTCACCAAGTGTCCTTAATTTCAGGATTAATGACTTTGGCACTATAGGGATAAACAAAGAGTTCAGGGATAAAGCATGAAACAGGCATCTGGAATATCACCCCTATATAGAATTTTGTTGTAAAAAAGAAGCCCCAACCAAGAGAGGAAGTGGGCCAACCCTGGAGGGAAGATTCTGAAAGCTTTTCAAAAGACTGGGAGCGGGACAGAGGTGTTCAGGTCCTGTGGTACTGGAGACCAGCACTTCCCTCCCACAGCTAGTCTGTGGCAGGACCTCATGGCAGAAAAGCTGCATGGTCCCCTGAGAGAGAAGGTTCACCAAGTCTTTAATTTCCCAGCCGCCAAAAGATCTGGGACTGGGCCACTGCTTTCAAGGGACCACGTGGATTTTGACACTGAATACCTCAACCAGTTCAGTGTGACCAGAAGAGATCAGAGGATCTTCTAGAATGTTCTAGATTGTGCCAGATCCCTTCACTTGACCCTAGGAAAAAGGGTTCCTGCCCCCCATCCCCACCAAATTCTTGAGATTGAACTTCCTGAGTGAAAGGGGACTCTGAACAAATGTAACTTTATTTAGAGACACAAAAGTACATGGCCTTTTGGAAACCCTAGTGAAGTGAACTAAAATTCACATCTATAGCATGTCCACAGTCCTGGCTAAGGCAGGTCATGTAGAATATTTGGTGAGTAAGTAAATAATGGAAGTACCTGAAATCTCTCCAGTCTATTTTAATAATCCCATAGCAACATTTTTTATTTACCTACCTTGAATAAAGGTTTTCCACGGCCATTTCCTGAGTCTTTAAAGCACATGCAAATGAATTGTCTTTGAACAAGGATTCAAAAGACTTTTATCACTGCAAGCTAGCAACACGCTGAATTTATATCTCCCCAGTATTACATTGTTGGTTGCTAATGTGACTAAGCCTTGCTACTTTACACTTTGTCTATGAATAGATTGAAGTCTCCAATGAGAACTTGCATCCCAAAGCCCCACCTAAAACGATAAAGCCTCAAAGGCAAAAACCCAAAATCTTACTTCTTATATTGGTATCCATGTCACAAAGCTGCCTTGTGTCTACAATTCCTAATCCTTGCTCAGAATTTAAGTTAGTTGGGCTATTATTTTTTTCTAGTCTCAATTACTTGTGGTTATTCATACAGGGATCACCTAAATGAATTAAATCTAGAGATAATTGAACAACATTCCTTTAGTCCTTAGTTTCTGCTCATTCTCCCCTCTAGTCTTCAGCTGTTTTTTCTAGGCTGCTATACCAGCTGCAGATTCAATTTATTATCTTTTATTATCTTTCCGCCCCCCACCAGAATCCTCAAGAATTCACCCTTGACTTCTTTCAGTGTTCTTTTATCTAGGTTTTGTTGTGTTTGTTTTGTTTCTGCTTTCAATAGATTTTTGTTTTAGAGAAGTCTTAGGTTCACAGAAAAATCTAACAGAAGGTACAGAGATATCCCATAATACCCTGCCCTAAAACATGCATAGCCTTCTGCATTATCGACATACCTCACCAGACCAGTACACTTGTGACAACTGATGGAACTACACTGGACCTACACTGTCACATTTTTGCCCAGAGTCCATATTCTACATTAGAGTTCACTCACAGTGTTGTACTTCTATGGTTTTGGAAAAATGTATGACATGTATCCACCATTGTAGAATCATACAGAGTAGTTTCACTGCCCTAAAAATCCCCTGTGCTCTCCCTATTTGTCCCTCCTTCCCCCCAACCCCTGGAAACCACTGATCTTTTTACTGTAGCCTTTTCCAGAATGTCATATAGTTGGAACTGTACAGTATGTAGCCTTTTGAGATTGACTTCTTTCATTTGCTAATATGCATTTAAATTTCCTCCGTGTCTTTTCATGGCTTGATAGTGCCGATGGTGCTTTTTCATTTCTTCTTAGTGCTGAATAATGTTCTCTTTTCTGGTTGGACCACAGTTTATTTATCCATCCACCTATTGAAGGACATCTTGGTTTCTTCCAGGTTTTGGCAATTATAAATTAAACTGCTATAAACATCCATGTGCAGGTTTTTGTGTGAACATAAGTTTTCCTTTTTTGGGTAAATGCCAAGGAGCATGATTGCTGAATCAAATGATAAGAGTGTCTTCAGCTTCCTAAAAAATCTCCATACTATTTTCCAAAGTGGCTGTACCACTGTGCATTTTCACCAGCAATGAATGAGACGTTCTGTGGCTCCACATCCTCACCAGCATTTGGGGATGTCAGTGTTCTAGATTTTGGCCATTCTAATAGGTGTGTAGTGATAGCTCATTTGTTCTTTTGATTTGCAGTTCCTTGAAAGCATATGAGGTTGAGCATCTTTATATATACATACATACATATATATATATATATACACACACACACACAAAGATTTGTATATCTATATATTTATATAGATATATAAAGATGCCATCTATGTATCATCTTTGGTGAGGTATCTGTTAGGGTCTTTAGTCCATTTTTTAATTGGGTTGTTTTCTTCTTGTTAAGTTTTAAGAGTTCTTTGTATATTTTTAGTCTTTCATCAGATTGTCTTGCAAATATTTTCTCCCAGTTTGTGGCTTGTCTTTTCATTTCATTTTATTTTATTTTTTTATTATTATTATACTTTAAGTTTTAGGGTACATGTGCACAATGTGCAGGTTAGTTACATATGTATACATGTGCCATGTTGGTGTGCTGCACCCACTAACTCGTCATCTAGCATTAGGTATATCTCCCAATGCTATCCCTCCCCCCTCCCCCCACCCCACAACAGTCCCCAGAGTGTGATGTTCCCCTTCCTGTGTCCATGTGTTCTCATTGTTCAATTCCCACCTACAAGTGAGAATATGCGGTGTTTGGTTTTTTGATCTTGCTGTAGTTTACTGAGAATGATGATTTCCAACTTCATCCATGTCCCTACAAAGGACATGAACTCATCATTTTTTATGGCTGCAGAGTATTCCATGGTGTATATGTGCCACATTTTCTTAATCCAGTCTATCATTGTTGGACATTTGGGTTGATTCCAAGTCTTTGCTATTGTGAATAATGCCGCAATAAACATACGTGTGCATGTGTCTTTATAGGAGCATGATTTATAGTCCTTTGGGTATCTACCCAGTAATGGGACGGCTGGGTCAAATGGTATTTCTAGTTCTAGATCCCTGAGGAATCGCCACACTGACTTCCACAATGGTTGAACTAGTTTACAGTCCCACCAACAGTGTAAAAGTGTTCCTATTTCTCCACATCCTCTCCAGCCCCTGTTGTTTCCTGACTTTTTAATGATAGCCATTCTAACTGGTGTGAGATGGTATCTCATTGTGGTTTTGATTTGCATTTCTCTGATGGTCAGTGATGGTGAGCATTTTTTCATGTGTTTTTTGGCTGCATAAATGTCTTCTTTTGAGAAGTGTCTGTTCATGTCCTTTGCCCACTTTTTGATGTGGTTGTTTGTTTTTTTCTTGTAAATTTGTTTGAGTTCATTGTAGATTCTGGATATTAGCCCTTTGTTAGGTGAGTAGGTTGCGAAAATTTTCTCCCATTTTGTAGGTTGCCTGTTCACTCTGATGGTAGTTTCTTTTGCTGTGCAGAAGCTCTTTAGTTTAATTAGATCCCATTTGTCAATTTTGGCTTTTGTTGCCATTGCTTTTGGTGTTTTAGACATGAAGTCCTTGCCCATGCCTATGTCCTGAATGGTATTGCCTAGGTTTTCTTCTAGGGTTTTTATGGTTTTAGGTCTAACGTTTAAGTCTTTAATCCATCTTGAATTGATTTTTGTATAAGGTGTAAGGAAGGGATCCAGTTTCAGCTTTCTACATATGGCTAGCCAGTTTTCCCAGCACCATTTATTAAATAGGGAATCCTTTCCCCATTGCTTGTTTTTGTCAGGTTTGTCAAAGATCAGATAGTTGTAGATATGTGGCATTATTTCTGAGGGCTCTGTTCTGTTCCATTGATCTATGTCTCTGTTTTGGTTACTGTAGCCTTGTAGTATAGTTTGAAGTCAGGTAGCGTGATGCCTCCAGCTTTGTTCTTTTGGCTTAGGATTGACTTGGCGATGCAGGCTCTTTTTTGGTTCCATATGAACTTTAAAGTGGTTTTTTCCAATTCTGTGAAGAAAGTCATTGGTAGCTTGATGGGGATGGCATTGACTCTGTAAATTACCTTGGGCAGTATGGCCATTTTCACGATATTGATTCTTCCTACCCATGAGCATGGAGTGTTCTTCCATTTGTTTGTATCCTCTTTTGTTTCCTTGAGCAGTGGTTTGTGGTACTCCTTGAAGAGATCCTTCACGTCCCTTGTAAGGTGGATTCTTGGATTCTTAGGTACTTTATTCTCTTTGAAGCAATTGTGAATGGGAGTTCACTCATGATTTGGCTCTCTGTTTGTCTGTTATTGGTGTATAAGAATGCTTGTGATTTTTGTACATTGATTTTGTATCCTGAGACTTTGCTGAATTTGCTTATCAGCTTAAGGAGATTTTGGGCTGAGACAGTGGGGTTTTCTATATATACAATCATGTTGTCTGCAAACAGGGACAATTTGACTTCCTCTTTTCCTAATTGAATACCCTTTATTTCCTTCTCCTGCCTGATTGCCCTGGCCAGAACTTCCAACACTATGTTAAATAGGAGTGGTGAGAGAGGGTATCCTTGTCTTGTGCCAGTTTTCAAAGGGAATGCTTCCAGTTTTTGCCCATTCAGTATGATATGGGCTGTGGGATTGTCATAGACAGCTCTTATTATTTTGAGATACGTCCCATCAATACCTAATTTATTGAGAGTTTTTTAGCATGAAGCGTTGTTGAATTTTGTCAAAGGCCTTTTCTGCATCTATTGAGATAATCACGTGGTTTTTGTCTTTGGTTCTGTTTATATGCTGGATTACATTTATTGATTTGCGTATATTGAACCAGCCTTGCATCCCAGGGATGAAGCCCACTTGATCATGGTGGATAAGCTTTTTGATGTGCTGCTGATTTTGGTTTGCCAGTATTTTATTGAGGATTTTTGCATCAATGTTCATCAGGGATATTGGTCTAAAATTCTCTTTTTTGGTTGTATCTGCCTGGCTTTGGTATCAGGATGATGCTGGCCTCATAAAAGGAGTTAGGGAGGATTCCCTCTTTTTCTATTGATTGGAATAGTTTCAGAAGGAATGGTACCAGTTCCTCCTTGTACCTCTGGTAGAATTTGGCTGTGAATCCATCTGGTCCTGGACTCTTTTTGGTTGGTGAGCTATTGATTATTGCCACAATCTCAGCTCCTGTTATTGGTTTATTCAGAGATTCAACTTCTTCCTGGTTTAGTCTTGGGAGAGTGTATGTGTCGAGGAATTTATCCATTTCTTCTAGATTTTCTAGTTTATTTGCGTAGAGGTGTTTGTAGTATTCTCTGATGGTAGTTTGTATTTCTGTGGGATCGGTGGTGATATCCCCTTTATCATTTTTTATTGCATCTAATTGATTCTTCTCTCTTTTCTTCTTTATTAGTCTTGCTAGCGGTCTATCAATTTTGTTGATCCTTTCAAAAAACCAGCTCCTGGATTCATTAATTTTTTGAACGGTTTTTTGTGTCTCTATTTCCTTCAGTTCTGCTCTGATTTTAGTTATTTCTTGCCTTCTGCTAGCTTTTGAATGTGTTTGCTCTCGCTTTTCTAGTTCTTTTAATTGTGATGTTAGGGTGTCAATTTTGGATCTTTCCTACTTTCTCTTGTGGGCATTTAGAGCTATAAATTTCCCTCTACACACTGCTTTGAATGCATCCCAGAGATTCTGGTATGTTGTGTCTTTGTTCTCATTGATTTCAAAGAACATCTTTATTTCTGCCTTCATTTCGTTATGTACCCAGTAGTCATTCAGGAGCAGGTTGTTCAGTTTCCATGTAGTTGAGTGGTTTTGAGTGAGATTCTTAATCCTGAGTTCTAGTTTGATGGCACTGTGGTCTGAGAGATAGTTTGTTATAATTTCTGTTCTTTTACATTTGCTGAGGTAAGCTTTACTTCCAAGTATGTGGTCTATTTTGGAATAGATGTGGTGTGGTGCTGAAAAAAATGTATATTCTGTTGATTTGGGGTGGAGAGTTCTGTAGATGTCTATTAGGTCTGCTTGGTGCAGAGCTGAGTTCAATTCCTGGGTATCCTTGTTGACTTTCTGTCTCATTGATCTGTCTAATGTTGACAGTGCAGTGTTAAAGTCTCCCGTTATTATTGTGTGGGAGTCTAAGTCTCTTTGTAGGTTACTCAGGACTTGCTTTATGAATCTGGGTGCTCCTGTATTGGGTGCATATCTATTTAGGATAGTTAGCTCTTCTTGTTGAATTGATCCCTTTACCATTATGTAATGGCCTTTGTCTCTTTTGATCTTTGTTGGTTTAAAGTCTGTTTTATCAGAGACTAGGATTGCAACTGCTGCCTTTTTTTGTTTTCCATTTGCTTGGTAGATCTTCCTCCATCCTTTTATTTTGAGCCTATGTGTGTCTCTGCATGTGAGATGGGTTTCCTGAATACAGCACACTGATGGGTCTTGACTCTTTATCCAATTTGCCAATCTGTGTCTTTTAATTGGAGCATTTAGTCTATTTACATTTAAAGTTAATATTGTTATGTGTGAATTTGATCCTGTCATTATGATGTTAGCTGGTTATTTTGCACATTAGTTGATGCAGTTTCTTCCTAGTCTCAATGGTCTTTACATTTTGGCATGATTTTGCAGTGGCTGGTACCGGTTGTTCCTTTCCATGTTTAGCGCTTCCTTCAGGAGCTCTTTTAGGGCAGGCCTGGTGGTGACAAAATCTCTCAGCATTTGCTTCTCTGTAAAGTATTTTATTTCTCCTTCACTTATGAAGCTTAGTTTGGCTGGATATGAAATTCTGGGTTGAAAATTCTTGTCTTTAAGAATGTTGAATATTGGCCCCCACTCTCTTCTGGCTTGTAGAGTTTCTGCTGAGAGATCTGCTGTTAGTCTGATGGGCTTCCCTTTGTGGGTAAGCCGACCTTTCTCTCTGGCTGCTCTTAACATTTTTTCCTTCATTTCAACTTTGGTGAATCTGACAGTTGTGTCTTGGAGTTGCTCTTCTCGAGGAGTATCTTTGTGGTGTTCTCTGCATTTCCTGAATCTGAATGTTGGCCTGCCTTGCTATATTGGGGAAGTTCTCCTGGATAATATCCTGCAGAGTGTTTTCCAACTTGGTTCCATTCTCCCCATCACTTTCAGGTACACCAATCAGACGTAGATTTGGTCTTTTCACATAGTCCCATATTTCTTGGAGGCTTTGCTCATTTCTTTTTATTGTTTTTTCTCTAAACTTCCCTTCTCGCTTCATTTCATTCACTTCATCTTCCATCACTGATACCCTTTCTTCCAGTTGATCGCATTGGCTCCTGAAGCTTCTGCATTCTTCACGTAGTTCTCAAGCCTTGGTTTTCAGCTCCATCAGCTCTTTTAAGCACTTCTCTGTATTGGTTATTCTAGTTATACATTCTTCTAAATTTTTTTCAAAGTTTTCAACTTCTTTGCCTTTGGTTTGAATTTCCTCCCGTAGCTCGGAGTAATTTGATCGTCTGAAGCCTTCTTCTCTCAGCTCGTCAAAGTCATTCTCCATCCAGCTTTGTTCCGTTGCTGGTGAGGAACTGCGTTCCTTTGGAGGAGGAGAGGCACTCTGCTTTTTAGAGTTTCCAGTTTTTCTGCTCTGTTTTTTCCCCATCTTTGTGGATTTATCTACTTTTGGTCTTTGATGATGGTGATGTACAGATGGGTTTTTGGTGTGGATGTCCTTTCTGTTTGTTAGTTTTCCTTCTAACAGACAGGACCCTCAGCTGCAGGTCTGTTGGAGTACCCGGCCGTGTGAGGTGTCAGTCTGCCCCTACTAGGGGGTGCCTCCCAGTTAGGCTGCTTGGGGGTCAGGGGTCAGGGACCCACTGAGGAGGCAGTCTGCCCGTTCTCAGATCTCCAGCTGCGTGCTGGGAGAACCACTGCTCTCTTCAAAGCTGTCAGGCAGGGACATTTAAGTCTGCAGAGGTTACTGCTGTCTTTTTGTTTGTCTGTGCCCTGCCCCGGGAAGTGGAGCCTACAGAGGCAGGCAGGCCTCCTTGAGCTGTGGTGGGCTCCACCCAGTTCTAGCTTCCTGGCTGCTTTGTTTACCTAAGCAAGCCTGGGCAATGGCGGGCACCCCTCCCCCAGCCTCACTGCCGCCTTGCAGTTTGATCTCAGACTACTGTGCTAGCAATCAGCGAGACTCTGTGGGCGTAGGACCCTCTGAGCCAGGTGTGGGATATAATCTCCTGGTGTGCCGTTTTTTAAGCCCGTTGGAAAAGCGCAGTATTAGGGTGGGAGTGACCCGATTTTCCAGGTGCCGTGTGTCACCCCTTTCTTTGACTAGGAAAGGGAACTCCCTGACCCCTTGCACTTCCCGAGTGAGGCAATGCCTCGCCCTGCTTCGGCTTGTGCACGGTGCGTGCACCCACTGACCTGCGCCCACTGTCTGGCACTCCCTAGTGAGATGAACCCGGTACCTCAGATGGAAATGCAGAAATCACCGGTCTTCTGCGTTGCTCACGCTGGGAGCTGTAGACCGGAGCTCTCATTTTCTTGACAGTGCCTTTTTTTTTTTTTCTGAGACAGAGTCTCGCTCTGTCTCCCAGGCTGGAGTGCAGTGGCGCGATCTCGGCTCACTGCAAGCTCCGCCTCCCGGGTTCACGCCATTCTCCTGCCTCAGCCTCCAGAGTAGCTGGGACTACAGGAGCCCACCACCGCACCCAGCTAAATTTTTGTATTTTTAGTAGAGACGGGGTTTCACCGTGTTAGCCAGGATGGTCTTGATCTCCTGACCTCGTGATCCACCCGCCTCGGCCTCCCAAAGTGCTGGGATTACAGGCGTGAGCCTTCGTGCCCAGCCTTGACAGTGTCTTTTGCAGAATAGGTTGGTTTTTTTTTTTTTTTTTCAGATGGAGTCTTGCTCTGTCGCCAGGCTGGAGTGCAGCGGCACAATCTCTGCTCACTGCAACCTCCGACTTCCTGGTGCAAGCCATTCTCCTGCCTCAGCCTCCCGAGTAGCTGGGATTACAGGCACGCCTCACCAGGCCCAGCTAATGTTTTTGTATTTTTTAGTAGAGATGGGGTTTCACCATGTTTGGCCAGAGTGGTCTCCATCTCCTGACCTCGTGATCCATCTGCCTCAGCCTCCCAAAGTGCTGGGATTTGGCATGAGCTACTGTGCCAGGGCAGCCTTTTTTTTTTTTTTTTTTTTTTTTTTTTTTTTTTAAGGGTAAGGTCTTGCTCTGTCACCCAGCCTGGAGTACAGTGGTGCGATTATAGCTCACTGTAGCATCAAATCCCTGGGCTCAAGAGATCCTAACCACCTGGGCCTTCCAAAGCACTAGGATTACAGGCAGGCATGAGTCACTGTGCCTGGCTTTGACATTTTAAATTTTAATGAAGTTTGATTTATCAATTTTTCATAGTTCATAGCTTTGGTGTTGTAGATTTATTTTCTTTACCTTGTAACTATCCGAAGCGTATTTAAAAGACAGGTAATAACTGGAAAAGTAGGAACAAGCTAAACAACACCATGATTAAGCAATCAGGCAAATCCTGAAGGTGAGATATTCCACTGGACAACTGTCCTGGACTCTTAGCAAATCAGCATCATAGAAACAGTGAATTTATAGAGTAAAACCAATTTAAGTGACCCAACCATCAGATGTATTATAACATGTGGTCCTAGATTAGATTCCAGTTTATGTAGATTTAAATAGCTATAAAAATGATTTTGGGAAACGTTATGGAAATTGGAATATGGCTTGGGTCATAAATGATATTAAAACTCATTAAGATTATTATTATGGCTCATTAGGCTTGATAGTTTTGATTTTGGTTATGGAGGCTGTCCTTATTTTTTAGAGCTGCATACTAAAGTATTTAGGGATGAAATGTCATGTCTGTAGTTTACAGTATTTCAGCATAAAAAAATAAAGCGAATGTAAAGGAACAAAATCTGAAAGAACAGAATTATTTCACACGTCAGATCCTGATTGGCTGACCCAACCAACACAAAGCCTGCTTTACTACAGTATATGAGTACAGAGAACACTTGGGTGGGGAAAGGGCATGAAATCCGGATTATGTCTTTCCCTTTTTTAGCTATGTGATCATGGCAAAGTACTTCTCTTGTCTGTGCCTCAGTTTCTTCAACCATAAGATAGGTATATTAGTTGTATTCATCCATTTTCATGCTGCTGTTAAGGATATACCTGAGACTGGGTAATTAATAAAGAAAAAGAGATTTAATGGATTCACAGTTCCACATGGCTGGAGAGGCCACATAATCATGGTGGAGGGTGAAAGGCACATCTTACATGGCAGTAGACCAGAGGGAACTTGTGTAGGGAAACTCCCCCTAATAAAACCATCAGATCTTTCGAGACTTATTCACTACTATGAGAACAGTATGGGGGAAACCACCACCATGATTCAATTATGTCCGACCCAGTCCCTTCCACAATATGTAGGAATTATGGGAGCTACAATTGAAGATGAGATTTGGGTGGGGACACAGCCAAATCATATCCTTAGTAGACCTACCCCACAAGATGATTGTGAGGATAAGTGACTTAATATACGCAAGGCCATTAAATCAGTTCCTGGCACATAGTAATACATAAGACTTACCTATTATCATTGTTTTTGTTTTAGTTATTCAGGTACATGATCCTAGCAGGGTTGGCATAAACTGATACAATCAGTGCAGCTTCTTGGGTTTTCTGGTACATTGCTAGTAGCCATGGGAACTCCATATTTTTGGGGACTCATTTTTGAGTTTTCTCTTACACTACATTGGGAACTGTTCCACTCCATGTTTTAGGGGCTGGTGAAGAGTGGTAAGACATAAAAACATCTGCTCTTATTGGTTGTAATGGGGCTTTTGGCTTAGTGCTCCAACAAAAACCTAAAGTTTTAAGTGTAATTAAATAATAGGTAATTGAAGATACCCCTAGATCTAGAATATTCTGGCAGAAGATTTAACATTTTCATTAGGAATACTGGTCTAGAATCTATCTTTTCTTTTAAAAAATTAACAAACACAATATAAGATGCCTTTATAAATATATTCCTTCAAGCAAATCTGACACTCGATGATTTAGGACTAAAATTTATCTTTGTCACCAACAAAATAGAAACAGGGTAAATATGATTTTATAACTGTGTCTTAGGTTTTTAGTTGGAGAAATGCTGTACTTTAATTAAGATTACAAATGACTTTTGGTGCTCCATGTCATTTTTCAATGTTAGATTTTTAGTACAGATTAATAATATTTTTTCTATTCCTTTCTTTCCCTTATATAAACACAGGGAGTTCTTTGATCTCTAGAAGTTGCAAGGACTTTTTGGCCTGTTACAACAGCACATTTATTATTGATTGATTTTAGAGTGAATTGAAATTTTCAAGATTAGATGGGTGTGTATTAGAGCAAATTCTAAATGGCTGAGTTAAAGTTTACAGTCATAAAAAGTTATGAGAACCATTTATCTTATAAGGTCCGCAGTACCAAAATCACAGCTTCGGAAATTAGAATATTATCTGTTATGATGCTACTACAATATAATTTCTTTCTTTCTTTTTTTTTTGTGAGTCAGAGTTTTGCACTGTCACCCAGGCTGGAGTGCAGTGGTGTGATCTTGGCTTACTGCAACCCCTGCCTCCCGGGTTCAAGCGATTCTCCTGCCTCAGCCTCCCAAGTAGCTGGGATTACAGGCGTATACCACCATGCCTGGCTAATTTTTTGTATTTTTAGTAGAGATGGGGTTTCACTATGTTGGTCAGGCTGGTCTCGAACTCCTGACCTCATGATCCGCCAGCCTCAGCCTCCCAAAGTGTTCGGATTACAGGTGTGAGCCGCCGCGCCTGGTTTACATTTTAATTTTGTAAAAGCAAAACATTATTTAAAATAACATATAAATAATTTTTAAAATCTGACATTGAATGCCAAGTACTGTGCTAAAGTGCTTTACATGAAATATCTCTTCTACTTCTCACAACCACCCAGGGCCTGCTCATGCTTTCCTTTCTCTTGAGAGAACTGAAATGGACAGGACAAATGACTGGCTCAAGGTCACACTGCAGCTGTGGTAAGATGAGGCTGAAATTTAGAGTCAATGATGACATCTACATCCAGCCAATATTCACTGAGCATTTATTAGGCATCAGGCTCTGTTCTAGGTGTGGGGATAGTAATGTGAATAAAACGTCAAAATCGTTGCTCTGAATATTATGAAATACTGGCACACAGTTGAGGTTAGCAGTTAGAATTGGTAAATACTTTTTCTATGATTAGGCAGTGTTCTAGCCCCTCTACTTAGAAATGTAGCCCTATAAACTGATTTGTTTTTCCAGAAGAAACAAAGGTCTCAAAGCTGATCATAAGTCCCTGGAGAGTAGAAGTTTGGCTCTAAATCTGGACTCATCCAGAAAAAATAGCTAGTCCACATGGTGGCTCATGCCTGTGGTCCCAGCTACTGGGGAGTCTGAGACAGGAGGATTGCTTGAGCACAGGAGTTCGAGGTTGCAGTGATTGCACCACTGCCCTCCGGCCTGGTGACAGAGTAAGACCCTGTCTCTAATAAAAAACAAAAAACAAAACAAAACCCCCCCACACTCTCTTTGAAGCAACTATTTCCTTAAATCCTGCCCCCCGACCCACACACACACATTTCTTGATATCTTTTCGAAGCATCATTCATCCTAGGCAAACTTTATAAATGTGGGGCCATGCCTTTTACAATTCAGGATCACCAGGCCAGCTGGACTATTTTTTTTTGTTGTTGTTGTTATAGATATCTGCAACAATTGCCACACAAAGGAACACCACAGTGCATTTCCATAATAAAATAAACTGAATTTGCTAGTGGAGACTGTAGTTCATCAGGTAAGGTTTTTATTACTTTAGCAACCAAATTGCTGTCTTCCCTCAGTGAATGTCCTGACCTATTTGGGCAGTTCAGAGCAAGCACACAGAGGCACCCTCATCTTCTTACATCACAGCCATGGGTACATCCAACCCACAATTCATGGGTTGGATGAACAAGGTTGCTACTTATTAAGTTACAGGCAAGTAGTTCAATAAGAAATTTTAAAACAGTTAAGATTCTCTTTAGTTTCTGTATTTATGTAAACTTTCTATAATTTGAAATATAGCACTAGCTTTTCATAATTGAAAAGTATGGGGATAAACAAAGAAATGAAATACCTTCAGCAGTAACCATGGATATATAAAATCAAAACCATTACTATTATCATACTGTATATTTATACTAAATCCATTCCTTATTTTAATTTTCAAACCCAGTTATTCCTGATCTTTATATTTGTGCCTTATTTTATTTTATTTTATTTTTTTGAGACACAATCTTACTCTGTTGCCCTGGCTGAAGTGCAGCGTCACGATCTTGGCTTGATGCAACCTCTACCTCCCGGGTTCAAGCAATTCTCGTGCCTCTGCCTCTGGAGTAGCTGGGATTACAGGCATGCACCACCACACCTGGCTAATTTTTATATTTTAGTAGAGACAGAGTTTCACCATGTTGACCAGGCTGGTCTCAAACTCCTCACCTCAGGTGATCCGCCCTCCTCCACCTCCCAAACTGCTGGAATTACAGGCATGAGCCACCGCGCCCAGCCGTTGTGCCCTATTTTAAAGCCCTTATGCATACATATTGCATTATAGAAAGTGAAATAATCTTTTTTTTTTGATGGAGTCTCGCTCTATCGTCCAGGCTGAAGTGCAGTGGCACAACCTTGGTTCACTGCAACCTTCGCCTCCTGGGTTCATGTGATTCTCCTGCCTCAGCCTCCCGAGTAGCTGGGATTACAGGAGCACGTCACCACATCTGGCTAATTTTTGTATTTTTAGTAGTAGAGACGGGGCTTCACCATGTTGGCCAGGCTGGTCTCGAACTCCTGACCTCAAGTGATCCACCCACCTAGGCCTCCCAGAGTGCTGGGATAACAGGCATGAGCCAGCGCGCATGGCCTAGAAAGTGAAAGAATCTTGAAATAAGATTTCCCTCTCCTCTGAGATACTGAGACTAGTACTAATTTCTTCTATCATTCATTGGAAAAAAAGCTACAGTATGATTCATAAAAATGTAGGAGTTAAAAAACTGCCCAGGACATTTGAGCTAGGTATAAATAATATAATGCAGATATCATTAGGATATTGTAGTTTATGTTTATATAGACAACTATCTAGTTTTCTTGAATTTCATGAAAATAAAAAGCTAGTTCTCCCTAAACAGAGAAGACCTGGTAAAAAACTTGACAACATCACTGCAAACTCTGGTGATCAGAATGCTAGAGATTGTTATCTTAGACAGCAATAACATGGCTGCATGGCACTCATGGTTATACAATGGAAGCCAGATATTTAAACATTATCACTGTGAGCCAAGAAATATTGCATCTAATTTGTTACAGAGCTCAATCAAGATGGGAAGGAAGAGGTTCTTATTTTATCAATCTGAACATTGGCTGAAAGTAGAAGAACTAATCCACTTTATAATAATTTGTTTCTCTCTTGAATCCAGAAAGAAGAAGGGCTTGAGGACACAGAAGGTACATAGTTTAATAAATATTTGAGGGCTGAGTATGGTACCCAGACTTCTCTAGGTGCTGTGGGACACAGCAGTGGACCAAGAAGACAAAAATCTGTATCCTCAAGGAGCTTGTATTTTAGTGGAAGGAGATATACATTAATCAACACAGATAAGTAAATAAAGTAAATAAGCAAATAAATAAATAAAGTAAGTGAATATGATAGTGCAGTGTAGTGACACAGTGTTGGAGCCAGACAGCCTGGGATCAAAGCCTGGCACCATCACTTACAAGCTGTATGGCCTTTGAGGAAGTTCTCAACCTCTCTGTGCCTCGGTTTCCTCATCAGTAAAATTGGGTTAATAAAAACTTTTGAGATTTGCCATGAGGATCACATTTAATCAGTGTTAAACACTTAGAACTGTGCCCAGCACACTTTAAGCACTACATTAGTAGTACTTGCTATTATTATATTAAATGGTACAAGAACAAGAATGGGATAAAGGAGTGTTGGATGGGTTTGTAGTTTTAAATGCCTTGTTAAAAAAAATCTGGAACAAGATCTTGATGACAAACTGGCATTTAAGTAAAGATCTAAAGGAGCTGAGGGAGTCAGCCACTCAGATATTTGGTGGTAAGCTGTGCCAGGCAGAAGGAATGACAAGTGCAAAGACCCTGAGGTTGGCACATGCCTCGCTTCTAGGACTGACAGGTGTGCAGTGTGGCTGGGGAGGAGAATACAATAGGAGGGATCATAGATTGGGGCTCCTTAGAAGTAGAACCTAAGACAGGAATTCAAATGCCATTGATTTCCTGAGGATGTACTCTCAGGAAAAAACGAGGGAAGAAAGGAAGAGAGAGCAGAAGAGCTAAGTAAGGATGTGGCCCCGGCAGGTACAGCCTGGCCCCAAGGGGAGCACTGGAGTGTGGACTGCACTACAGTGAGTTCCCCCTTGAGACAAATGGATTGGCTTCTTGTTTCCTCAGCCAATCATTGGCAGAGGGCTGTTGGGGGAGGTGGCTCCCATTGGCCAAGGGCAGTTCTCATTAGCAGGGGCAGTTGTGAGTTGCTGGCAGTAGGTGGCGGTGGCCTGGGGAAGGGGATCGGGGCAGGACTTAGCAGTACACACTACAGGAGATGAAGCTGCTTCTTCTAGGGACTTGTAGACATTTCAAGTCATAGTTCCAGAAGATTCAAATATGAATTTAATGAGTCCATCTGGCTATATTCCAGGAACAGAATCTTAGCCATGATGAGGGCTGGAGTCTTTTCAGTCTGTACTTGTGCTTCTGAAAAATGTTAAAGAAAAACTACACAATGGGGGCACGTTGGTGCCTCTATAGCTTGCTAACTTCTGACTTTTTATTTTTTTATTTTCTTGAGACAGAGTCTTACTGCATTGCTCAGGCTAGAGTGCAGTGGCACGATTCTTGGCTCACTGCAACCTCTACCTGCCAGCAACCTCTGCCTCCTGGATTCAAGTGATTCTCCTGTCTCAGCCTCTCGAGTAGCTGGGATTACAGGTGCCCACCACCATGCCAGGCTAATTTTTATATTTTTAGTACAGACGGGGCTTTACCATGTTGGCCAGGCAGGCCTTGAACTCCTGACCTCAGGTGATCCACCCATCTTGGCCTCCCAAAGTGCTGGGATTACAGGCATGAACCAACACACCCAGCCTCTAAACTTGTTTTCTGCAAATGATTCTAGGTTTATTTCTAGCAAAGCTGAGCCCTCTGCCGGCAAAAGCAACATAGAGCTGCTGGGGGCACCTTGCTGCCTCTCCTCCACAGTCCTCAGCAATTCAGGTTTAGCTCCAAACCTGCATATTTCACCCACAAAGCCAAAGCCCTGCAGGCAGACAGCCCCGCATCCTTAGAAGGAAGCATAGCAATTGTTAATTGAAGCTGGAGCTGGAGCCTTGAGTGTCTTACACTCTATGCCAAGCAGCTTATCAAAGTTGCTTTTAGCCACACTGCATTTGTCCCTGTGAGGAGCCATGGAGACTTTGTACAATGTCAAGGTAGCTAAATTGGAATGACATTTCCCAGATAACTTAGATACAGAGATACCTTGTATGGTTCAGAGTTATAGTTGCCACAAGAGAAACTTGTGTGATTTTGTTTGTTTGTCACCCAGGCTGGAGTGCAGTGGCACAATCTCCGCTCACTGTAACCTCTGTGCCACCCACGTAGCTGGGATTACAGGCACGCGTGCCACCACATCCGGCTAATTTTTGTATTTTTAATACAGATGGTGTTTCACCATGTTGGCCTGGCTGACTTGAACTCCTGGCCTCAAGTGATCCGCTTGCCTTGGCCTCCCAAATTGCTGGGATTACAGGTGTGGGCCACTGGGCCTGGCCTGTTTGTTTAACATTCTAAACATGTATAATCAATTAACATGGCCTAGGATTTTAATGGTATTCACTTCAGTAACTTGAATCCACAAATCTAAGGAGTATATAACCAGAAAATTATGTATAAACACAGATTGGGCATGGCAATTCCTGTTCACAAAGGTCACATGTGTAGGTACATAAGTTAGTAGTGTGTATCTAGAATTATGACCAAACTGTTTTTAAGATGCAGAAATGTAAAATCACATCTTGAAAACATGATGAAAAAATGAAGAAGAGCTGGTCTACACCCATCAAAAATCAAACATTGCTTATAACAGAGACGAATGACAGCTACAGGATTCAAGTGACAATATGATTTCAAGAAATTAATACTGATCAAAGAGAACAGGAATATTTTTACATTTCACTGAAAATACATTGACTACTAGAATGTAAAGATCCAGCAGAAACTCAGGGAGAAAATTACAAAATCTAAAGCCAATTACTTAATATTTCTTATTACCTAAATAACTGCATGATATTAAAAGAAAGCTGAAAATATGGAACACTTCATGAATTTGTGCATCATCCCATCCGGAGGCCATGCTAATGTTCTCTATATCATTCCAATTTTGAAGTGAGCACCTTGTGTGAAATTTGAGATCAGGAATGAAGCAGCAGCCATTGCACTTTGAAGGCTATGATTGGTAGGTGTGGTTAACAGTGCCTGTGGGGGCCGGGCGAGGTGGCTCACGCCTGTAATCCCAGCACTTTGGGAGGCCGAGGCAAGGCGCCTGTAATCCCAGCTACTCCGGAGGCCGAGGCACTAGAATTGCTTGAACACAGGAGGTGGATGTTGCCGTGAGCCAAGTTCGTGCCATTGCACTCCAGCCTGGGCAACAAGAGTGAAACTCCGTCTCAAAACAACAACAACAACAACAACAACAACAACAACAACAACAACAAAACAAAAACAAAAAACAACAGTGCCTGTGAGTGCCACCTTGTCTTCAATTTTTTCCGCTCAATGTCCAGATCTTCCTGACTGCTGGCCCTACTGACCAGCCATGAACCAGGCCCACCATAAGATGCTCTGCTGTGAGCTCACAGAGGCGGAAGCCACAAAGAGCCTTCCATAGACTTCTATGCCAGCACTTTCATAGTTGCCCTCCAGCAGTCAGTGGCACCTCACATCCAGCAAGCTTCGATTTGTTCACCGGCTCCAGGGCTGATTAGTGGCTTTTTTCTGGTGCTTTTCAGACTTTTCTTCCTCAGCTTTTCCCCAGATTGTGGAAAGTCTAACTCCACAATAAATAACTTACCCCATAGTGCTCATAATGGTCTTGCTTCCCTGATTGAACTTTACCAGTACAGGAGGGAACTATAATTGCCTTCATCTTATTACATTTCCAGGAACATTTTATCATTTCTTGTAGGTCGGCACACCAGACATCTTCCTGGCTGGCTGTCCTTGAATGTAATTAATATATATCAATATAATCGATGTAGCCCTGAATATATTAGTCAATTCTCGCACTGGTATAAAGGAATACCTGAGACTGGGTAATTTATAAACAAAAGAGGTTTAATTGGCTCATGGTTCTGCGTGGCTTGAGAGGCCTCAGAAAAATTACAATCATGGTGGAAGGCTAAGGGAAAGCCAGCAGGTCCTCATGGCTGGAGCAGGAGGAAAAGAGAGTGAAGGGGAAAGGGCTACATGCTTTTAAACAACCAGAAATTGGGAGAACTCACAATCACAAGAACAGCAGGGGGGAAGTTGCCCCCATGATGTAATCACCTCCCTCTCTCCTCCAACACGGGGGATTATAATTCGACATGAGATTTGGGCGGGGACACAAATCCAAACCATATTAATAATATCCTTGAATTTCTGGTAGAGAAGGCACAAATAACTCTTTTCAGAAGAACCTTAATCTATCTATCTGAGTATACTTTTCAGTGAGACATACAGCTAGAGATACAATGGGAGGCAAACTATGTCCTTTATAAATACCTTTCTATAGGTAATACACTAGTCTGGCTCAAAAATCAGAGCTAGGCCAGACACAGGGGCTCATGCCTGTAATCCCAGCACTTTGGAGGGATGAGGCGGGTGGATCACTTGAGTTCAGGAGTTCTAGACAAGCCTGGCCAATATGGTGAAACCCCATCTCTACTAAAAATACAAAAATTAGCCAGGCATGGTGGAGTGCACCTGTAATCCCAGCTACTCAGGAGGTTGAAATGGGAGATTTGCTTGAACCCTGGAAGTGGAGGTTGTAGTGAGTGGAGATTGTACCACTGCACTCCAGCCTGGGCAACAGAGCGAGATTCCATCAGAAAAAAAAAAAAAAAAAATCAGAGCTATATACAAGGTATGCACTGTGAAGTCTGGTCCCCAGCCCTATTTTTGTCCACCACATTCCTGCCACCCTCACCCCACTCCTAAAGGTAACCACTTCTAATAGTTTCTTGTATTCTTTCAATGTTTTCTTATAAATAAATATATTTTCTTTATAATTATCTTGCAGGGAACTAAAAATCCTCCTCCATCTCCAGGGCTGGACCTGTTACCTCCTGGCTTCTCCCTGTTCTTGGCTTGCGTCTTTCCCCCTCATCACAGAGCACAGCATGCTGAAGGGAGGCCAGCAGGACTTAATTTGGTCATGAAATTTCTAAGTTTACTCATTCATAATCTCATGGTGTAATGGAAATAAAGGCCCCAGACTCAGACTATCTGGTTTCTGGCCCTAATTGCCAAAAGCCCTCTGTGGGATTAGGCTTTCTGGCTTCAGTTTCTTTGTAATTTGTTTTGTAATAGCAACATTATTAGACTAGATTATGGGTCTTTTGCCACATACCTAAACTGATTGCCCATGTAAAAGCCTTTTTAGAAACTTGCATTTCAGATACTTATTTTTTTTCTTTCTTCTTATTTTGTTTTATTTTTTTGGAAACAGTTCTCGTTCTGTTACCTAGGCTGGAGTGCAGTGGCACAATCACAGCTCACTGCAGCCTGGACCTCCCAGACTGAAGTGATCCTCCTGCTTCTGCCTCCTGAAGAGCTGGGACTACAGGCGTGCGCCACTATGCCCAGCTATTTTTTTTTTTTTTTGTAGAGATGGAGTTTCTACATGAAACCCCCATCAACATGAAAACCATGTTGCCCAGGCTGGGCTCAAACTCCTGGACTCAAGCGATCCACCTTCTTCAGCCTCCCAAACAGATGGGATTACATGAGCGAGCCACTGCGCCGGGCCTCAGCTACTTATATTAGGGTTCTACAGAGTATGGCACATGCTTCCCAGAAGCATTATGAAAGTAAATATGTGGATTGACAGTGGCACCCTCCCTTTATCCAGATGTCACCTGGCTTTGTGTGGTGGTTGTACCGTACACGGAGGCACCCGAGGGAAGAGTGGGAGTTCCAGAAAAGGTGGGTTGATGGTGGTTTCCTCACTCTTTTGCTTTCAGCACAGTGTGATGCATTACAGTTTATATATGGTCAGCTATATTGTCATAACTGGTTTTTAGATAATAGTCTCTAATTTTAATTAAATTAACTCTCGTAAAAACAGACAAATGACCTAAAAAGATTTCCTGCAACATGTTCTCACTCATAGGTGGGAATTGAACAATGAGAACACATGGACACAGGAAGGGGAACATCACACACCGGGGCCTGTTGTGGGGTGGGGGGAGAGGGGAGGGATAGCATTAGGAGATATACCTTATGTTAAATGACGAGTTAATGGGTGCAGCACACCAACATGGCACATGTATACATATGTAACTAACCTGCGCGTTGTGCACATGTATGCTAAAACTTAAAGTATTAAAAAAAAAAAAGATTTCCTGCAAAGAAACCATGGATTGACGTGAAAACAATAACATGAGTAGAAGCAAAGAAGCAACAACAACAAAAACAACAATAAAAAGAGCAGACCAGTTCTACTCCTAGAAAAAACTCTTTGCTACCCACATTGAAAGGCCAAAATAATAAGGCTCAAATGAGATTTGATGAGAAGTCTGACAAAATAGTCAAAATTAGCAAGGAGATGGCTTGCAAGTTGTATTTACATCCATTATCATTAATGAGGAACCACAACTTAAGGGAATATTTTGCCTTGAAATATTAATGATTGTAGCATGATTTGAAAGACATTTAAAATAGTATTTCTTACAGTCAATTAAGCCAATCATGTTCCTTTCCTTGTAAGGGCCAGGTGTGCCATGGCTGCGAACAGCAGCCTTCTCGGTAGTATGTGCACCGTGTTGCTTGTATGTTGTAAGCATTGCCCTAAGGACCTTGGAGACAGCCCTTTCCAATGGACATTCATGTCCCTGACCTGACACTGTCTCCAGTCTGTGCTCTAGATAGGTACGCAGGGTGCCTTTGAAAGCCCCAGGGCATGGGAGGAAAGATCCACATTGGCCAAGTCATTATGTTCATCTGCACCAAGCTGCAGAACAAGGAGTATGTGATTAAGACCCCACACAGGACCAAGTTCAAGTTCCCTAGCTGCTAGAAGATCCATATTTCAAAGAAGTGAGATTTTACCAAGATTAATGTGGATGAATTTGAAGACATGGTAGCTGTGAAACAGCTCATCCTAGACAGCTATCAGGTCGAACACCCCCAATCATGGCCCCCTGGACAAGTGGTGGGCCCTGTACTTATGGGGGCTCCCACTGTTTTGCCCCTCCTTATTCACACCCACCAATAAAGCCTACTTCCTAACCCCCAAAATAAAGAAATAATAATATTATTTATCTTTATATCATCTTTTAGTGTCTTTTTTTGTGCACGTATTGTAATGCTTGTAATACATTGGTAAGTATACATAATGGAAGTATGGGCTGAACATTTTTTGCTGATTAGAGGGTCACAATCAAAAAGCTGGTGACCACTGATTTGTACTGAGACTGACATGTCCAGAAGTCCATCCAACTTATGAAGAAGACATGTGGATGGTGGCACAGCTTGGACTCTGTAATTCAAGACTGTAAAACATTTCTCACTCTACGTTTTATGACCTATAACACACGATTACATGAACTAGGGAAAGGATTGTGCTTTAGAAAGTCAGGTAAGTGTATTTGCATTTCCATTATCAGGAAAAACTCCCTCCATCCTCATTCCTCAACTTCTAGGTTTTTCCTAGGACTAGATTTAGGGACTAGATTTAACAATCTTTCAATCAAGTTTGTTTTCTTTGTTACTTTCACCTGGTTCGACATCTAAGTAAATCAACATTGCTAATCTGTTAGTTTTTTTTTTTTTTTTTTTTTTTTTTTGAGATGAAGTCTCGCTATATCGCCAGGCTGGAGTGCAGTGGTGCGATCTCAGCTCACTGCAACCTCCGCCTCCTGGGTTCAAGCAATTCTCCTGCCTCAGCCTCCGGAGTAGCTGGGATTACAGGCAGGCACCACCACGCCCAGCTAATTTTTTTATTTTTAGTAGAGACAGGCTTTCACTATGTTGGCCAGGATGGTCTCCACCTCCTGACCTCGTGATCCGCCCACCTTGGCCTCCCAAAATGCTGGGATTACAGGCATAAGCCACTGTGCCCGGCCACCTCTTAGTTTTTTTGGAACAAAGGGAATCTGAAGATTTTTCAGAGTCAGGAAAGAATTTTGTTAGGATATTAAATGTGGGCAATGTTTATTTTTAAGTCTACAGATCTGAAGTTACCTTTTTCAAGAACAAAAACACTCTTTGGTTTGCTCATAGATTGATTATTCCTAGTATATTATTTTAAAAGTACTTTATTTTAAAAAGTCATATTTAATGCATAGAGTTATTGCAAAATATAAACAGGAGGCAAAAATGAAATGAGGTATAAATGTGTGCTAAATTCTGCTGTAGTAATAGACAACCTCCTAAATCTCAGTGAGTCAATGCACCCCCAATTTTTTTTCTCATACTGCATGTCTAATGCAGCTTAGCAGGTGGAGCTCTGCTCACTGAAATCTCTCAAGGACTGTTAGAACAATAGCCCCCAAAGATATCCACCTCCTAATCCTGGGAACCAGTGAATGTTTCCTTACATGGTAAAAGGATCTTTGCTGACGTGATTACATTAAGGATATTGAAATAGGGAGACTATCTGGATTTTCTAGGTGGACCCAATGTAATTACAAGGGTCTTTATAAGAAGGAGGGAATAAAGTCAAAGGCAGTAGTAGAAGATGTGGCCCCAGAAGCAAGAGGTTGGAGTGATGTGAGGAAGGGGCCACAAGCCAAGGAATGCAGGCAGCCTCTAAAACTGAAAAAGACAAGGAAGTGTATTGTACAAATGAAAGCCCGCATACTTTATGTCTAAGTATTCAGAGGTTGTAAATTAAACCATACCCACAATCTCTGGCTTGGTCCTGACCTGGGCCACAGTGGTCCCCAGGGACTGTCCTGCAACCTAGAGGTTGAAGAGCCCCAGTCTGCCAGCCTGAGTGGAAGCACAGCTCTGCCTGGGCAGGCAGGGTAGACGGGGGTCCAGGCTCAGACAGCTGTGAGTGAATTCACCTGCCTGATCCTGGGGCAGGGACTGACCTGGGCCAAGCTTTTCAGGGAGTTCTCAGCGCTCAGTGCCTTTACCATCAAAGCAGAAGAATGTCACTGTTAAATGGCTTTGGGAAACCCTGCTTGTTAACTTCCCTGCGCACCTTCTTGCGGATTCATAACTTATATTACACTATATAGTAAAGGTTCTGACAGATCATAAGATATAAAAACCTGCTTAGCTTTGTTTAACTCAGCATTTTCCACATGGAATACGTTTTTGGGAAAGCTTCCTTTTTTTTTCATAAGTCTTAGTAATATCCTGCTTTCATAAGTCAGAGTTCTTCAACACACCTAAGGAACTGCTGTTTCTGGAAAGGTTTTTGGACCTAAAATGCAGAGCACTGAATGAATCATACTCCTTAGTTCCTGACATACAATTATCAGTTGTTCCTACAAGGACCCATTGTCATTCATTCATTCATTTATTCAGAGTCAAATCAGGCACAGAAAGCACAGTATCTTAGGGCTCATGATACATTAAGGGGCCCAGGAAAGTGTTTTAATTTCTTGTAAGTCAGAAGTAAAAATGTACTTTTAGGGCAAAGAAGTTTTTATTTTAATTTTATTTATTTATTTATTTATTTATTTTTAATAGATACAGGGTCTCACTATGTTGCCTAGGCTGGTCTTGAACTTCTGGCCTCAAGCAATCCTCCTGCCTTGGCCTCCCAAAGTGTGATTACAGGTGTGAGTCACCATCCCTGGCCCAGAGAAAATGTTTTAATACATAATATTAATATATTTATCTTTATACCAACACAGTTGTAAAATATGATTTTTAAATACTTTTCTAATGGAGGAAAGGACCCATGAAGGCGAAAGGGACTCGGGCCCACGGAAATTGGAATGCAGCCATACATTTATTTACTCCCTTTATTTTATATCCTAGTCCCATTGTCTCCAATCAGTAATACTTTTAATGTGTATGTTTATTTCTCTTTGAATGTGTCTTTGAAAAGCATATATTACTGGTTTGCATATTGTTTAAGTGATATTGTATTTTATATTGTTCTGTTTCTTGCGTTTTTCACTATGTACCATATTTTAAAATCAATTTCTACTGCTCTAAGTATGTCCAACTAATTGCTTCTACCCACAGCAAAATACTCTGTGGTGTACCTGCACCACATTTTACCCATTCACTCTCCCAGTGATGCCATCTCCTTGCCACCACCATGCTGCAATGATCCACCATGTACATTTCCCTCTTCAGCCTGCCTGGGAATGTTTCCAGGATATGTGCTCATCAGTGGAATTTCTGAGTCAGAGGGCACCTGCATACTTAATTTGGTTATGTAATGCTAGAAGTCTCTCCAAAATAAATGCTGTTTTCATATTTTTCTTTTCTGTGCTGGTCATTTTGGGGTTTGCTGTAATTTATTTTAGCTTTGTAAAATAAATTGGGTAATTCTTTTTTAAATCCTGGAACATTTTATATTGCATTGGAATTAATTATTCTTTGCAAGTGTGAGACTATAGGCAGTATGACTACTTGATGCCAAAACCCATATGTAGAGGCAATTCTTGAAAATATTTTCAGTTTCTTCCTTGGCTATTGGTTTGAATAAATTTTTATTGTTCTCAATCTGATGTTGGCATCAGGCAGGAATAACTAGGTCCATGAGACACAGACACAAAGATATGTATTTTTTTGGTTTTGTTTATGATTTTGTGACTTGCTGTAATACCTTAGGAAGGCTCTCTGTGCCCATGTGTACTCAATTGCACTATTGATGGGCTTGAAATGATTGGACTCCAAATGTACATGGCAAGAGTTCATTCTCTGCATGTCACATAAGTCTGCTCTGGTCAACGAATAGGTCTTCTCCCTCTTTTTATGATCTTGAATTTTTGCTCTTAAATTAACAATGATGTCATGCACTTTTTGGCACTTAAAAATATATACATAATATATACACATACCTTCAAGGATTTTTCTCCTCTGAAGAAGCCAAGGCTGGCAAATTACTACTTATAAATCAGGTGATACTTTTGGAGTCTGAATTATTCTGACTACCTGGAGAACATTGCTTTCTTCCTTCATAAAAGTCATTCCAAAACTGCACTTGAGTCACAAAACTGCCCTTTCCTGAATCCTGTTTCAGGAATGACTAGCTCAGTGAACATGTACCCCTTTCCTCACTAATCACTGCAGCTAAGATTAGTACCTTTCCAAAAAAGAAGCTATAGGTAAGAATGATTTATGTGTTTTTCATTTCTCAAGCTCACTTGGCAAGTAACAGATCCCTCATTTTAAATAAATCCACTGGACCTACATTAGAACTTACAGAATTATGCAGAACGAGGCTCATGTGTCTTCTAAAGAGTTTTCAGTTGAATCTATGAAGAAATTATTATTCCCTGCCCACTCAGAAAATGTACCACTAATTTTGGTAGTCACAGAGAGAATGAGATTTACTCTTCAGATATTAATGTTATAACTCATTATTGCTGGAATATAACTGTTATGTAACAGAAAAGATATGACAGTTGGATAGTGGGATCCAAAATAACTCAGAGGCCAGTTTCTTCTTTCCCTCACATTTTTCAAAAGTAACCTAAAATCCTCATGTTTAAGGAAAGTTTCCAGATGAACTTCATATACCTAATTTGGGGGTAAAACGTACAGGGTCCATTTTCTAATTTTAATTTGCTTGTACCTTCTCATTGTAGTGGTGGACTGAAAAAAAAATTTGAATTTGCTTATACCTGACTGGTGGTGTCTTTTTGTATCATTGAGAGTTTGGTGCTTTAATCCACTAATTTATCCAACAAGCATTTATTGGCCTTTATTCTATGCCAAAGAGACAGGGGTGAACAATAACAACCACAAAAAACAGTCTCCGCCTTCCTCAAGCTTACATCTAATGCAAGAAGTAGGCAGCAAACAAAGAAATCATCAAGGGCTATTAGGGTTCCCTGGGGCTGGTGTGTAGAGAATGGCATGTGATGCGGGAGGGGAGAAGAAAGAGAAATGGCAGCTTAGATGAGGTAGCCATGGAGATAATGACAGATTGGGTATATCATTTGAGACAGAGCGACAAAGACAGATCTCCAATAAACTCTATGTGTGTGTCTTAGATTAGGCTCCCTGGAAACAGACTCCGAGATGGAGATTTGGGTGTGAGGTTTCTTGAGGAGAGCGCTTGGGATGCCTGTACAGGAGTGAGGGGTGCAAGGTGGGGCAGACAAAGTTGAACTGCACGAACAAGAGAGGCCTCAGGTGATCTCAGTGGGAAAGCGAAAGCTGGGATGGCCCTTCAGGTATGGCCCACATTGAAGCAAGGAGGGAGTAGGTCTTGGTACCTGCCACATTGACCAGTCATTGGAAATGGGTGGCTTCCAGAGAGAGGACAAGGTAGCTCCTTTCACAGGAGGGCAACCCCTTTGGAGGGACTCACCTGGGAGCTGGGAAGAGCTCATACTCTCCTTCCCCAGCTGGAGAAGCGAGTGTATAGGTCCTGATGGCATTTGGGCTGCACACCACACAGAGTAGAGACGATGCTCTGTTCTAACCCAGACTGTGAAATGCCACTCTGAAATTCTAGGTTCTCCAATTTTCTTGAGCATCAGAATCATGTGAGAAGTTTGTGTTAGGTGCAGATTCTTAGATCCAGTCTCCTGGAGATTGATTCAGAGGTCTGTGTTTGAACCAAAGAATCTTCATTTTTAATGCATTATCTTCAGCTATTCTGATGGTGGAGTCTGCAGAAAACACCATGGGAAACAAGTCCTGTGGTATGCAGAATTAAGAAGCCACCAAGATTTCTCACCTGTGGTGCACAAGACCTGCATAATCCCAGGACTGTGAATTTGGTGGATTTTACTCCCATGATTAGATTATGTTATAAGCATAGTTCCTCTTAAAATAGGGAGATTATCCCAGCAAGCCTGGAGCCTGACCTAATCACATGAACTCTTCCTCCCCCCTCCCTCCCTCCCTTCCTTCCTTCCTTCTTTCCTTCTTTCCTTCCTTCCTTCTCTCTCTTTCTCTCTCTCTTCTTTCTTTTCTTTCCTTCTTTCTTTCTTTTCTTTCCTTTCTTTCCTCTCTCCTTCCCTCCCTCCCTTCCTTCTCTTTTTCTCTCTCTTTTTCTTTCTTGCTTTCTTTCTCTCTCTCTCCCTTCCTTCCTTCCTTCTCTTTCCCTCCCTCCCTCCCTCCTTCCTTCCTTTTTTTTTTTTTTTTGTAGAAATGGGGGTCTGGCTGTGTGGCCCAGGCTCGTCTCGAACTCCTGGGCTCAAGTGATCCTCCTGCCTTGGCCTCTCAAACTGCTGGAATTACAGGTGTGATTCACTGTACCCAGCACATGAACTCTTTAAGAGGAGAGAGTTTTCTTTGACTGATGGCAGAAGAAGAGATCAGAGGTTAGAAGTACAAGGAGGATTCGATGTGCTGTTGCTGGCTTGAAGATGAAGGGATGACAAGGAACTTGAGCAGTCTTTAGGAATGGAGAGTGGCACCTGCCTGGCAGACAGCAAAGAAATGGGGACCTCAGGCTACAGCTGCAAGGAACTGGATTCTACCAATGGCAAGAATGATCTTGGAAATGAATTTTCCTCAGTGTCAGCCCAGCGGATACCTTGATTTCACCATTGGGATATCAGAGCAGAGAGCCCAGCCACTCTGTGCTGGACATGTGATGGACAGAACTGCAAGCTAATAAATGGGTGTTGTTTTAAGCCACTACATTTGTGGCATTTGTCATGCATCGGTAGAAAATTAATAGAAAAACCATTGTGTTAAGCACATGTTGGAGACAGAAGAGAGAAGAAATAAAGAGATTCAGTTCTGCCACTAGTTGGTCCAGGTGAGAGCAGACAGCAGAGGGAGCTCCCTCTCAGGTTCTCCCTGGTCATGGAGATGATGTGCCCACCCCACCTCCCTCATGGATTTGTTGGGAGATTCAAATGAGGTATAAACATAAGACAGGAAGAACAGAATCTTTATGAAAATATGAGTTCAGGGACTTTTATAAGATTCTTCTCAGGCATTCTTCTAAATAGAATATATGGGTTTTTGAATGAGAAATTTATTGTACATCCAAAGATATACAGAAAGAACTTTTCTTAAAATATATATACACATAAATATATATAAATATATATAAAAATATATATAAATATACATATAAATATATATAAATATACATATAAATATATATAAATATATATAGAAATATATAAAAATATATATAAAAATATATATAAATATATATAAATATATATATAAATAATATATAAATATATATAAATATATAAAAAATATATAAATATATATAAATAATATATATATAAATATATATAAATAATATATATATAAATATATATAAATAATATATATATAAATATATATATATATTCTGTTTTAGAGACAAGATCTCCCTATGTCATCCAGGCTGGAGTGCTGTGACATGATCATAGCTCAACTGCAGCTTGAAATTCCTGAACTCAAGGGATCTCCCTCCTCTGCCTCCCAAAATGCTGGGATTACAGGCATGAGCCACGGCGCCAAGCCCAGAAAGTACTTCTCTATGGCAGTATTAAAACAAACAGAGCACCACCCTACACACTGGGGCTTGCTGCCAAGTGCCCACAGACCATGGCTGGGCAATGAGGATGGATTCAATGTAGGCCTCGAGCCTGAGGCGACTCCCCCTTTCTCCTTGTGAGCCTGGATCAATGGGACAAAGGGAGTGGACAACAGGGAGTGGAATCTAATGTATGAGTCAGAATCTAGTCAGGAAAGCAGAAACCACATTGGCTACTACAACAGACAGAAGATAATGTGAGAAATCGGTGTTGGAGGGCTAAAGGAGCAAAGGGAACACCGGTGTGAACAGAGAAATAACCACAAGAAGTAGCTACCGCTCCATAGGGCTGCGGGAACAAAAGGAAGTTGCTGGGATTATTTTAATCTAGAAATTTCGAGGAGGAGCCTCTTGGAGCTGGGATGCAGATCCCTGAGGAGGAAGCCATATCCGGGTGGTGCTGGCACCACTGCGAGGGTAAAATGAGGCTGGCTCCGGGTATGTTGACAAAAGCTGGAGTCTGCAACAAGTGTCCTGCTAATCTTGCAGCCTCTCTAGTGCCCCCTATTGGCAGGACCGAATAGGGTAGCAAGCAGGCCAAAGAACAGATTTTTTTTTTTTTTTTTTTTGGCCAAGTTCAGCCAGAGTATCGCAAAGCAGTTTATGCAAGGCAGGTTTGGAGCTGAGAAACAGTACCTTAATAACCAGCACAGGTGGTTTCCAGTGCAAACCAGAGAAACCCAAGCTCATTTGAAGGGCTCTAACAGTGGCAGGAAATGGGAGGTGGGAGGGCTGGCTTATTTTGAACTCCCTCTTTGCTATACAAAAGATCTAAGATCTCAAGGCATCTGAAAGGCAGCTTTCTCACAATAGTAACCCTGGGGTGGAGATAGAGAGGTGGGCGGTGGGGCTGGAGAATACCTGTTAGCATGTGTCATAAGAATCATATTCTCCGGCTGAGCTGGGCTCATGGTCTAAGCTTTTGCTTCTCTAGCAAGGGTACTTGTAAGGTACTTGGAAGGTGTTTAGGGAAAATATTTTCATATTAAATAGATGAGCAATTGTACCATCTTGGGTCTGTTCAGAGTACAGTGTTAATATGGAATGGAGTACAAAATTTATTTTTAAAGATAATATTTCAGATGTCAAAGCAAATATATGTTTGCAGCTGGCCACTTAAATAATCTCCCATCCTTCCAGAGTCCTTGAAAAAGTTTGGGAAGCATTCCTAGTCACATTATCTATCACCTACATTTTAAAAAAATGCTCAGGGAGGGGTCTTTTTGTCAGGAAAGAACTATTTTTAGGATTTTCTTGTTTGTACTTAAAATTAAAAATTTAAAAGAAATTACAAATATTAAAATTTAGTTTTTTTTTTTTTGAGACGGAGTCTCGCTCTGTTGCCCAGGCTGGAGTGCAGTGGCACGATCTCGGCTCACTGCAACCTCTGCCTCCCGGGTTCATGCCATTCTCCTGCCTCAGCCTCCCGACTAGCTGGGACTACAGACACCTGCCACCACGCCCGCCTAATTTTTGTATTTTTAGTAGAGACGGGGTTTCACCGTGTTAGCCAGAATGGTCTTGATCTCCTGACCTTGTGATCTGCCCGCCTCAGCCTCCCAAAGTGCTGGGATTATAGGCGTGAGCCATCGCGCCCAGCAAAACTTAGTTTTAAAGCCTTTATGTTAAATTTAGAAATCTTGTTAGACTTTTTATAAAGCGAACAAAACAGGAACAATCACCTTTAATTGGCCTCAGATTAATGTTGAGTAACTCAACGTTAACAGATTAAGTTCCCCTAAACATTGTTCCCACTTAAAAGATTAATTAAATTTCCTTAAACATTTGAAACTACACTTATAAATACATTTAATTTTTGTAAGTGCTTCAAATGCCTGACAAGGAAAATTTATGACTTAACAAACAAAAACCTTTCTAAGTACTTAGATTAACTCTTGTACATTCAATAAATCACATTTATAAAATATAGTTACCCTTTGTTCTCTTAAATATTCAATGCTGTTTAAATATTTGTTCAAGATTACTTATGCTTTTCAACCTAAAATTAGAAGTCAAAGCCAATTACACCTTTCAAATGAAAGTCACCAAGCTAATCCATTGGATTTTCTAATCTGCTATATTCTCAAAAACCTTTAATTAAACCTTTAGGTTGTCCTAATGATTATAGACCTGATTGCTAGAGAGAACATAAAGCTATTAGTTTTTTAAGCTTTTGATTTGCTTCTTCATCTCTATTCAATTCTAATCTTTTCCAGAGTTGAAAAGGCAGTTACACAATTACAGGGAGCAATTGTATCATCTTGGGTTGGTCCAGTGTACAGGGTTAACTGCTCCTGACTGTGACGTCTTTGGGATTCAGAACAGGGCCCAGACCTGACGGCTCCATGCTCCCTGTACCACGGATGATCATGTTGGACATTCTTATAACATTTGTGAAGATGGAGTTTTGCAAGTCTCTCCTGGGCTCCATTTAATAAATGTGTTTGCTGGCAAATTCAATTCTCTATTCTTTCATTTTCTCCTCTTGTCTGACATTTTAATGACTCCTCTTGTCTGAGTCTGGTCATAATTTAAAGACATTTTAATTTCTTATCTTCTGATCTTCCAGCAGAGCATTATACTCTTGCTAGTAGATGTGAAGGTTGATTATATAAATTGAATCATTCTTGTCATACCCAACTGTATTAGTCCATTTTCACACTGCTATAAAGAAATATCCAAGACTAAGTAATTTATAAAGGAAGCAACTTTAATTGACTCACAGCTCCTCATGGCTGGGGAGGCCTTAGGAAACTTACAGTCATGGCAGAAGGGGAACCAGGCACCTTCTTCACATGGCGACAGGAGAGCAACAGCGAGTGAAGGGGGAAGAGCCCCTTATAAAACTATCAGATCTCATGAGAACTCTCTCACTATCACAAGAAGAGCATGAGGGAAACTGCCCCCATGATCCAGTCATCTCCCACCAGGTCCCTCCCTTGACACGTGAGGTTTACAATTCAAGATGAGATTTGGGTGAGGACACAGAACCAAACCATATCACCAACTAAATCAGACTTGAGGGTCTGGGTGAAAAGTACTTGGGGCATAGAGTACCTGCTCCAAGATTTAAATTTTCCACAAGCCCAGCTGATGAAATGGCCTGCTGTAACCCTGTGATCAGTTTTACCTAGTAGCTGCCTAAACAAACTGCCATGACAGTAAGACTACTACTGTCACTCACCAGTCAGAGCTGGCCAGCTCCCAGAAGCTTCTTTAGTGTCAGTGAGAGTTTTTTCTTTCAAAACAATATGTTACAATTGTCTTTCTAATAAAACTTCCAACCTTCTCTTTGTTCTTTGGACATACCGAAGACCACCTGGTCTGTGTGTCTGCCCTGAATTGTAATTGATGCTTCCCAATAAATATTTTAGATTTAGAGATTTGTCTCTATATTTTATTTGACTCCAACAAAGTGGATAGCAGATGGAGGTCCATGCGGGAGAAGATCTCCAATCCCTCCTTTGTGATACAATCTGCAGTACAAATAATCAATTTTTCCACAAGGCAAATGAGCCAATGCATTTGCTGGGGGAGCAGGGAGAAACATGAATCAGCATCTTTCTCCCACTCTCACTTTTCTTCCTGCAGGATATAAAATTTGTGCTAGCCAGAAGGGGGCAGAAGAGAATATGGGGCTTGGGCTCTAAAAAATGCCTCTTGATATATCCCAGGAGGGATAAAATAGATATGAAGTTGAACTTTGCTTCCATAACTTAAGAAAAGTGTGGCTGGGGAGAGGTTTCTAACCACCAAACCCTATTTTCTCAACTTTAAAGTACCTAACTTGCAGGATAATTATCATCATTGAGATTACGTACATAAAACGGACAGCATTGGGCCTGGCATAGAGTTCATTATAATTGCCAGTTTATCGATTGATCTATATAGTATAGTCTGCATCTATCTTGTTCCATGGTGCTATCCCTGCCACCAAGCACAGGGCTCAGCGCTGGGATTTGTTGAATGACTCTTCCTCTCCATGACAATATCTGGGCCACTGTTCGTCAGCTGCAAGAACTGTTGATGTTGGAGGGGGCTTATATCTGAATGATTTACCTGGGGCCATATATGGAGCATTGATGTTAAGTGGGTGTTGTGATCGTTTTGCATAATGTGTGTTTATGCTGTTGGATAGGAGGGTAAAGCCACAGTCATGGGTGTAAGGAGTGAGGTCATACCTGAAGGATGAGATTATTCATGGCATCATCAACTAGGCAAGGGGTCTGTATCCCAGAATTGCATGGAAAATGTGTAGGTTAGTAACATCAGGAAGATGTTCCTTTTCTGGTCTTCAGCAGAGAGACATGAGGATGACTAGGGGAGAGGTTATGAGAAGGATGTCTTTACAAGATACCCGTCATGTGGGGACAGGTTAAGAGCCAAGAAAAAAGAGGTCCCAGGCCTTTGGAGCCAGGATGTAGTTGTCTCAGATGGCAATTAGAATAAGATAGGGCTGGGACTCAGAAAGTGGCTCCCTAGAGTTAGGAATCACATAAACTGACCAGGGATTCTCAACCTCATCACTATTGACATAATTCTTTGTTGCAGGGCTCTGTTGTGAGCATTGTGGGAGGGCTAGCAGCAGCTCTGCTGTAGGTATTATAGTAGGGAGACATGGGATGCTCTACTCACTGGAGATCAGTAGTACTACCCAGTTGTTACAGCCAAAAATGTCTCCAGACATTGCCAAATGCCCCCTAAAGGAGCACTGGTTGAGAACTACTTACCCAAACTATTTCTTATGTTGTCTATATTTACTTCCTCTGTGTGCCCCTTGGCATTTTACAAAGTCTTTTTGAAACTTCTTTCCTGTCTTAAATGTGTTAAAGGGTAAGGAAATGTCTCTTGGATATGCATAAACCAGATCCTTAAAGAAAGAACAAGCAGGCCTTGGCAGCTGCTGGAGTTGGTGTCATAGGAATCAAAGTGGAAGAATCTTAAGGGAAAATGAAACTCAGAGCTGTTTCCCACCTAGAGATCTCTTCAAAGAGTTTGACACTTTAAGAAGGCATGGTAGTTTTGCTTATGTTGTTCTTCCTATGAGTTTTTGGATTTTTTCCCCCTATAAGGCAGGTGCATATCTAAGAAGTTCTGAATAAATGCCATATCCATTTATTGAGGCCTAATTAAGGACCTAATTAAAGGAGAGTTTCGTAGTGTTTAGCTGGTAAAAGTTTAACTGGGAAAGAAAATACAAAGGGTAAAATACAAAGGGTAAAGAGTAAAAATACCTAGGGTAAAAGCCCAAGAAATGGACATGCAATATACTTTATGGTCTTCCCAGCTATATCAGAAATTAAGAGAGAATGACAGTGTAGTTTCCTAGGGCCCAAGCATCTGGAAATGTTTTCCCCTTGTTTTTATGGGCACCATGGTTGACTCACAAGCGACTCCCTCTCTTGGCATCTTTTACATGGAATGCTAGTTGCAACTTGTTGGCACAGATAAGACTTATGAATCTTTCAATTTCCAACACTTTCCTTCCCTTGTCTTTTGAAATAATCTATCTAGTCACATATGCAACCCAATGGAACAACACAACACGGTGGCCTGCAAAGCAGTTGCAAAGTTTTGGAAAACTTTCCAGTGCAGGTATGTTTGCACGAGTGACAACCCAATAAATGTATGTTCCTAGGGCTAATTTCCATTTGTAAATGTGAGATACTGTAGGATAGGCAGGGCTGTTGCTAGGAGACTGTTCATATAAGTTCCAGAAACATGATTAAATGAGGCAAGGGGGTAGGCTAGACGCTAGATAGGGGAAGAGATCACTTTTGGGAACATACTCATTTTTGCAAGGAAGTGAAGTCAGGCATGAATGTAACTGTGATAATGCTTTAATACTTTGTAGATGGCCAAAGGCTATAGGAGGAAAGAGGAGGGAGAGACTATTTCTGGTCCAGAAATGTGTGGGATGGTTTCGTGGAGGAGAAGTCATCTGAGCTGAGTCCTGAAGTTTATGTAGGATTTTGACAGATGCAGATGGATGGATGTGGAAGGGTGCTATAGCAGGGAGGAATAGAATAATATGAGCAAAAGAACAGAGATGAGGAGTAGGGTATGTTCTGGGATTTAAGCATGGCTAGGGTTTAAGATATGTTAAAGGCAACAGTAGGAGATAAAGCTGGAAAGACACATAATAGATGTTCTATAAATAAATAGCCACTACATAATAAAGGAAAGGTAGGCTGTAATCAAATTAAGAAGCTTTAAATGCCAAGTGAAGGGGTTTGAACTTTTATCTCTAAGCGATGTGGAGAAGTTGGCATTGACAATGTTTGATCAGCAAAGCAACATCAGATTTGTATTTTAGGAAGATTAATTTAGCAAAAGAAAGTAGCATGGATTCTAGCAGGGTTTCTAAAATATGTTAAGTGCAACACTGGTGGCATACAGGGTGATCTTACATGGGCAGTGCAGGCTGACCCCCAGGCAGGAAGAACCAACAGAGCCCTACTGCTTGTTCATGTTGCCTCCGCCATTCTGGGTTGTTAAATATTTCAAATATGACCACTAGGTATGCAGACACATTTTAAAATGTTGATAGTTATATTCCAATGTGAATTTGAAAACTACTGTAGAAGCCAGGCACAGTGGTGTGTGCCAGTAGTCCCAGCTACACAGGAGGCTGAGACAGGAGGATTCCTTGAGTTGAGTTCAATCCAAGGACTCAAGGGTTTTTTAAAAGAATTTAAAAAGTTATATATTTAAAAAACTAATGTGAAAAAATCACTTCGTAATAGAAAATTTTCCTTTAAAATATTTATTTCAGAAGAAAAAGTTAGCTAATTTAGCAAAAAAAATTAAGAGAATAGGTGGATAAGAAAAACCCCGAAGCGGGCGTGTAAATGACTAAAGCTTGGGAAACACTGGGTCAGAAGGACAAGAGAGTAGGGGACTGGTTATTGGTTAACAGCCATTTGATCCAGCTCTGTGCAGGCAGATCGAATAAGTTTGCAGTGCTCAGCTCACCCCAAACTTAATGTCTAGCCTTTTATCTTCACTGGTGCATGAAAACTTCAGTCAGAGGATTGGGGAGCAACATGGAGAAAACTTGTAGGACCAGAGAAGTCCCAAAATATCATGACAGGCCTTTTTATTGTGGGAAGACAAATGCTACTGTTACCAGTTGAGGTTGTCGAGGTTCTTGGCATCTCGAACAAAGAACTGGACAAAGTGCACAAACAAAACAAGGAAAGAATGAAACAACAAAAGCAGAGATTTATTGAAAATGAAAGCATACTCCACAGGGTGGGGGCGGGCCTGAACATAGGGGCTCAAGAGCCTTGTTACAGAATTTTTTGCGGTTTAAATAACCTCTAGAGGTTTCCATCGGTTACTTGGTGTATGCCCTATGTAAACGAAAAGGATGAAGTAAAGTTACAAAGTCATTTACTCAGCATAGGCCCTATGTAAATGGAGAGGATATTTCCTTTCGTACCTGAAATGTTTCCATTTGATTAAGTTCTAGGAAGTCCTTATATTCCCTGGTATCCAAACCCTATTCTCCTGTCTCATTATGATCCTCAGAGTGAATTTGTGGGGAAGGTAGGAAGCTAGGAAAAATAGTCTTTAGTCTCTTCTTTCCCGGGGTAACTGCTCACCCGGGAAACCATAACCCAAATGTGGTTGGAGGTCATACGGGCTTGTATGTACATAGACTACTTCTCCAAGCACACACAAGAAGCCTGTAACTGTGTTTGCCTCTGGGGCAGGGACAGTCATGGGAGAGAATTTTTTTTTAAACTGCGTATTGATTTATACCTTTCATATTCTTTACTATATGCTTGTATTTCCTGTTTGAAATATAATTTTTTAAAAATGTAAATTAAAGTACCACAGGCTCATATAAAAAAGTTTCTTAAAGCCTGTAATTCTACTTCTGTTCATATTTTGAGCATTTCCTTCTAGTCTTTTCTCTACTTATACATGCATATATTTGATGAAGTGGAGATTATACTTTGTAAATAGTTTTGTACCTTCTTTGACCATTATGGTATAATAATATCTTGAGTGTTTTCCCATATTACATGTATTCCAAATTCCCTCAAATATTTTTTCCATTTGGAGGGATGTGCCATAATTTAATCATTCCTAATATTGAACTTTTAGGTTGTGCCCAGTATTTTGGACAGCTGGTAACGTTGTTAGAAATACCCTCTTTATTAATAAAGGTATTTCTGTGGTGCCTTTTGTCATCTCCTGTACTGTTTAACTCTTGTATTATTTACCATTTTGCATGTGAATGAATTATCCATTATCAAAGCAGATTGTAAACTCCTTGAGAAAAGAAGTCATACTTACACCAATTGTTTTTTTAAAGACCATCTAATGATCACTAAAGATCACCTAACAGTTCAATTAAAAACAAACAAATACAAACTAGTGAACAAATCTCCATAGACTTTAAGCACGGTTTCTCAAGCAAAAAGGAAAAAAATCAGCCAGGGGCAGTGGTGCATGCCTGTAATCTCTGCACTTTGGGAAACCAAGGCAGGAGGATCACTTGAGCCTAGGAGTTCAAGACCAGCCTGGGAAACATGGTAAAATACCATCTGTACCATAAAAAAAAAAAAAAAAAGAAATGCAAAACTAATGGTCTGGCGTGGTGTCATGCATTTGTAGTTCCACCTGCTAGAGAGGCTGAGGTGGAAGGATCATTTGAGCCTGGGGAGGTCGAGGCTGTAGTGGGCCATAATCGCGCCACTATACTCCAGCCTGGGTGACAGAGCGAGACACTCTCTCAAATACAAACAAAAAAACAAAAAAAGGAAATAGTTTTTTAAAAAGCACAGTCCCTACTTATTTTTTCATTTAAAAAATGATGCTACATTTCTTTTTTTAAATTATACTTTAAGTAATTAAAGTAGATTACTTATAATCTTACCCCTATATTTGTTTAGATTGACACTTTATTGTGTATCTAATTTTTAATACATATTTCTTTATTTAAAATAAAATGCAGATCATTCAGTACAAACTATTCATAACTTGTTCTTTTTACATGCAAGGAAACATTCCTTAATATCCTTACATATTTTAAGACTCTCATTTATAAAGGCGCATATGGCCTTTTATCC
Organism: Homo sapiens; assembly: GCF_000001405.40. Taxonomy (NCBI): domain Eukaryota; kingdom Metazoa; phylum Chordata; class Mammalia; order Primates; family Hominidae; genus Homo; species Homo sapiens. The sequence continues at coordinate 48,953,430 of NC_000004.12, forward strand.
TAGTGCTGTATTTTTAAAATCAATCGTAAGTGGAAATTCATTGGCATGTAGTTAATAATTTAAATTCTTCTCAAATATCTTTTCATAAAAATTGGGCCAATTTATACTCCCCAGTATAAGAGAGTGTTTGTTTCATCCACTTATCACCAATATTATTTAAGCCTTTGCCAATATGGTAGGTGAAAAATAGTATATAATTATAATTCCAAATTATTTAGTAGTTCATTTGAATTTTATCATATTTTCATACTTAATACAAATATGTTTCTCTTATGTACAATTCAGGATTATGTTATTTGCATATTTTTATTTATGTTTTCTTATTGATTTGTAAGAGATGCTTATATAGCAAGGACATTCATATTTTGCATTCTGTAAATATTTGGAAATTTTCTTTTAGAGATGTTAAACATTATTCATTTTTACTCTAAAAAAAAGCACAGCCCCATTGAAATATACTTTACATACCATAAATTCACCTTAAACTATACATTTCAGTGTTTCTTTTTTTTAAATTATATTCACAAAGTAGTGCACCCATCAACACTAATTCTAGAATATTTTCATCACCCCCCGAAGAAACCACATACCCATTAGCAGTATTGTCTCTATGGATTTTCCTATTCTGGCCTATTCTACGTATATTTAACGTCAGTAGAATCATGCAACATGTGGCCTTTTGTGACTGGTTTCTTTCACTTAGTGTGATTTTTTTTGAGGTTTGTTCATCTTGTAGCATATATTCGGAAAGCATTTTTTCAAAAACCACTTATCTTCTTCATTTGAAAAAAAAATACAACTTCTAGTTAGCTTCTGACAGTCACAGCAACAATGCATTCCTCCCAGAAAGGTACCTTTTCTCAGCCTTGTTTTATGGGGTAAATTCTGGCTTCTTTTCTTAGCTACCCTTCTGTCCTCTCCTCTCTCCTTCCCTCCCCTCCCCTTCTCTGCTCTCTCTTTCTTCTTTCTTTCTTATGGAAAATAACTATCTTCCTGTTCTTCATTGTTCTCCAGGTCTCAGTGTTACTGAAAAAGGGGTCTCATCTCAGACCTCAGGAGTGGGTTCTTGGATCTTGCGTAGGAAAGAATTCAGGGTGAGTCACAGAACACAGTGAAGTTAAGATAGTTTAGTAGAGACTGCTTTTATTACAGAGTAAGAAAGTTATCCTCATAAAGCAAGGGGAGGAGCACCCGTACCTCAAACATAATGCTTGCTTACATAGGATATTAAGGCTAAGAATAATGTACTTTATTACAAAGGCTTGTGATCAGCTTGTGACAAACTATTAGGATTGTTCATCTCTTGTGTCACTATTGATTTCAGCAAGAATTTATGGGTGTACTATTATTTTTAAAGCGAAAGTTATTCTTAAACTAATAATGCTCTTTGTTCTTAAAATGTCAGGACATTTCCTTAAGTTCTGGGTCTTATTTAGTTAGCATCGTTAACTCATTCCTTCAACCATAACCATCTTGTGACCAAGAGTGCCTGACTTCCTGGGAATGTCACCCAGCAGGTTTGGCTTTATTTGGCCTTTATCCAGATGGAGTCATTCTGGTTAGGATGCCTCTAACATTAGTACATCTTAACTATCATGTCCTTTACCTCATTCCCCTTTTCTGCTCCAGGCCTCATTTCTTCCAGGCTAATTGAAACACACACACACACACACACACACACACACACACACGCACACACACACACACACAATCTCTTTTTTTAGCATAAAGCTTTCTCTTCTGTATCTGCAGACTGATCATAGGGATACTTACCTTTTCTGGGCATGACAGTGAAGGGTTTCCTCTCTGGATAGTGTTATGTGAAGGGCAGGTAAGCACTTTTAGTGCAAAAAGCCAGAATTTTCTTTTCTTTTCCTTTTCCCTTTCCTTTCCTTTCCTCTTCTCTCCTCTCCTTTCCTTCCTTCCTCCTTCCTCTTTCCTCCTTCCTCCTTCCTTCTTCCTCCTTCCCTTCCCTTCTCCTCCCTCCCTCCCTCCCTCCCTCCCTCCCTCCCTTCCTTCCTTCCTTCCTTCCTTCCTCCCCTCTTCTATTTTCAGACAAAGTCTCACTCTGTTGCCTAAGTTGGAGTGTAGTTGCTCAATCTTGGCTCTACCACCTGGGTTCAGGCGATCCTCCTGCCTCAGCCTCCCTAGTAGCTGGGACTATAGGCATGCGCCACCACACCTGGTTAATTTTTGTATTTTTAGTAGAGACAGGGTTTTACCATGTTGGCCAGGCTGGTCTCAAATGCCTGACCTCAAGTGATCCACCCACCGTGGCCTCCCAAAGTGCTGGGATTACAGGTGTGAGCCACTGTGTGCAGCCAAAAGTCAGAATTTCTTAAATAATCTTGAAATATGCATTTATTCAGTCATGGATCTATACCATACTCTGTGGAATACAAACATGAAAAAAAACCAAAGACCTGTTTTGCTGCATTATATTCTAACAAGGGCTCTCAAACATTCTCACATATTTCTTCATAGTTGTTTATTGGACTACACTCCTAGATAGCAAACTCCTCAAAGGCTGGAACCATCTGTTAACCTTCCCAATGCCCACAATACTTTGCATAAAATGGCCTCATTTTTTAGAATGTCCTACAGGAAGTGCACATAAAGTGCTGAGGAAAGTCACAGGAGGGATGGGTTTCTTCTCGCTGGAGAAATCCAAGAAGGCTTCATGGAGAGCATGGTTTCTGTGTCAGGCTGTGAAGGATGAGTAAGATCCAGGCATGTAGAACTGGAAAGAGAATTATAGGAAAATAGAAAATGTACAGACACGAAATAGTGTGAGGCATGGAAAGGAAATCTTGAATAAAGTTTACGACGAGTTTGAAACAAAGTTTGAAATAGAATGAGGGACTTTGAAAAGGATCTCATCAGGTGGCCTTACCTTCTGAGTAAGGAAAGAAACAAGATTGTCTTCAAAAAAGGAAAGGAATAGGAGTGGAATGTGGGTCTGAAGGAGTGTGGAGAAGGTTTGGCTGTAGGATGAGGGTTAGACACTCAAAGACATTAAGATATGAGGTCTTGTAGGCCTGGCATGGTGGCTCATGCCTGTAATCCCAGCACTTCAGGAGGCCAAGGCAGGCAGATCACCTGAGGTCAGGAGTTCGAGACCTGGGGGACTCGAACATGGAGAAGCCCCGTCTCTACTAAAAATACAAAAAACAGCTGGGCATGATGGCAGGTGCCTGTAATCCCAGCTACTTGGGAGGTTGATGCAAGAGAATCGCTTAAACCTGGGAGGCAGAGGTTGCAGCAAGCCAAGATCATGCCACTGCACTCTAGCCTGGGCAGCAAGAGTGAGACTACATCTCAAAAAAAAAAAAAAAAAAAAAGTCTTGAGGTGTTAGTTGGTCACACAAATGGAGATATCTACAATATTAGACCATCCAGTTATAATTCAACTAATTTATTTGGTAGAGTGTTATGCACAATGTTTTACATTTTCATAATTTATATTCTATTAAAAATTAAAATATAGTATACATTCATTTCTTCATCTTCTAGCTGACAAATCTTAAATAAATATTATTTTAAACTCTAGGGACACAACAGTGAATACAGTACACAAGATTCCTGCATTTTTGAATATGTCCATTCTAGTGGGGAGAGACAGAAAAAAAAGTAACAGAAACAGAAATGTGTGTAATAGTGGCAGAAACAAGTATAATTAAACATCATTAATGTAAAACTATTCAAAATAATACACGAACGTAAATAAAGGCTATTTTCTAGCTAACTAAATCACCAACTGTTTTCTGACACAGATATTCAAAAATACGAACACAGTGAATTTAAAGCCTATCTTCTCTAGAAGAAAAGTCAAATTAATAAGGTTTTATTGTTATCAAGGTGTCAGAGGCATGTGAACCAGAGCAACTCTGTCTTAAATAGGAGCTGGGTAAGATGAGGCTGAAACCTACTGGGCTGCATTCCCAGGTGGTTAAGGCATTCTAAGTCACAGGATGAGATAGGAGGTCAGCACAAAATACAAAACCTGATAAAACAGCACAAAACATAAAACCTGATAAAACAGCTTGCAGTAAAGGAGACAGCCAAAACCCACCAAAACCAAAATGGTGACGAGGGTGACTTCTGGTCATCCTCACTGCTACACTCCCACCAGCGCCATGACAGTTCACAAATGCTACAGCAACGTCAGGAAGTTACCCTATATGATCTCAAAAGGGGAGACATGAATAATCCACCCCTTGTTTAGCGTATCATCAAGAAATAACCGTAAAAATGGGCAACCAGCTGCCCTTGGGGTTGCTCTGTCTATGGAGTAGCCATTCTTTTATTCCTTTACTTTCTTATAAACTAGCTTTCACTTTGCACTGAGGACTTACCCTGAATTCTTTCTTGCATGAGATCCAAGAACTCTCTCTTGGGGTCTGGATCTGGACCCCTTTCCTGTAACAAAGGCAGGAAGTTATTTAGCAAAATATGAAAGGCAATTTGAAAATGTCTGGGACACTTAAACACAAAACATATTTATAATTAATTTCCAGAGAATCATGCTGGGTCAGAAAGTCTTGGTAACAATAGATAACACTGTATTTTTTTCCTCTTCAGTGTATTTATGTGCATATTTAGATGTGTAAGATGCAAAGATATATAAGAGACTACTGTTACTTTTTTACTTTTACTACTTTTACTTGCAAAGAGCCTATAGGAGGAAACAGATACATCAGAAAGGTAACAAAATACACTACGTGATACTGGTTCCAACTACTGAGGAGAGTGTGTGGAGCCTTGACTTGAGGGCTGGGAGAAGCTTCACCAATGTCACAAATAACTTTTGAACTTGGCTTTGAAGTGGGCTTCTTCTGCTCAGATAAGAAAGAATTACATTGACAAAGGTGAGGAGGAAGTAGACATAGAGAAAATTAGCTAATATTTAAAGAGTTCTAAACACCCTATTTGGTACGCAGTAGATACTCTGTAAATATTTATTCAGTGAATAAGCATCCTTGTTAGAAAAATGTCATTGTAGCCATTTTGCAGATGAAGAAATGGAGGCACAGACAGATTGTTCTAAAGTCACGTAGCTAGAAGTTGTGGAATTAGATATTGACTCCTAAGTTGCCTGCCTAACAAGCTTTATGTTCTTTCCCTTGTCCAGATGTGTGGCGAAAGTGCTCACATGTGGTATAAAGTATCAGATGCCTAGGTGAGGGAGTGGAGGGGGGTGTTATGGCCAGAGGTGAACTTAGAAACACAAGTCAGAATGGACTATAGCAGTCCTTAAGATGACATTCTAGGGAACATGGAAGGTCATTTAAGGAAGCTACCAAAGATCTTAAAGTAGGGGAATGATGTCATCAGTCTGTCTTTCAGGAAGATCAGTGTAATAGGATGGAACTTGCAGGCAGGGGTGGGTGCGGGAGTGATGAGTGTAGGCTGATGGGCAAGTTAGGAAACGCTATTGCTCAGAGCTAATATGGATGAATAGGAGACTGAGCCAGGATAGTGGCAGTGGAAATGGAGAAGAAGAGGCATAAGGACTGAAAACATATTAGAGGAAGAGTCACCACCACTCATTGACCAAATGGATTTGAGGGAAGGGAAGGGAAGGGAAGGGGTGCAAGATGGTGCTGGGATTGCCAGCCTTGGTGAATGACGATGCCCTTAGCTGAAACAAAGGATGGAAGAAAATGCAGTCAGTGGGCAGAAGACAATGTTTTGGACATTTTGAGTGAGACATCCAAAGTGAGATGTATAATGGACAGGGGGAGATATAAGATAAAAACATAGAAGAGCAACTGGAATAAGAGAATGTTGGGAATCATCAGCCTCTAAGGGACAGCTGAGGCCGGAAGGATGAGAGGACCAGGGAAAGGTGTAGGAGAGAAGAGAATGGGGTGGGAAAAGGAGGGGAGGGAGGGGAAGGCATGGGTAGAGGAAAAAGAATCAGCAAATGAGACAAAGGAAGAAAAGGACAGAGATGTAGGAGGAGAGCCAGAGGGAGAAGGGTCATGGATGCCAAGGGAAGGGCCTAGAAGAGGTGAGTTTGGCTGACTGGAGGTTGTTGGTGGCCTCACTGAGATCACCTTCCCAGGAGTAGAAGGGGCAGAAGCAGGGTTGAGGGCTGAAGAGAGAGTGGATGATTCAGTGGTAAGGAAAGTGAGTTCAGTCTATTCTTTCAAAGAATTTAAGAGCCAGAAAAGTAGAGGCTCTGGATAACCTGAGAGGCAAGTGGAATAAGACATCTTTGTGAGAATCCATGTGGAGTTGTAAAGCTGGCAGGTGCCTTGGTCAGTCACTACAAGAGAAAAGTGAGTGAAGCTGAGTTCTTTCTCCTCCAGTCTTGTACAATGAATGCAGTTGTCTTAGCATGAAGGAATCAAACTTAATAGCCACATTCCTTTTATCATTGTTGAAAGACTAGAATATTGCAATATTGCTGTTCTTGGGGTATGTCCTACTGATTGCTTTATAAAGATGTTCTCTTGGGAAAGGAGAAAATAAGACTGGATTTGTAGCAAAAGTTATAGCATGGTGGCAAATTGCCCTAGTTCTTGAGCCTGGCTGCCTAGATCCAAAGCTCAGCTCTATTACTTACTGTGTGACCTTAGGTAAGTTATTTAACCTCTCTGTGGCCCAGTTTTCTCATCTGAAAGCAAAATAATAATAGTGCCACCTCATGGGATTGAGTACTTTTTTTTTTTTTTTTTTTGAGATGGAGTTTTGCTCTTGTTGCCAAGGCTGGAGTGTAATGGCGTGATCTCGGCTCACCGCAACATCTTCCTCCTGGGTTGAAGTGATTTTCCTGCCTCAGCCTTCTGAGTAGCTGGGATTACAGGCATGCGCCACCATGCCCGGCTAATTTTGTATTTTTAGTAGAGACGAGGTTTCTCCATGTTGGTCAGGCAGTGGTGGGATTACAGGTGTGAGCCACCGCGCCCAGCCGAGTAAAATTAAGGTAAATAAAATAATATACAGAACTTGGAACTATGCCCAATTCTACATAGCTCTACATGGCCCTATTGCTGTATTCACTCTTATTACTAATAGTTTTTCCAAGGATCTTGAGTATCAGCATTGGAATGGACCCTGGGTTTAATTGATCATAATCTTTCTGCTATCCACTGGCCCTAGTTGTTGTTATGATTATGTTGGTTTTTCCTTATAAGCATGAAATTCTTTTAGTTTTGCATGTAACAGACCCTGCAAACTAATATTTGCTTTCCAAGATTAAAAGAGGCTCTTCACACATCTGGACTCTCTTGTATTATAGGATTTTTCTTGTTCTGAATATCTTGAGAATACCAAAAACTGGTATTTTAGATTTGTTTTCTGACATCTCTTAAGCTGAAATCACATGCGAGAATTGACTTTGCAGCTACTAATGTTGACACCTTTTAAATCTGTATAAAAGCGTGTTGTGTTGAAGCAGCAAATCAGTGAGTGTTGCATTTTGGATATTTAGTTTTATCTTTAGTTAAACACCATCCTGGTGTATTCATTTATACCATCTAATATATGACACACTGTTGTAGTATGTATAATTTTGTGATCTTTATTTCCCTCTGTATTCACTTTAAGCATGTAAATAAATTGCTGTATTGTGCTAAAAAAAAAAAAAGAAGAGATTCTTCTTAGGTGGAGAAATAATGGCTTATCCCACAGAAAAATGAGGTAGAAGACACCTTTTTGGAGTAAACTCTGAAGCATGGTTTCATGATGGTGTAAACCAGAAAGCATTAGACAAGTCTCAACCAATTTAAAAGTGAAGTGACATCATTCATCTGGGGTAATACCTGAGGTTTGTTGTCTCATGCCAAGGAAATCAAGGATGCAGACACACAAGGAGTGAGGTTAAGAGTGGAGGTTTAATAGGTGAAAGAAAGAGAGGAGCTCTGTCCTGCAGAGAGAGAGGTCCCAAGTGGGTTTTCTGGTCTGCAGTGAAATTTGAGGGGTTTTATAGATGAGCTTGAGGAGGCGATGTCTGATTTACATAGGGCACGAAATATTGGTTGGACCAGGTGTGCCATTTGCATAAGGCACAAAAAACTGGTTAGGCCTGTGTGCCATTTGCATAGCACACGAAAATCTGGCTGCCCCTACCCTAATCTTGTATTTTGCAGATGGGTTCTCTGCCTGGCCATGTTGCCTGTTTCTTTACTGTACACATGGTGAAATAAAAAAGGGGAGATGGAGCCTCTGTGTTGAATATACCTGGCCCTTGGGTAGCCCTTTTCTATTGGAACAGCTGCTGGCATTCACCTGTGCAAACTTCCAGCTTGCTTATCTATGTCTGCAGCTTGATTTTTCAGGCTGCTCTTTGTTAGAAAAGAATAATTTTGGGGCTGCTTTTTGTTAAAAGGGAAATTCCATCAAGGACTCTTTTACCCTCACTATCGCCTAAATAATTTCTTTCTATCTCCTGTATCAGAAGTTTATTTTGCCAAGGTTAAGGATGTGCCCATGACCCAGCCTCAGGAGCCCTGATGACATGTGCCTAAGGTGGTCAGGTTACAGCTTCATTTTATACATTTTAGGGGGATATAAGATATCAATCAATACATGTCAGATGTACATTGGCTTGGTCACAACTGGAAGTTGGGGGGTGGGGGTGCTTTTAGGTCATAGATTGATTCAAAGACTTTCTGATTGGTAATTGCTTTAAAGAGTTTATCTAAAGACCTAGAATCCATAGAAAAGAGTGTCTGGGTTAAGACAAGGGGTTGTGAAGACCAAGGTTCTTATTATGCAGATGAATCTTCTAGGTAGCAGGCTTCAGAGAGAATAGATTGTAAATGTTTCTTATCAGACTTAAAAAGATAACAGAGTCTTAATTAATTCTCTCTTGGATCAGGGAAAGTACCTGGAAAGGGAAAGGGATTCTCTACAGAATGTAGATTTTCCCCATAAGATACAGCTTTGCAGGACCATTTCAAACTATGTCAAAGAAATATATATTAGGGTAAAATACTTTGATTTCTTTCAGGGCCTGCTATCTGTCATGTATCTATACTTGAGTCAGGCTGGAATTTGGTGTCTTATTGCTACAAAAAGTCTTAAGATTTCTGTTTTAATGTTCATGCTGGTCAGTAGTGCCTGAATTCTGAAGGGAAGGGGTATAATGAGGAATGTCTGACTCCCCCTTCCATCATGACCTGAACTAGGGTATTTTTTTTTTTTTTTCGAGATGGAGTCTAACTCTGTTGCCCAGGCTGGAGTGCAGTGGTACGAGCTCAGCTCACTGCAGCCTCGACCTCCCTGGTTATTCTCCTGCCTCAGCCTTTCCAGTCGCTGGGACTACAGGTGTGCACCACCAGGCCTCGCTAGTTTTTGTATTTTTGGTAAAGATGGAGTTTTACTTTGTTGGCTAGGCTGGTATCAGACTCCTAACCAAGAACCCATCTTGGCCTCCCAAAGTGCCAGGATTACAGGCATGAGCGCACCTGGCCCTGAACTAGTTTTTCAGGTTAACTTTGGAATGCCGTTGGCTGAGAGGAGAGGTCCCTTCAGATGAATGGGGGTTGGGGGGGGGGGCTTAGAATTTTATTTTTAGTTTACAGTAGTAAAACCAAGTAATTAAAATATGGGTAAAGATTGATGTACTATTAAATGTAAAACTCCTTTGGTACATTTCAGCTCTATAGGGAAGCTATATTTATGGTTCATATCTTTCTTATAACATTCTTCTAAAATAATCCAAAGCACCAAAGTGAAACATCTGGTACCAGGCAGTATACAAAAATAATATTTTATCTTGCTGGTATTTTTAATGGCAAACGTAGGCATTATTTTGAATTGCTCTACCTCACTGCCACCTGCTGGTCATGGTGCAGTATAACTAACGTTCTGGTGGCCATACTGGTCAGCATCTGAATGAGCGCCTCCTCGAGGTTGCAGAAAGAGGCCCCAATTTCTTCCTATTAAGTAAATACATTGCCTTTTAACTTACATCCAGAGGCAGGTCCAAGTTTTTGTGGGAACTGTAGCATATTCCATTTTAGGACTCCTCTTTAAAATGAAAAAACATAAAATTACAAATATAATATCAAGTATGGAAGAGAATACGTATTTTAGAATGAGAAACAAAATTGCAACAAGTTGCAAATTTCAAAAAGGTGACAATTACTATGCACACCACACAAGACAGAAAAATAAATGTTTTGTAGATTAACTGTCTCACATACATCTTTCCTCTAAAGTTAAAAAAATTCTTTGTCTCTTCATAAAAATGATTTTGCAATTTATTTTGAGACTGGAGTCTCACTCTGTAGCCCAGGCTGGAGTGCAATGGCGTGATCTTGGCTCACTGCAACCTCTGCCTCCTGGGTTCAAGTGATTCCTCCTCAGCCTTTTGAGTAGCTGGGACTCCAGGCACACGCCATCACGCCTGGCTAATTTTTTGTATTTTTAGTAGAGAAGGGGTTTCACCATGAGTTTGAGGCCAGGCTGGTCTCAAACTCCAGACCTCAAGTGATCTGCCCACCTCAGCCTCCCAAAGTGCTGGGATTACAGATGTGAGCCACCACATCCAGCCAGGCAATATTTTTTACAGTGAGAATAGAAAGATCATTTGGCTTTTCCTCTATCATGGTTCATCAAAATTTGTTTACTGTTGACAGTTGAGAAGAGTTTCCTTGAGCTTCACAATTCACAGGTAATGTCATGTACATTCTGAGGCTTGTGGTCAAATTTGGGGAACTCTCTGTAATTCACTTATGGGCCGTAAGATCTGAGGACATTTTCCAGTTTTCTTGTGCAGTGTCTAATATTGAATACTGTTTGCATTGACAGCATTCATTTCCCAGTTTGTTTTTCCATCCTCCTTGTAGCGGAATACTGTGATTTCTATCTTTTAAGATGGCAGTGTCATGTCAAATTAGCAAGAAATTTAAATATTTTCCCTGTGTGTTCACATTGTTTGCTCTTTTTCATTAACGGGATTATCAAACAACCCAAAAACCTATTTATTACTTCTATTTGAAATGTATCTCCTCCTCTGTGCTATGATCTGAAATTTTTGGTCATAATTTCCTTCTCAATGTTAGACTTTCTCTTGATTCCATTCTTTATTGTAGCCACTTTTGCTTCACATTCCATTTTTTCCCCTGAATTTTCTTCCAGTTCTTTAATAAGTATATGACAAAGTTGGGCATGGTGGCTCATGCCTATAATCCTAGCACTTTGGGAGGTTGAGGCAGGAGGATTGCTTTAGGCAAGGAGTTTGAGACCAACCTGGGTAACACAGTGAGGCCACACCTCTACAAAAAATAAAAAGCCAGGCATGGTGGCACGTGCCTGTAGTACTAGCTTGGGAAGCTGCAGTGGGCAGGTTGCTTGAGCCCAGGAGTTTGAGACTGCAATGAGCTGTGATTGCTCTAGGGCACTCCAGCCTGGGTGACAGCAAGACCCTGTCTCTAAAACAAAACAAAACACAATTAAAAAACCCCAAAACCAATAAATAAATAAATAAATAAATAATAAGTCAAATGATGTCTGTCACTTTTCACTTGGTTTACTGGAACTTTCCAAAGCAACTTTCCAAATTTCTGCTAAAATGGCACATTCCCCGGTCAGTTTCTCCTTAGCAGGATCCCAAAACTGCTTGCAGCCATTCTAATGCCAGAGACATCAGGCAAATGTGACAGACAGGAAGTTCTAGTGAAAGGAGACAGTTGTCTGAACCAGTTGTGGTTAAAATATCTTACTTTTGAAAATTTTATGTAAACATATGACCAGGTGAGCACATTGCTGGGACCCCTTGAAAGGGTCATTAGCTCCATAGGAAACCTGCCACATCTCCCTGTAATTCTTCTGTTCCCCAGGAAGTGCCAGAGTTTGAGGACAATTTTGTATGACTTACTGGTTCCATTCTGTTGTTCTTGTCTGCACAAAAAAATTCATTTAGATCAGGTGGATGGAAAGTCAGTCTAAAATAGAAAAATTCAGAACTAGATTTTTTAAAAATATACTTTTTAAGGTACAAACTAGAAAACAAAAGACTGGTCTGGTTTTGTTCCTGGAATAACTTGACCTTGGGTAAATCACATACTAATTTATAAAATCAGAGGACTGGTGTATCTACCCAAGGAAATAAGTAGTTAATTTCTAAGATCCCTTCTAACTCTAAATCTTGTAAACCAAAAATAAAATTCTAAGTCTCCCCAACCATTTTAATTCACCCATCCTCTGGGCCAAGAGCATTCCAAAGTTAACCTGAAAAACTAGTTCAGGCCATGATGGGAAGGGGAAGCCAGACATGCCTCATTATACCTGCCTCAGTTTTTAGAAGTACTGATAGAACAGACTCTTTAAGTCTGGTAAGAAACATTTACAATCTATTCTCTGAAGCTTGCTACCTGGAGGCTTCCCCTACATGATAAAACCGTGGTCTCCACAACCCCTTATCTTAACCCAGACATTCCTTTCTATCGATTCCAAGTCTTTAGACAGTAACTTAACAAATCTTTCGGCAAATTGCTAATGAGAAAATGTTTGAACCTACCTGTGATGTGGAAGCCCCTCTGCTTCTAGTTGCCCTGCCTTTCCTGAACAAACCAACGTATATCTTACTTGTATTGATTGATGTCATTTGCCTCCCTAAAATGTATCAAGCCAAATTGTAGCCTGATCACCTTGAGCACATGTTCTCAGGAGCTGCTGAGGGGTGTGTCACAGGTCACTCACATTTGGCTCAGTATAAATCTCTTCAAATATTTTACAGAGTTTGACATTTTTCATCAACAAACTCTATGAACTTAATATGCATGTAGAATACACACTAGGCTGTTTCCAAGAAGACAGCACATCAAGCCTCTTTAAAATTTAAAAATGAACTTGCAGTAATTACTTGTAATTAGTGTAATTATCTTTTATAAGTGTGCTACTAGGTTGGAATATTTTGGTTTTAGTAAATAGACTAAATGTTTGAACTAGTCACTATGTCATGCATATTATTAATTGGCCTAAAACCTCACATACGTCTATTATACTATGCAATTTTCATATAGTCCTATTTGTGGTGATTACCACAGATTCAGTATTGTCAAATTAATATATGTATAGGTATACATATACAGTACTTGGCAAAAGCATCCTTTGAATCAGTAGACTTTCTTTTCTGTTGTTGAAAATTTGGCACCTTCTAGGAAATGTGTGTTTTTAAAAATAAATAAAAGATAAAAGTCTTTTGCTATAATCTACTTTGTATTTCAAAGTTTTATTGTTTCTTGGGGAAGATTGACGCTATTGTCACCATAGTATTGCAACCAGCCAGTTTCTAAGTTTTCAGATCTGTGAAAGCAGGTGTTGGGCCCCATTCTTTCTTTCCCCAAAGGCCCTTATACAAATTGACACCATCCCTCCCCAGTGACCTGCTTTGCATTCCAGAGATCTCCAAGATGAACAGGGATTCTTTTGTACACCCTTTATCATCCTCCAATGCCTCCTGGACAATACACTTCAAAACCAAGAGGGGCTGATCAAATGATTCTTCCTGGGACAAGAAGATGTGCTGCAGCTTCCATCTGCAGAGAGGAGACCAGCTGGAATAACTGAACACCTTCTCTGAATAGGTCCCTTGTTTGAAGTTGGCCTTAGTAAGTTCCCCATTACATAGACAACCAAGCAGATGCATGGCTAGTGATGCCACATATTGGGGGAAACTCTTAGACCCTAAGGACACTTACTAGGGTAACACTTATGGCCTATCCTTACCAACTGGCTTAAGTCTCCCTCAGGAGGTACTGGTGGTTTGGGAATAAGTTGCTGGCCTGCTTCATTCAGGCTTTTCCCCTCCCTTTCTGTTTTTGGGATTGGCCTGCCCCAGAGCACACACTCTGTTCTGCAGTTGGTTATGAAATACAGGCTCTGCATCTGTGGGTGAGACCTGTGCTTTTTCTAGGGCTGCCTGTGGCTGTGTGGGTGAGTCTGCCTAATTCTTGGGTTCAGTTATCAGGACACCCATTGTTGTTGCATACCTAAGCCACATGCTCCCTTTCAGCTTTTATGAGCAGTCAAGCTGCTGATTTTTACATCTTTATCTGCTTGATTCCTTTATACCTTTCAGTTGGTTCAGAGATTGAGTGGGGAAGAAGGCTGTTATGTATATTGACTCTCTCAAACCTCCACACTATGTGCTAGCCACAGGAAACTAAATTAGTCAAGACATAGTTCCTTTGCAAGGTGAATGGACAATCTGGCAACTATGAAGACCCCAAAATGACAAACTTGCAAGGATAGCGCACACCCAAAATTGGGCAGTCACAATTCTCTACCCCTTTATTCACCCAGCACAAGTTACTCCACCCTCTGGATGAGCCATCACACAGGACTACTTGTGGACTTAACTATGTATATTGAAGCTAATGTTGAGAGTGGTATTGCAACATTTTTTTTTTTCTGTATGTGTGTTGGAATGGGAGAGACTAGACAGGGAGGTGAGGGAAAGGGAGGAGCAAGCAGGCTGGAAACTCTTCAAGGCAGACTCTGGTGCTAACTGGTTGTAACCTGCCAGGGCTCAGTGGGGTGCATTATCTCATCAGCCTGGTCCTGCTCATTTAATTCAGCAAACTCCATTTGAGCATGTGCTAAATGGCAGGTGCATTTCACATTCTTTGCCCTTGGTTTCAAGGTCCCTTCATTAGGCTGTGCTGGCATGCTTGGTCAAACTTCTGATTTAGACCAACTGATTAATCCTTGAACCCCAAATACAACTTTTCTTTGCTTTACTTTGTTCCTTTTCTCGGTGTCACTCTGTTCAGCTGGAATGGGCTTCTCCCAATCCCTGCCGTTTGTGATCCTCTCCATCCGTCCAAGCCATCTGCCTTGACTGCCTGAGTGGATGTGAGCTTTTACTTTACAGGGACCCTTCTTCTGCTATTCTTGAATCTGTTTCTTTAATGAGTAACCAGATGAATTTCATTTTCTTCTCCAGATTCTCTCTGGTGGGGCCCCTGAATTGGTTTTTCATAGTTCTGTCCCATCAGGCGTCTGATATAAAATGACCTCACAGACACAGAAGCAATCTCATACTTCTCAAAAGACACATATGGGTATCTATTTGATTTATAGTTTTAGATATCCTGTTTCAGCTCAGATTATACACTTTTGGAGGGATGTATGTTTTGCATCTTTTAAGATACTTAACAACTGATATTTAATTAATAGCAACAGAGAATGCACAAGTTTCACCCCAAATTCTGTAAGACACATATCAGAGAAGTCTACTATGAACTCAAAATGCTTTATCCTAAAACTTCATATGCATTTTGCATTCTTCTCTGTAGTATATCCATGCTTGTTTTAATATAAAAATGTTATGAATTGCTTACCCTGAATAAACCTAATGCTCCAAGCAGATCTGCAATGTTGAATTGCTGAGTCTATACCATTTGATACACTGCCACCTACCCCTGTCGTGTATTTCAGTTTCAGAAGCATGGGTAGTAGATGCTCAAGAAATGTTTATTGAATGAAGAAACGAATGAGAAATTTGATAATACTAATGGAATTCTTGTATTTAGGTAACTCCTTCTAGAAATTTATACATTGAGTCACAGTTTTCCAAGGGAGCTAACTCACAGCATGATGTAAGTTGCATTTGATCTGTGGTTTCTTTCAAGTCAGACCAGTTAGTGCACTGACGCAATCATTCTTTAATTGGCTTCACTTTGCTGGTGGGAAAATGGAGGCTCAGGAAGGTAAATGAGCATCACAATATGCCATTCATAACTAGACCATCGCAGCTCTGCTTCTGGGGCCCCCAGGTGACTCTCTCCTTCATGCCCTCAGATCCTCAGATCATGCCCCCAACCCCTTCCAAAGGCAGCTCTTATCCTGCTGGACTGTGATCACCTGAGCTGACTCCACTTCTGGGCCATGAGCTCCTCCTGGCTGGGACTATGTCTTGCTCATCTCTATGCACTCAGGGATGATGATGGCCCCTCACCCACAGAGGGCTCACAGTTAATGTTCAGAGGATGACTACGTAAAAATGTATATATCCAAGAAACTGCTGAATGATCCATACATTTTTTTTTAAATATAGATTTTTGATTTCCTAGACATGCCTTCTAAGTAAACCTTAAAAAGAATCTGCTAGGATGGTGCTCTTGATGATAAGTCTAAGTGAAAGAAAACCTAATGTTCATGTTAGGATATGAACTCAATGTTTCTTAAAACTTTTTTATTTTATTTTTACTACATTGAAAATGTTTGTTCAGGCAGACCTTTTTACTTTGGGGGCACCAAAGTGATTGATGCCCTTTAATCTCATTGAGAAACCCTCTTGGCCCTGGCCACAGGGATAAATTTGGTTGGCACTTCTGGCTCTGCTGCTACAGGCACATGGCTTGTCTGGTCCTCTGTGGGGATATTAATTGCCATCACTGCTCCTTTTTTAGGAGCCTGTGTTATATCTGCTGCAGGACAAATGGCTTTTCATATATCCACAGAGTTGTATATTCATCATCACTTTTGGAACATTTTCATCATCCTCCAAAGAAACTCCATACCCTTTTGTCATCACTCTCTAACCTCCCCTACCCTCCCATCCTCTGCCCTCATCACCCCCTGCAACACATACATGCATGGGAAACTAGCCATGTGCACAATGAGAAAGCTCTGTTGCAAATACAATAAGTGACTTTGAATATGAATGTCAGGATTATTATTATTATTTTAATTTATTTAATTTATTTATTTTTTTTAGAGATAAGGTCTCACTATGTTATCCAGGCTGGTCCTGAACTCCTGGGCTCAGGCAGTACTCCAACCTAGGCCTCCCAAAGTGCTGGGATTACAGGTTTGAGCTACCACACCTGGCTGCAAGGATTACTTTGTTTTCAAGTGACTAAAACCCAGACTAAACAGTCTTGGACAAAAGGGAGAATTTTCTGACTGTAATGGTAATTTTATATGTCAACTGGGCCTTGGGGTGCCCAGATATTTGGTTACATATTATTTCTGGGTTTGTGTGTGAGAGTGATTTTGGGTGAGACTAACATCTGAATCAGTAGACTGAGTAAAGCAGATTGCCCTCCCAAATGTGAGTTATCCTCTTCCAACCAGTTGAAGGCCTGAATAGAACAAAAAGGCTGGCCCTCCCCCAGATAAAAAAAGGAACTCTTCCTGCCTGACCACTTTGAGCTGGCAGTCAGTCTTTTTCTGTCTTCTGACTCAAACCAAAACATCTGGTCGTCTTGGGTCTTGAGCCTCCTGGCTCTTGGACTGGACTTACACCATTGGCTCTTCTGGATCTCCAGCTTAGCAACTGCAGATCTTGGGGCTTCTCAGCTTCCATAATCATATGAGCCAATTTCACATAATAAATCTCTCTCTCCACCCCCCTCTCCCACCACACAGACACTCACATACTCACAGACACATTCTATTGGTTCTACTGGTCTGGAGAACGCTGACTCATACATTGACTAATAGGATCCATGGAACTATTGAACAACCAAACCATTGAAAGAGCACAGATGCAGCTGGATCGTAAAACAGAATGAGGGGCTCAAATGCTGCCGAGAGTCTTCTTCCTCCCTGCTTTTCCTTTATTTTTTATTTTTGTTTTTCTGAGATGGGGTATCACTCTCTCACTCAGGTTGGAGTGCAGTGGTGCAGTCTCAACTCACTGTAACCTCAGCCTCCCAGGCTCAAGCAATCCTCCCACCTCAGCCTCCTGAGTGGCTGGGACCACAGGTGCATACCATTACTCCTGGCTAATTTGTTGTATTTTTGGTAGAGACGGCTGGTCTTGAATTCCTGGGATCAGGTGATCCACCTGCCTTGGTCTTCAAAGTACTGAGATTACAGGAATAAGCCACCATGCCTGGTCCTTTATTTTTAATTGACAAGTAAAAATTGTGTATAGTTTTGGTGGTGCACACGTGATAGTTTTTTCTCTTCTTCTTCTTTTTTTTTTTTTTTGAGACAGAGTCTCGCTGTGTTGTCCAGGCTGAAGTGCAGCAGTATGATCTCGCTCACTGCAACATCCACCTCCTGGGTTGAAGCAATTCTCCTGCCTCAGCTTTCTGAATAGCTGGGATTACAGGTGCAAGCCACCATGCCCAGATAATTTTTGTATTTTTAGTAGAGATGAGATTTCAGCATGTTGGCCAGGCTGGTCTTGAACTGCTGACCTCAAGTGATCTGCCCGCCATGGCCTCCCAAAGTGTTGGGATGACAGGTGTGAGCCACCATGCCAGGCCGATATTTTGATATATGTATACATTTTGGAATAACTAAATCAATCTAATCCAAGGAACTTCTTTCTTCTCTGCCCTTTTATTAATGTAGAATTCATTTTCTTCTGATACAAGCCACCTTACTCTGCAAGGTGGGAAACACAAAACACCTCCCCTGCTTTACATTACATGACCTCCTCACCAAAAAAGATAAAAACAGTTCTGAAGCCTAAAGCTGCCAATATTGGCCAGGTGTGGTGACTTATGGCTGTAATCCCCACACTTTGGGAGGCTGAGGTGGGAGGGTCACTTGACCCCAGGAATTCAAGGTTACAGTGAGGTATGATTACACCACCGCTTGGGCAACATAGCAAGGCCCTGATATGGTTTGGCTCTGTGGCCCCACTCAAATCTCATCTTGAATGGTAATCCCCATGTGTCAAGGGAGGAACCTGGTGGGAGGTGATTGGATCATGTGGGTGGTTCCCCCATGTTGTTTTCATGATAGTGAGTGGGTTCTCATGAGATCTGATGGTTTAAAAGTGTGGCGCTTCCCCCTGCTCCTCCTGCCGCCATGTAAGAGGTGCCTTGCTTCTCCTTCACCTTCCATCATGATTGTAAGTTTCCTGAAGACTCCCAGCCATGCAGAATGGAACTGAGAGTCAATTAAACCTCCTTTCTTTAGAAATTACCCAGTCTCAGGTAGCATCTTTATAGCAGTGTGAAAACAGGCTAATACAAACCCCATCTCTACACAAAATTTTAAAAAATTAATTGGATGTGGTGGTGCATACCTGTAGTTCTAGCTACTTGGGAGGCTGAGGTGGGAGCATCACTTGAGCCTGAGCCCAGGAGTTCAAGGCTGCAGCGGGCTATAGATTTTGCCACTGTACTCCAGCCTCAGTGACAAAGGGAAATCCTGTCTCTAAATAAATAAATAAATAAATTACCAATATGGACAAAGTTCCCCAGGAAGACAATCAGGCCAACCTTCAAAAATCATTAATGATTTGTGGAGTGAAGTTTCTTCTGGGGAAGTATGGTAATATTGTGCTTCAAACTTCATATAGCCTACAAAACAGAAGTAATGGTTAGTGGCACCCAACATCTGGGTTACTAAGTGAAGATATAATAAAAATTAAGAGGCATGTTTATGTCACACCATATGCTTAAAATCTAATAATAGTAATGATGCAGACATATAGGTACAATAAAATCTGTGGGAGGTGTCATGAAATTAAGGTTAAACACAAGGGTAAAATAAGGATGGACTGTTCATGCAGTCAGATGAGTGCATTCTGGTCAATGGGTTGGAAGTAGAAGTCAGGTATGCAACTTTTAGGGAATGTCCTGAAAGGGTGGTCCCCTGTCCTTCTCCTTCCTTTTTCTTATTCTTGTAAGTTAGACTGAGAATGTGAAGCTTGAAGCTGAAGCAGCTGTCCTGAACCATGAAACGAAGGATGCCTGTTGAGGATGGTGAGTACCCGGATAGAAAGAGCCCAGGCTCTTGACACCTGTGGAGCAAGCACACCAGCCCTGGATTACTTATGGCAACCTTTATGTGACAGAGATAAAATCTCAATTTCGTTCAAGTCACTATTATTTTGGAATTCCTCTCACACTTGGCTAAACCTGGGGATGAATAATTGCAATATGGTGTTTCCTATTCTAATAATTTTTCAATCTCAATGGATTGTACTAACATGCATGGGGTAGAATTATGACATTTGCAGCCATGAAAGGCCTCAAAAAAAACTTACTTCCCATGCACTCTTTCTCAGGAAGCTGCTGGAGTAAACCAGTCAAGAGGAAGACATAGGATCCTATAAAGAGGGAGTCGAGTATGGGAGAGAGATGAAGCAATGTCTCCAATGAGGCTGAAGGGAAGTTCAGGACAACAGCCCTGCAGCAAGCTTGGAAAGCAGATTGCCCAGATTGGAGCAGAAGAGCAGAGAACACCAGGAGGGATGACTTCAGAGAAAAAGGGAGCTGATAGAATACCTCATGGTCTTGATGGTCCTGAGGTTTTACAGGACTGGAGGATAGTTTGGGAATGAGTTTGTGATTGTCACAGTTAAGTAAACAAACAAACAAACAAATTAACAAAAAATCAATTATAAACGAAAGAGAACACAATAATTAGATGAGAAATAAAATATAATTAAGCGTTCTGCATGATTAGCAGTGATGCAATCTTAATATGATAAACACATTATTGATTTAATCAAAATTTGAGAAATAGTTGAAACAACTATATTGAGTGGGAGAAGGTGTGTGTATGTGGGGGGTATGCGTGCATGTTATGTATCTGTGTGCATGTGTTTCTAGGGGAGAAGCACTGTAAGAGATTTAACCCTTCATCTTCTACAATAAAAACAATGATGTCAAAATATTTAAAAATCAAGAAAAAGCAATATGGAAGTGAACGCTGAAAAAATAGCTATGAAGATGTTTGCCCCTGACGAATAGGAATTAGGGATGGGATGGGTAGGGCCAGGAGAAAGAAGTTTTGTCCTTACTGTGTGAATCTTAGAACTGTTTTGATAAAATTAAAAATTTCACTGTGATAAAAATAATAACTTAACAAAATAAAATAAACTTTTTGACTATATAATCTTTAAGCTCCTTGAAGTGATTGGATGGAATGCAAGAAAAAGAAATAAAGGGGAAGGGAGAGTATTATTGGGAAGAACCAGTCTGTAGAACAAAAATCCCAGCCTAAAATGATTTATGCAGCTTTGTCTTTGTTATCTATCAATAAGAAACAATGTTCATTTGTTCACTCATTCATTCATTTGCACCCACCAAATATCTGCTGAGCACCTGGTATATGCCATGCTCTGCTACTGATTATCCGAACATCAAAGATGAAGCCAGGCACAGTGGCTCACACCTGTATACCCAGCACTCTGGGAGGGTGAGGCAGATGGATCATCTGAGGTCAGGAGTTTGAGAACCACCTGACCAACATGGTGAAACCCCATGTCTACTAAAAAAAATACAAAAAGATTAGCCAGGCATGGTGGTGGGCACCGGTAGTCCCAGCTACTCAGGAGGCTGAGGCAGGAGAATCACTTGAACTCGGGAGGTGGATATTGCAGTGAGCCGAGATTGTGCCAGTGCACTCCAGCAGCCTGGATGACAGAATGGGACTTGGTCTCCAAAAAAAAAGAAAAACCAAAAAAAAAAAAACCCCAAAAAACAAACCATCAAAGATGAGTGTGGTGCAGCGCAGTACTCACCCCCACAGAGTTTTCATTCTAATCTTGGTGCTCCATACTCTGCTCACCACCAAGTAACTTTAGTACTGTTATCTTCTCAGAGCATACTCTGGGTCAATCATTTGATGCATGGCTCAAATCCTCACAATTCTGCAAAGGAGACTTTACAGATGAGGAAACTGAGGCTCGGAAAGGTTAAGTAGCTTCTCTGATTTTACTTGGAAGGCTGGAGTCCAGATGTGAACCCAGGAGAGACTGATGCAACAACCTATTCTCCTTCCATCACTTTCTCAGTGTGGTTAGTGAGGATGGCAGCTTCCATTCATCCAGTTGTCTGTTGTATGCCAGGTATGGGGCTCAGTGATTTACATGCTATAGTGGACACTCATTTGTTTTGACCTTTTCTCCTTTGGTGCTGAAAATGCCAGTCACTTGTTTCTCCAGGCTTTCTTGCAGCAAGGACACATGGTCTAATCTCTATCAGTTAGACTTCAACTCAGGATCTATTGATGCCAAGCATTCCTTTGGCAGCATGGAGCTGCTGTGCCACTCAGCTATGCCTTCAAGATAACCTGCTGTGAAGAGTGTAATTAACTGACAGCCTTTGGCATCTGCTGCAGCATTCATTCTATGAGTCTCTGTTCTGTCTAGGCAGCTCCAGTCAATGAAAGGGCACAGAGAGGATACTGGAGCTGGGCCATTCCTCCCCAGTGCCAGATACTCTAATAGGCTCCCTTGCTGCCTGGCAGAGATGTTTGCAGAGGTCACTACCGTCTGAGTCTCTTCTTACCCAGTCCTCCCCTTCCCCTACTCCTTTCTAAGGTGCCAGATCCATATCACAGCTGAAGGTTCTCCCTTCCGACTCTTGCTCCCTCCCTCTTTGTCTTTCATGGGCATTTCCCTCTTAATCTCTTCCACTTCTAATTCCAGCCTTGGAGTCTGCTTCCTAAAAGACCAATATTGACCCACCCTCTTTGGAAGTGATGGCAGAAACAGTAGCTGAAAAGGCAAGGTCGGGGGTCAGTGGTGGCTTTGGTGCTGGTGGCTGGAACAGTTTCGGGGTAGTTGAATTCTTAGCACCAACATGGCAGTGGGGCAACTGTGGAATCTGGTGTTCAGTGCAGCCAGTGGAGATCTTTTCAGATCAGTTATGCAGCATGGTTTTTGGCCATTGTTCCTGGAAGTTTAGCCTTGAGCAAGCTAGTCAGTGGTAAAGCTGGGATTCAAACACAGGTTGGTTTATCTCCGAGGTCCCACTCTTCATAGTTGTGTCAATCCTCCCCATTTTTCTAGTTCAAAGAATGTAGTGATTTCACATGCGATCTCTGTTTAAAAATCCGACAGAGCATTCTGGGGGTGGGGAAGACTGGATCCCTGCCTGTACTGATTGCCCTGGATGGTGTTTACTGAACAAATTATCATCTCAGGCAGTATAACAATTCCTAGAGGAGAAATTAGTTGAAACATTAAACTCCCATTTTGTAACTTGATTCTCTTTCTCTTTTTCCGGTGCCTAGAGGGGCATAGGATGAATGCTCAATGGGATTCCCTTTAATTTTTATACCCTCTTAACTCTCTCAGAGGAAAAAGGAGGCTGGGAGTGTCACAGTTTGGGCAATGCTAGTTCTGTAATAAGTAAACCCCGTCTTTTCGGTGGTCTAAGACAATCACACATAACAGCTCAAAGTCAGTGTTCCTAGCAAGGGCTCCCTTCCTCTTGTGGCTCAGCCTTTCCCCAGGGCCTTATTATCACAAGCAGAAGAGGAAAGAGGGGTGAAAAAAACCACTTTTAAATCTTCTTCTCTGGAAGTGACACAACTCAGTGACTCTGGCCACATTCAGTTGGTGAGAACTAATCACACAAAACCCTGGAGATGCCAGGGGAGCTGAGAAATGCAGCCCCTGGCTGGCAGTTCCTCTCCAGGAACTACTCTATAGATGATGGAGGATAAGCACGATGTTTGGTTGATAGTTAACCTCCTCTGCCATAGGGGGCTTCCACTTTCTTTCCATTCAAGGAAAGAAACCCACCTGTCTCAGTGGAGAGAGGCGGACAAAGTGCACGCCGTCGTTTCTTTAGAGTCAGAGTGGAAGTCTGCTGATTTTTTTTTATTTTTTATTTTTAAACGGAGTCTTGCTCTGTTGCCAGGCTGGTGTGCAATGGCGCAATCTTGGCTCACTGCAACCTTCACCTCCTGAGTTCAAGCGATTCTCCTGCCTCAGCCCCCTGAGTAGCTGGGATGACAGGCACCCGCCACCGCACCTGGCTAATTTTTGTATTTTTAGTAGAGACGGGGTTTCACCATGTTGGCCAGGCTTATCTTGAGCTCCTGACTTTGTGATCTGCCCACCTTGGCCTCCCAAAGTGCTGGGATTACAGGCATGAGCCATCACGCTCGGCTTTTTTTTTTTTTTTTTTGAGACAGAGTCTCATTTTATCACCCAGGCTGGAGTGCAGTAGCATGTTCTTGGCTCACAGCAACCTCTGCCTCCTGGGTTCAAGCGATTCTCCTGCCTCAGCCTCCCGAGTAGCTGGGATTATAGGCATGAGTCACCTGACTAATTTTTGTATGTTTAGTAGAGATGGGGGTTTCACCATGTTGGCCAGGCTTGTCTTTAAACTCTTGGCTTCAAGTGACCCACTCACCTCAGCCTCCCAAAGTGCTGAGATTACAGGCATAAGTAATGTAAACTCAGACAGCACTGGGTGAGTAAACTCGGAAAACACCTGGGGTCTGAGTCTGCTGATCTTAAGCAAAACCCAGTGCCCTGGAGATTCTAGCTAAAATAGAACCAAGGACCATCAGCTCCGTAGAGAATATCATTACTTTTTGTTGGAGACAATGTAAACTCTCTATTTAAAATAAACTACGTGGCAAAAAAAAAAAGTGTTCATGTTTTCTAGGTGGGGAGTCTGTTTGACTATTCCCATAAACAAAACAACCTAAATAGCCTTCAAAATGGGAATGGTTAAGTAAATTATGTAATCATGTTATGAAATAATATTACTATTAATATTTATAAGTCACGTTGCAGCTGGGTACAGTGTCTCATGCCTGTAATCCCAACACTTTGGGAAGCCAAGGTAGGAGGATTGCTTGAACCTAGGAATTGAGATCAGCCCGGGCAACATAGTGAGACCTTGTCTCTACAGAAATTTAAAAAGTTAGCCAGGCATGGATGTGCATGCCTACTTGGATTGCTTGAGTCCAGGAGTTTGAGGCTGCAGTGAGCTATGATCATGCCACTGCACTCCAGCCAAGGCCCCAGAGTGAGACCCTGTCTCTAAAAACAAATTGTTTTTAAAGTCACATTGCAGAAGAATATTTATTGACATGAAAAAATATTCTTAATGTATTAGACAAAAAAAAAAAAGCAGGTTAGAAAAGATGATCATTATTGCTTGAGCCCTGGAGGTCGAGGCTGTATTGAGCTGAGATCACACCATTGTACTCCAGCCTGGGAGACAGAGGGAGACTGTCTCAAAAAAAGAAAAAGAAAAGAAAAAGAAAAAGAAAAGAAACTAGCAAAAGCAATGAACTAGATATAGTCACAATAAATAATTTCTGTTATAGCCTCATATGTATCTGATCAGATATTTATAAATGGAAATCTGTGTGCTTTGTAATACAATCTTCAGTCGAACATGAGGTTTTTATTTAGTAGAACATAGTTTTTAACTCAAAAAAACCTCCAAAACAAAGATGATCATTAAATAACTACTAATCAATTACAAATTAACATGAAAAGAACAGAGCTATACATTCTTATTAAAAAAGAGGGCTGCAATAGATTGCATTATTGTTCAAAACACTTCCTGCCTCTTTTGCGTAGATGCTGCCCCATTGAGGTTGTCTTGGCCACTGTGTTTGCTGAGTGTGAGAGGAAGAGATGTGGTCTTCTATGAGACCTGCAAGTGGAGACTGCCCCTTCAGCCAGAGTCCTGGATCATGATGGAGTGCAGTTGCAGCCATCCCACGATAGACATGATACAAGGGAGAAATAGACCTTTGTCACTGAACTTAGCTTCAGCGGAGATGAAGTGCCACTGTACTCCAGCCTGGCGACAGAGCGAGACTCCGTCTTAAAAAAAAGAAAAAAAAATAAGTATGCAAATGGTAACTTGAGGTCCAAAAAGAGATTCCAACAGCAATGAAAAGACAGTGGCCTTCAAAATTAAATTAATATGAACTTAGCTTTTCCTAAAGTGGCAGAGGTGTTTTTAAAATTAATGAGCATAATTGAGGGCCTGAACTGGTATTAAGGGGGTTCTCCTTATCTTACCTCTTTAAAGAAAAGGAAGCCAGCTATGGAGGCTCATGTCTGCAATCCCAGCACTTTAAGAGACAAAGGCAGGAGGATTGCTTGAGCCCGGGAGTTCGAGACATAGTGAGACTCTGTCTCTACAAAAATTTTTAAAAATTAGTCAAGTGTGGTGATGCGTGTCTGTAGTCTCAGCTACTTGGGAGTCTGACGGGGGGGCAGATTGCTTGAGCCCAGGAGTTCCAGGCTGCAGTGAGCTGTGATCCATGCCACCGCACCCTACTCTGGGCGACAGAGTGAGAACCTGTCTCAAAAAGAAAAAAAAGAAGAGGATTTCTATTTTTCTCTAGGTGAACAGAAGGTCTTTATTATATGATAAAAGGGATTATCTACTAGTAGAGAGTCCTGGTTTTTTTTTTTTTTTTTTTTTTTTTTTTTTTTTTTTTTTTTTTTTTTGAGACAGGATCTCGCTCTGTCGCCTAGGCTAGAGTGCAGTGGTGTGATTTAGGCTCACTGCACCCTCCACCTCCTTGGTGCAAGTGATTCTTGTGCCTCAGCCTGCTGAGTAGGTGGGACTACAGTCGTCTATCACCACGCCTGGCTAAGTTTTATATTTTTAGTAGAGATGGGGTTTCACCATGTTGCCCAGGCTGGTCTCAAACTACTGACTTCAAGTGATCTGCCTGCCTCAGCCTCCCAAAGTGCTGGGATTACAGGCGTGAGCCACCATGCCTGGCCGATTCTTGTATTTTTTTAAACAATTTTTTCCCTTTTATTTTTAGCTGACATGTAATAACTGTACATATTTATGGGATAAAGAGTGATATTTCCATACATGTATACAATGCATAATAATCAAATCAAGGTAATTAGTATACCTGTCACCTCAAATGTTTATCATTTCTTTGCATTGTGTCTTGTCTTCTTATGAAAAGAAAAGTAGTCTCAACATGCTCTGAGTAAACTTGATGTGTTCACGCTCCAAGAAATAGGGAAGGAAGAAAAAGGTGTGGGCAGTGTCATAATGGACTTCATTCATTTCCATGTAAAATAAGTATGCAAATGGTGAGCTGAGATCATGCCATTGCACTCCAGCCTGGTGACAAAGCGAGACTCCGTCTCAAAAAAAAAGAAAAAAAATAAGTATGCAAATGGTAACTTGAAGTCCAAGAAGAGATTCCAACAACAATGAAAAGACAGTGGCCTTCAAAATTAAATTAAAACCAGGCAGACCGTAAATATGAAAATTGATGTGGCAGTAGTAAACTTACGTATAATGGATGTACTCACAAGACAAGTCAAACTGAATAATGCTATTATCTCATCAGTCATATGATAACTCATATCCTGGATGTTCTGAGTAATAATTACATAATATCAGACTGGGCATGGTGGCTCATGCCTATAATCCCAGCACTTTAGGAGGCCAAGGCAGGCAGATCACTTGAGGTAAAGAGTTCGAGATCAGCCTGGCCAACATGGTGAAACCCCATCTCTACTAAAAATACAAAAATTAGCTGGGGATGGTGGTATGTGCCTGTAATCCCAGCTACTCGGGGGGCTGAGGCACAAGAATTGCTTGAACCTGGAAGGCGGAGGTTTCAGTGAGCCAAGATCATGCCACTGCACTCCAGCCTACTAATATATAACATTAGTAGTTAAATAGCAGTGAAACGTAATGGAGAGCAAGAAGTTTATATGAATATTCTATTCGACTTTATGAGTATCCTATTTGACTTATGATATTTAGGAATGAAATTAAAAAGCAGCTTCATATTTAACCTGTTATAGGAACAATAATTCAAACTATACTTAAAAATTACATAGGAAAGTGCTAGAAATCATGACAAACTTTCCCATAATGTGCCACTGAGGGACAAACTGTCAAATCTGAACAATGATTGCAAACACAGCAGAAACATCTTGATTCCTTTGTAGAAGGGTGGAGGGTCCTCTGACGAAATTTTTCCTGGCATACTCAGTGCCATTCTTGTCTCCGCAGTTGGAAAAAAGCCAGAATGAGTTGTAGAAAGCTAGAAAAGGCAATTAAAGTGAGTGCAGGATGGAGATGCTGTTGATATAATTACCAGTTGTGTTTTGAAGACCTACCATGTACTTGTCACAAGGCAAAACATTAGGGGTGGGGGCATACTTGTAATAATACAAGTACTATTTCCTGAATACTGTGAGTACCAAAGGTGCTGTGCTGAGTGCCTTAAAACTTTGTCTGGTGTGGCTCACGCCTATAATCGCAGCACTTCAGGAGGCAGAGGCAGGTGGATCACCTGAGGTCAGGAGTTCAAGACCAGCCTGACCAACATGGTGAAACCTCATCTCTAGTAAAAATACAAAAATTAGCTGGGTGTGGTGGCGGGCGCTACTCAGCTACTCGGAAGGCTGAGGCAGGAGAATCATTTGAACCCAGGAGGCGGAGGGAGCCACTGCACTCCAGCCTGGGCAACAAGAGCAAAAGTCCATCTCAAAATAAATAAATAAATAAATAAATAAATAAATTTTAAAACAATCCTATATATAAAGCAGTTCTTGTAGCGGAGATAGATAGCTGCTCACTAAAACTTGATTTCTTTCTCTTTCTGGGACCACAGCTAGACTGCATTTTCCAGACTTCCTTATGGTTAGCTGTGATCAAATGGTTAATGAGGCAATAAATAAAACCAACAACACTAAAACCAAAAATTGAGCTCTTGGTGGAGGAGAAGGCACATTGCATCCTTAGTAGAAGTAAAGTTTTTCCTAGCACTCAGCTTTGTAAAGGAACACATTTTACAAGGCACCTGCTAGGCACACACAGCACTGAGCTAGATGCTTTCTATACGTGCATGGAAAATAAACAAAGGGCAACAAAGAAGGAAAATGCAGTGTCTGATGTCTGTAGTCACTGAAGTCCTTCACATGTTGGGGAATACTTGACACTAAATGACTGAAATCCCAACCAAAGCATTTGAATACTATTTAACTGGAATGAATTGCATTTAAAAATAGCCATATTGAGATATAATTCAAACACTATTTAACATGTGCAACACAAAGTTTTTCATGTATTGACAGAGTTGTGCAACCATTGTGCGACCATTGTCATGATCTAATTTTAGAACATTTTCATCTCCCTCTAAAAGAAACTCTGTACTCATTAGTCGCCTTTCCTATCCCACATGTCCCCACAGCCCTAAGCAACCACTAATCTACCCTCCATCACTATCAATTTGTCTGTTCCGAACATTTCATAGAAATAGAATCATACAATAGGTAGTTTCTTTCACTTAGCACAATGTTTTCAAGGTTCATCCATGTCAGCGTATATAGCAGTACTTCATTCCTTTCATTGCTGAATCATATTCGACTCCATGGATATTCCACATTTTGTTTATTTATCAACCAGTTGATGCACATTCAGGTTGTTTCCATTTTTTGACTATTATAAATAATGCCGCTATGAACAATTGTTTCTTCCTTTAAAAATTGACATCCCATAAAATTCACTCTTTTATTTTTATTTTTGTTTATTTATTTATTTTTGACACAGAGTCTCGCTCTGTTGATCAGGCTGGAGTGCAGTGGCACGATCTCGGATGACTGCAACCTCCGCCTCCTGGGTTCAAGCAATTCTTCCGCCTCAGCCTTCCGAGTAGCTGAGATTACACTCGCCAGCCACCATGCTGGGCTAATTTTTTTTTGTATTTTAGTAGAGACGGGATTTTACTATGTTGGTCAGGCTGGTCTGGAACTCCTGACCTCAAATGATCCGCCTGCCTCGACCTCCCCAAATGCTGGGATTACAGGAGTGAGCCACCACGCCCGGGCCACCCTTTAAAAGTGTACGATGGAATGGCTTTGGCATATTCCTAGAATGATGCATCTATCACCACAATCTAATTCCAGCACATCTCATCACTCCCAAAAAGAAACCCCTTAAGCAGTCACTTTTCATTCCTCCTTCCCCTGACCCCCTGGTGACTGCCAATGCTCTTTCTGCCTCTATGGGTTTACCTATTCGAGACATTTCACATAGATGGAGTGATACAACAGGCAACCTTTGGAGTTTGGCTTCTTTGACTTAGCGTAATGTATTCAAGATAATATATAACATATATTCTATATGTTATAGCATAGATCAGTACTTTGCTCCTTTTTACGGCTGAATAATATTCCATCGAATGGGCATACAACATTTTGTTTATCCAGTCATTATTTCTGAGAAGATTTTGAGGTCAACTCTGAGGCAAGCAGGGAAGAGAGCTGTGGCTGTGTATATCTGCAATGTGCTGGGTCAGAGAGCACTGTGGGCCTTCCCATGTGCTACAAATTTTCCAACCTGATATTAGAAGAATGATGCATTTGAGACGACGTTCCAGTGTGACTTGAGATGTCTGGCAAATGTGTAAAATTGTATACTGAGGAAAGTGGTACCTAATAGCTAGAATGTTTTCTAAGAGACCTTCAGATATGTGCAGGATCCCAAGAAGTCAGAGATATAATAGAAGGGTAAGAAGAGATGATCTGATTCTTCCTCTTTGTTTTCTCATTAAAAAAGCAATCAATGCCACCATAAATTCTAACATTTCTAAAATTACATTTTTTTAAACAAAATTATCCAGGGACTTCTGAACACTGGGAGACATTTTCAATAGATCAAGGGAGAACGCCAATAATGCCCTACTGCAAATAGAGATCAAAGTAAATGTGGTGGGACAGATGTGATTTAAAATATTCTCTCCCAATTCAAATCAAAACCACAATGAGATACCATCTCACAGCAGTTAGAATGGTGATCATTAAAAAGTCAGGAAACAACAAATGCTGGAGAGGATGTGGACAAATAGGAATGCTTTTACACTGTTGATGGCAGTGTAAATTAGTTCAACCATCGTGGAAGACAGTGGGGCAGTTTCACAAGGATCTAGAACCAGAAATACCATTTGACCCAGCAATCCCATTACTGGGTATACACCCAAAGGACTATAAATCATTCTACTATAAAGACACATGCACACATATGTTTATTGCAGCACTATTAACAATAGCAAAGACTTGGAACAACCCAAATGTCCATCAATGATAGACTGGTTAAAGCAAATGTGGCACATATACACTGTAGAATACTATGCAGCCATGAAAAAGAATGAGTTCATGTCCTTTTCAGGGATATGAATGAAGCTGGAAACCATCATTCTCAGCAAACTAACACAAGAACTGAAAACCAAACACCTCATGTTTCTCACTCATAAGTGGGAGTTGAACAATGAGAACACATGGCCACAAGGAGGGGAACATCACACACCCGGGCCTGTCGCAGGGGGGCTGGGGGCTAGGGGAGAGATAGCATTAAGAGAAATACCTAATGTAGATGACAGGTTGATGGGTGCAGCAAACCGCCATGGCATGTGTATACCTATGTAACAAACCTGCACGTTCTGCACTTGTATCCCAGAACTTCATTGTGTACATTGTCTTTTCACTTTCTTGATGGAGTCTTTTGAAGCAAAAAGCTTTTAATTTTAATGAAGTCCAAGTTACCTATTATTTCTTTTGTTGCTTGTGCTTTGGCGTTTTATATATAATAGGAATCCATTGCCTAATTCAAGATCGTGAAGATTTACTTTGATGTTTTCTTCCAAGAGTTTTACAGTTTTATTTCTTACATTTAGGTCTTTGATCCATTTCGAGTTCATATTTGTATATGGTGTGAAATATGGATCCAACTTTATTCTTTTGCATACAGATAGTACTCATAGAATCATTTTTTTGAAAAGACTCTTCCCTGTGGAATTGTCTTGGCAAGTTTGTGAAACTCATTTGACCCTAAAAGGGGGTTTTTATCTCCAGTCTCTCACTTCTATTCCATTAATCTATGTATCTACCCTTGAGATTGAGAGAGCTAGTAATTAACCGATTAAGAACTGTTTACTTGGTCAGGCGCGGTGGCTCACGCTGGTAATCCCAGCACTTTGGGCGGCCGAGGAGGGCGGATCATGAGGTCAGGAGTTTGAGACCAGCCTGGCCAATATGGTGAAACCCCGTCTTTACTAAAAATACAAAAATTACCTGGGTGTGGTGGCACGTGCCTGTAGTCCCAGCTGCGCGAGAGGCTGAGGCAGGAGAATCGCTTGAACCCAGGAGGCGGAGGTTGCAGTGAGCCGAGATTATGCCACCGCCCTCCAGCCTGGGCTACAGAGCAGGACTCCGTCTCAAACACAACAAAACAGAAAAAAACTCTTTGCTCAATACTCCTATGGACTTAATAGCAATGATTGCTGCTAATGTGATTCTAATACTTTTTGGGCATGCCATCATTGTTTAATTTCAGAGCAAACTTTCTGGAACTGATAAATAATAAGCTCTCCTTAAGAAATTAAAGTGCATTAAAATAAATTGCTTTCAGGGGTTCTTAAACAAGTTCAAGACATCCAGGAGTGTGATACATTTGAGCGAGAAATAGCTGGCCTAGTTCACTCTCCACATTAATCAGAACGTCTCCCACCTTCTTTTTAGGGATAAGCACTCTCAAATATCATTATTCATAAACTAGGGGAGGGCCGGGTTTCCACTCGCATCAGTTACTTTCTCTCCCCTGAGAATATCTTGCAGCCGCTGGAATTTTGGGCCCCTTTGCTAGGAGGCAATTAACAAATTGCACTTTTACTATCAAAGCTGAGAGTGGCCCAGCAGTGGCCCTGGCCCTGCCGGCACGCTTCCGATGCGTCGCCCTGGCCTGAAGATCGCCACAGTCGGGTTCGCGCCCCGTGGTCCCCTAAGGCTTCCAGGGCGCTGGAGCTGGTGCACAGGACCTGCTCCTCCAGGGTCCCCATCTGGGTCTCCAGCGGTCCTTCCTCTCTGCCTTCTCCTCGCAGAGCACCCCGTGGGCCTAGTCTAAACGAGGGCACCACTGGTCCGGAGTTGCACTTGTTCGCTCCCTCCTGGGCTCTGGCAGCGCTGCATCCCCGGGGTTGCTTCGGGTTCGGGCCCAATAGCAGAGTCAGAGCCGAGACGCATGTCCCCTGCACCGGCCAAGGGTGCCGCTGGGGCTCGCGCCAAGGAGGCAAAGGCGGGGACCAGAGGCGCCGGAGGCGGCGCAACGCGCACAGGTGGCGCCCGGCCTGGCCAGGCTCTGGCAGGCGAGGCTGGGTGTGGTCGTGAAGGGGCGGGCGGACCGGCCCCACACTGCCTCGGTTCGGCAAGTGGGTCAGTTGGCTGGGGCTCACTTGGCAACGGGACGCGGGAACGAGGGGCGCGGACGCAGGCCCGGGAGGACGCGGCGGCGGGAACCTGGGGGCGCAGGGCTAGGGCAGCGGGCCCGACCCGCACGGCTTTCCTGGAAAGCGCTGCCCCTCGCCGCGGCGATGCCCTCGCTGTGGAGAGAAATCCTCTTGGAGTCGCTGCTGGGTAAGCCGAAGCCCCTCGCCGCGAGTTCGCGGGTGCCAGCTCCCCGGGCCATGTCCAGAGCCGTGGAGCCAGGCCAGGTTGGCTGAGTTCAGGTAGGAGGAAAAGGGCGCTCCGTGCCCAGAGTGGAGATGCTTATCGTCCCCTGGGAACTTTTCCTACTGAAGGGAATAAAGGAAAAGACCTAGATTGAAGTCTTCAAGCTGAGTCTGCGAGGCGCCCGCGAGAGACCCCGTCGCCCGAGTTCCCAGCAGCCCTGGGATTGTGCCCAAGGAGCGCGAATTCTCCTCGTGTCGGCCTTGACCCCGCGCGGCCGGTACCGTCCCCAAAGCCCCCCACCCGTGGCCTTTAAGTTTAACTTAATACAGTTCAGTGCTGAACTTTAAAATTCAGAAGGAAAGGGGCACCCGTTTTCCCCAGGAGCTGTAGGTGGACACTGGGCGGCAGCTGCTGCCGTGGGCTGGGCCCAGGACAAGTGGCCTTGGTGTCGGCTGCACACTTGGGCATTTGGCGAAAAGCATCAGACTCGAGTCTCATCTGCTCTCTCACCAGCTTTGCAAAATCCCGAGGACAATTTTATTGGTGTAATTCTGTCGGAGCTGTGTGAGTAATAAAATCAAAGTTCCCAGACAAACATTTGGGATATTGCTAGAATCCCCGGTTCGTTACAAAACAAAGATCCCTCTGGTCTGGGTGGGGCGCCTTCCTGAGAACTTGATTTTCTGGGAGCTGGTAATTCTCGGGAGTGCTTCAGACTATTTTTTTCTGGCTCAGCCTGTATCTATAAGTTGGGAGATGTACAGTGCCTAGCATTCAATAAGTACCTCAGGTGCTAGGTACTCAGTGCACTTGATCTCATTTAATCCTCCCAACAACACTGTGAAGGGGTTGAAAGTCCTATTTTGCTGATTAAGAAGGGGAGGTTGGAAAGTCAGTTGGTAGAAAGTTCCCACGCCCAGTGGTTAGACCGGCTACCTTTGGAGCCAGGCTGCTTAGAGTTAGGGCAACTCTGACATTTGCTACTTGTGTAACCTTAGGTACTCACTTAACTTTCTGAGTCTCAGTGTTTTGTTTGTTGTTTTGTTCTTGCTTAGTTAGTTTTTGCATTTATAAGAGGGGAGCGGAAATAGTACCCACCTCATAGCTTATGGGGCTGTATAAGGAATGAGACAGATGGTACATGTTAATACTTAGCACAGACCCTAGTGCATGGCAAGTGCCCATAGCGTTAATTATCATTATTGCTCAAGATTATACAGCAGCTGTTGGCAGAGGTACAACTTACTTCAGATCTGGGTATTCCACTACCCAGCACTGCCTCATAAGGATTGGACTGAAAATGGTCTACTCAAGGGAACGACTGCTGCCTCACTCAAGTGCTTTTGGGTGTAGTCTGGGGTTGGAGGAGGGAGTCCTGCTGCTTGCTGCCCTTTTGGACTCTCACAATATTTTTCATTATACAGGGGACAACTTAGGTAAGAAAATTTTGTCAGTCAGGGTCCTGACGGGATGCCAAATTCAACTCAGATGGTCCAAATGAATAGGACTTAATAAAGAGACTGTCTACAGCCATATGGGCAAGGGAAAGGAACACGCAAGGGATGTTGAGAGACTCACGGCAGCAGGAAGCCATCCTCTACTGGGGCCTGATGCGAGGAGTGGGAGAATATGTACATTTCACCAGAAATTTCACTTCTGGGTATATATCCTACAGATATACTCAGTGTCATGTGTTACATAGTGACATTTCACGAGGAAATTGCCATTGCTTTTCTGTCCATCAGTCTCTTAAGCACAACACAGTCAGTGCAGTGAGTTCTGCGGATCCCTACACAGGTGTAGAGCTCTTGTTTTGTTCCA
This sequence comes from Homo sapiens, assembly GCF_000001405.40. Classification (NCBI taxonomy): domain Eukaryota; kingdom Metazoa; phylum Chordata; class Mammalia; order Primates; family Hominidae; genus Homo; species Homo sapiens. Next base: position 48,988,330 of record NC_000004.12, read on the forward strand.
TGTCAGTGGAGACAACTGGAACCCAGTTCAGGCCAGAGTCATGAAGAAGAATGACCAGCCCAAGCGGCTGGAGTGGAGGGACAGGACTGTCGTTAGAAACAATGTTGAAGTTACACTTTCTCTCTTTAACTTTTTTTTTTTTTGTAGGATGTGTTTCTTGGTCTCTCTACCATGACCTGGGACCGATGATCTATTACTTTCCTTTGCAAACACTAGAACTCACTGGGCTTGAAGGTTTTAGTATAGCATTTCTTTCTCCAATATTCCTAACAATTACTCCTTTCTGGAAATTGGTTAACAAGAAGTGGATGCTAACCCTGCTGAGGATAATCACTATTGGTAAGATTTAAAAGAGTTTCTTTAAGTTGTTTTTTTTAAGTTAAAAATCAAGTGAGATTATGTAGACTGTTCTTTGAATACTAAATATTTGAATTTAAAAAATCAAAGATTTCTCTTTTCCTTACCACTGCCTTAGAAGAGCTTTAGTAATTGGAAGACTAGACTGAGAGTCAATGTGTTTTACATTTCCATTGTTTTTTCCAGACTAGAAAGACCTAAAAATCACTGCAATGAGTAGGGGAAAGACACCTTAAAGAACTGATCAGCTCTTGAATACATTGTGTTTTTCTTTCCAACTGTGACATAACACTCAGGAGCCATTTAAAAAAGTTTGTTAAATAATAATTCACAAGAAATGTGAAAATTATGATGAAAAACACCACAGTAAGCAGTCAAACAAGAAACTAGGAAAAATATTTGCAACTCTTTCAGCCAAAGGGCTAATTTCTCTTATATATAGAGTTCCTACAAACCAATAATAAAAAGAGACCAACAAATCAATAGAAAAGGGGGCACAGGATCTGATCAGTTCACTGGAAAGGAAATACAATTAGTTCTTAAAAATGGAATCAAATGTATAGGTCATAAATCATACACATACAGATATGTTTATCTAGAGTTTGACAAGTAGATTGGCAAAGAACAGCTGAGTCTTACTGCACTGTGCAGTAGGGGTGGGGAAACAGGCACTCATACATTGCTTGTGCGAGTGTCCATTGGCACAACCTCTATGAAGAACAATTTAGCAGTATTATCAAAATTACAAATATGCATATTTCACCAGAAATTCCACTTCTAGGAATATATCCTACAGATATACTCACAGTCATGCGTTGCTTAGTGACATTTCACTAGGATGTTGCCATCGCACAACACAGTCAGAGCAGTGAGTTCTGTGGATCCCCACAAAGGTATAGAGCTCTTGTTTTGTTTTGTGTCAGTAAAGATGAAGTCTTGCTATGTTGCTCAGGCTGGTCTCGAATTCCTGAGCTCAAGCCATTCTCCCTGGCCTCCCACAGTGCTGAGATTATAGGTGTGAGCCACTGCTCATGGCCTAGAGCTCTTGTTTTTAAAACAACTCAGGCTCAGAAGGATAGTGGTAAAAACTCCTGAAAAGTGTGCCCTTTACAAAATTGGTGTCCATAGGAATTGAAAGACATGTCAAATGGTCTTGAAATTTTCAGCTCCAGAAATAACAAATGAAGTTTCCTACCCTTAACTGAGTAAATATTAATTGATTTCAACTGGCATTGGCTTACAGTATCCTTACATGAACCACCGTAGCTCCGAGTCTTGCAAGATTCATTTCCTTATCACACTTCAGGTTGATTTTATGGGAGTGATCTCATAGGTGGTACTTTCTTGTCACCTTTGGTGCTGCCTATGTGGGCCTTACCTATAGATCCACAGACTGAGTAGTTACTGGGACAGTTTCCATTACTTAAGTCCATTTTTGGCCCAGTAACTTCTGGTGATGGTAAGGGATGTGATATAAAATAAGTTTGGGGTAGATATTGTATTTTATTTTGATGCTTCCTATTCCCTTTTCACTTTCTTCCTCCATGAAAACACATCCCCTTGAGCAGAAGTAGATTTATATTTGGAAATATGGAATAGGTAGGGAACATTACTCAGAGTTGAGGAGGAAGTGGCCAATCTCTGCTAAGTGCTGTTCCAGGTGACCATTGAGCTTTGTTGTTGCTAACAGAGGCTAAAGTAAGCCACGATTTGTCTTAAAACTCCCTTCAAATACTTCTTAAGGACATGAAACAACTTTGTTTTTAGAGTCCTGAGATATTCTTATATAAATACAGAGAGGATCTGAGCATTACATGCCATCTCACTTCTGGCACCTCAGATATTTTAGGTTAATTACTGTGTAATTAACTATGAAACCAGTTCATACTCCTATCAATTTAGATTATTTTTGATCCACCAGAAAGGCTATAATCAAAAAAGACAGACAATAATAAGTGTTGACAAGGATGTGGGGAAATTGGAACCTTCACACATTACTGGTAGAAATATAAGAAATATAAAATGGCACAGCTGCTTTGGCAAAGCGTGATAGAAGCTGTTATCATATGATCTAACAACTCTATTCCTTGGTATGTACCCAAGAAAAATGGAAACATCTGTTCACACATAAACTTGTACACAAATGTTCATAGCAGCATTATTCATGAGAGCCACAAAATGGAAACAACCTAAATGCCCATCAACTGATACATGGATAAACAAAATGTGGTATATACATGCAATGGAATATTATATAGCTATGAGAAATAATGAAACACTGATACATGCTACAACCTGGATGCACCCTGAAAACGTTATGCTAAGGGAAAGAAGGCAGTCACAAAAGGCCACATATTGTACAATTTAATATGAAGTGCCCAGAATAGGAAAAATTCGCAGAGACAGAAAATAGATTAGTGGTTGCCAGAGGCTAGGGCATGTGGAGAGAAGGGAATGAGAAGTGACCTGCTAATGGGGATGGGGTTTCTTTTTGGGGTGATGAAATTGTTCTGGAATTAGATAATGGTGATTGTTGCACGACTTTATGAGTATACTAAAAACCATTGAATTGTATATTTTAACATGGTGACTTTTATGATATGTGAATTGTATTTCAATAAAAATTTTAAATACATATATAAAATTATACATCAACTCTGTCTTCCTGAGTATAAAGATGGTATCAGATAACATGCATCAAATGCAGATCACGGAGTTCCAATCCATACTTGCCAGAAATGCTTAGCTCTCCCTATTTTGTTTGTAGGCAGCATAGCCTCCTTCCAGGCTCCAAATGCCAAACTTCGACTGATGGTTCTTGCGCTTGGGGTGTCTTCCTCACTGATAGTGCAAGCTGTGACTTGGTGGTCAGGAAGTCATTTGCAAAGGTATGGTTAATGTTTCATGTACTTATAGACAAACAAGTATAACCAGTTACCAAAGGGAAACCTGGGGCCAGGAGTTCCAGGTTATAGTTTTTACCTTCCATATGGCTTTGTCAAAGTCTCCTTTTTTTTCCTTTTCCCAAAACAAGGACATGAATACTTGCCATCAATCTCAATAAGGTTTTGAAAACTAAAGAATTATAGCAAGTTGCTGAAGTTGCTATATAGAGGCTAAATCACATTCATTATTGCAAATTACCAATAAGACTATTTCAGCTACTTATTCTATGAAACTGAAATTCATGATGGACATAGTACATTGAGTCCACATAAAAAGTGTTTAAAAATACTTTTGCACTTACAGGTACCTCAGAATTTGGGGATTCATTTTAGGACAGATTGTTCTTGTTGTTCTACGCATATGGTATACTTCACTAAACCCAATCTGGAGTTATCAGATGTCCAACAAAGTGATACTGACATTAAGTGCCATAGCCACACTTGATCGTATTGGCACAGGTAATACTGTAACTTAGGAATTTTCTCTTTGCAGAGCTTACCTTTCCTATGTGAATGTTGCACATCTTGGAAAGAAAATCTATAAAAGTAGTCTTTCTGCATTATATCTATATTTCAGCTTTTTCTTCCTCTGAAATAATAATTGGTGCAGCCAGTGGGCTATTTGCTAAGCAGGAGGCACATTTTCCTTGCCTGTACAGACAGAGGGTGAAAATAAAATACCATTACTGGTTTGTAGCACTGTGGCAGTGGGAGACGAGAACCAGGCCTCATATCCCAGCTGGCATTCAGCTCTGTCTTCCTCCTTCTTTCCCCTGGTCAGAGCTCTCTAGGATGGGATTCTCCATCCTCCACCTCCACACTGACCTCAGTACATCTGTAACACTAAGGAAAGTTTCTGTCACGTATGGCTGTCACTGGAACTCCCTGGGTTTTTTTTCCCAGAGGTCTGAAGCTCCAAATCTAAGAATTGAAAAGATAAGAAACCTTGCATATGCATACTGACTTTCCAATCACCTGTCTCTCCCAGGGGCCAGCTTTCTCCGAGACAGAAACATGCCCAGCTTAGAGTTTGTTTCATAAACCAACCCGAGACTCTTCTAAAAAGAAGGGAGAGGTATTAGTGGATTCTAGTTAACGTGCTCCTAGCTTTTTGTGTAACTCTCAGTGAGTCACTGTTCTTCTGTAACTACAAGGTGAAATCTCACAGACTAATGGAAGTTTAGAGGGTATTGGCTCACCAAAAAGTGCTTGTATAATTCCCCCTGTGGCCCCTAGTTTGGCATGAAATGAGAATAGAGGGAAATTATGTCAGTAAATTGGCCTTGTGATGTTAATAGTAGAAGACTTAGAACTCTGTCTGGTCCCCTAACTTATGTTTTACATTCATATCTAGAGGCAGAGACTCGGGCAGCCCATTTTGCCGGTACAGCCTGATAAAGATCTGAACTTCAGGGTACTGTTTACATCTCCTGACTTTTCTTCTATCTGGCCTCTGTTTTAAATGTATGTGACCCAGTTCCTGGCTGGCAGTCCCTTCCTCCATTTCTGCTCTGTGCCTTCCTTTATAAAACTGACTGTTCACCCTGCACCTTCTCAGCCTATCTGAGCATACCAAGTATTTTTTGTAGTTTCCTTTGAAGATTTGTTGGGTCCTGGGTGGGGGTGGAGTCACCCACTGTAATACACTGCATTTTACTCAGCAAATTCAGTTTAGATGGCTCTTTTTCCTCAAAACTCTCCGCTGAGCCCCCAGACCCCTGGCCTCCCTTCTGTCACCACCGCCTTCTCCCATTCCATCCCATCCCCATAGCTCTCGGCTCTGCCCCTCCTCACTCTGATCCTGTTAATGTCAGAGAAGCTTTCTTGGGAAATTAGACTGCCAGCCATACTGTCAGACCCTAAGACCTTCCTTCTGTCCTGTAGAGGGCTGGATGGGGTCACAAAGCATCTGCCCAATAGGCTCTCTCTGTTTCTACGAAGAAGTCCTCCTGCTGGCATCTTCTCCAGTTGTTACAGTTTTGTGTGTGAAGTCATTGCTGTGATGAATTGGACCTCTTGGTTAAACAGTACCAAAGAGCTACACTGCCTAAGCTCCAATCCCAGGTTCCTAGGTTATCTTTACTAGCTGTGTGAACTTGGAAAGGCTACCTGATCTCTCTGTGTCTGTTTTCTTGTTTTTGAGATGGAGTTTCACTCTTGTTGCCCGGGCTGGAGTGCAGTGTCACGATCTCAGCGCACTGCAACCCCTGCCTCCCAGGTTCAAGCGATTCTCCTGACTCAGCCTCCCGAGTAGCTGGGATTACAGGCGTCTGCCACCGTGCCCGGCTAACTTTTTTTTTTTGTATTTTTAGTAGAGACAGGGTTTCACCATGTTGGCCAGGCTGGTTTCAAACTCCTGACCTCAGGTGATCCACCTGCCTTGGCCTCCCAAAGTGCTGGGATTACAGGCTCGAGCCACTGCATCTGGCCCTGTTTTCTAATTTGTAAAATAGGATTAATAGTAGAGCCTACCTCATAAAGTTGTGAAAGTTAAATGAGTTAATATAAAGTTAATATACAGGGCTTGGAAGAGGGGTTGGTGCACAGTGGCTGCCCAGTCAATGCACTAATATTACTCTGCACCCACAGAGGGTTAGATGAGAGCCCTGTTCTTTGGGAGGAAGCAGCTTGTGTACTGGAAATGTTCCACTCAATTTGTACAACATTTGTTCACAAACACAAACACTTTTTCTGCAATGCGTTAGCTTCACATGAAGCAAATAATTTTCTGCATTTTCACCTGTTGAATTCCAAAATGCCTTTTCTCCCTTAAACCATTCCTTATCTGGCCTGCATGGAATTATGTCTCCCACTAAATAGCTGTCAGCATGTTTAGCTTCATATTGTAGTTGCATGTCTCATCTCCTCTTCCGAAGTAAGCTTCTTGAAGCCAAATACCATTTCTTCCTTGCTAAAAGTCTGCTAAATATAGAGCGCAAATTTCCATATAACTAAACTTTTTCCATATATGTATTTTTAAATTCTAGATGGTGACTGCAGTAAACCTGAAGAAAAGAAGACTGGTGAGGTAGCCACGGGGATGGCCTCTAGACCCAACTGGCTGCTGGCAGGGGCTGCTTTTGGTAGCCTTGTGTTCCTCACCCACTGGGTTTTTGGAGAAGTCTCTCTTGTTTCCAGATGGGCAGTGAGTGGGCATCCACATCCAGGGCCAGATCCTAACCCATTTGGGTGAGTTTGGGTTTGGAAGCAATCACAAAATCGGCAGTTATGCCTGGAGGAAGCAATGCCTCCTTTGTCAGACAGCTAGGTCTGTGCTAGCCAGATATTTCATACCACTCTCCCTAGATATCAGAATGTGGCATGAAATTATTGTGTGCTCTGGAGAGAAGGGCACTAGAAGGGTCTTTTCCTCTGTGCAGAAGGATTGCTGAAAAGTAGATGTGGGAGGCCCAATGGTTGTGCACAGCTAAGTAAGAGGTTCCCAGAGCTCCAGCATAGGCATCTCGAGGAATGCCTGCACAGAAGAGCATTCTCAGTGGTGGGAGAGGAGCAGCATTCCCTGGCCATTTCCTCCAGACCCTCTGGTTATGGTTATGGGCATTTAGTAGGATAAGACCACAGTCCCCTGAGGAGACTAGGTTGGCTGCCTGGGGCACAGATCTCTATTCTCAGCAAAGGAGGGCAGCCCCAGGAGATCCCTGCATCTTCTGGTACTTTCTTGTTCCAGCTGTGGGACAGGGTCACACAGGGAGTTAGTAGTCTGGAGTCAAGTGTTGGTCCTTGTGTTTGGTCCTTTTTAACTCTCTCTCTGCTCTTCCTGACACATCTTTTCTCTTGTAACTGGCTCCATCTCTTCTTGCAAAAAAATTGGAGGAATTCTTAAAAGATCTGCCTCCGATATCTTTTCTCTCTTGTAGTGCTGAATTCTTACAATTGAAGGCATGCAGCTGCCTACTGGATCTTTCCCCAGCAGGGATCTGGGCATATCCCACAGGCTTGTCAACCTCAGCTTGTCCAAATCTGAACTCAGTATTTCCCAGTCCTCCACGCATGTTCTTCTTCCCCCATTCCCAGGTCCATTTTGTCTGTCCACCTCATCATCCAAACCTGAGACCAAGAGTTTGCCCAGAATTCTCCATCTTCCTCATTTTCTCCAACTCAGTTCTATGACTTCTCTTAGATTAACCCCTTCTTCTCTATCCCTAAGTTCATCTGCCTTAGTGGAGTCCTCACCATTTTTTCATTCAGGCTATTACTGTTGTCTCCTAATTGTCTCTCTTTAGCAGAATCTTCTCCACATGGTTCCAGAATGATCTCTGTAAAATGCAAATCTGATTCCACCACTCCTTTACTGATAACCTCTCAGCAGTTCCCCCCCACCAATACCTGGTGGCCCCCAATTCTCCCATATGAGGCAGGATCTGGCCCCCCTACTTACCTTTCCAAATGCTTTCTGATCTTATCCTCCTGCTTCACCTGAGTCGAACCCACTTGCGCTTCTCTGGAAGTGCCAGACTGTTCCTGTCCCCCCTCTGCCTGGGCTTGCTTTTCTGCCTTGATGTCCTGGCAAGCCCTACTCCCTTCAAAACCCAGCACAAACATTTTCTCTGTGAATTATTCTGTTATTATCACAGGGGATCCTCCTTTATGCCACATACTATAATACTTTGAGTCAATCAATTTTTATATATGTGTTATATATGTGTACACACACACACACACACACACACACACACACATATATATATGTATCTGTTAGAAACTTTATATTCTGTATTACAGATTTTAAAAAATGTTTTTCTTCCTGTCTAGACACTAAGTCCCTTGAGGGCAGGGAATGGGAAAAGGAATGAATGTTGATTACTTACTCTGTGTCAGGTCCTGAACAAGGACTTTTGAAAATATTATTTCATTTAGAGTCTGTATCTTCTTCCATATCTGGGAGGAAGGCAGAGAAGAAAGAAAGGAACAAAAGGCCAGAGAGGAAGGAAGAAGTTTATTCCTATGTGTTAAAGCTTAGTTTCCAAAGTTACCTGTGAAAACAAGCATAAGTTTTGTGGCAGAGTAAAGGAAGAACTTTAATGGTAAATGGTGAGTCCTGGTAACCAGGAGAAACTCACCATTCAACTCTGGGCCAATCATATTACATCCCTGGCCTTGCTTTACTCACAAGAAGAATGTAACTAAACTTCAGGGGGAAACTTTCTCACATATATAAAATCAGCATTTGCTTTTCAGACATTTCCTAATCCTGTATGTTAGAATGAGACACTGAAGACGGAACTGCAACTCACAAGACCAGCATTTCCCAAACTGTGTTCTGTGAGATGCTGGTTTCTTGAGATGTTAATGGTTACTCTGAGAAAAAGAAAATGCTTCTACATCAAATAGGTTGAGGAAATAGTGCATTTCAATCTCCCTTTCTTTGTGCTTCACAATGCACATCAGCATATTAGAGACTTTTGCAGGTTTCCTAAAGTTATTTGAACATGGAATTCTTCTTTAGAACATCTATTAATATCTGACAGAATAGGTGTGTTTCTCAGAACCAGCTTGAGAAATGTTGCATTAGGCCATCATCATGAATAGCTGGGACTACAGGCACCTGACACTACACCTGGCTAACTTAAAACTTTTTTTTTTTTTTGTAGAGGCAAGGTCTCACTATTTTTTCCAGGCTGCTCTCAAACTCCTGACCTCAAACAATCCTCCCACCTCTGCCTCCCAAAGTGCTGGTATTACTGTCATGAGTCACTGTGCCTGGCCCTATCTGCATTATTTATTAATGGTGTTTATTATATGTTTCCCCCACTGGAATGTGAGCTCTATGGGAGAAAGGGATCGTTGTTCATTGATGCATCCCAAACACCTAGAATGGAGCCTGGCACATAGTGGGCACTCAAAAATATTTGTTGTTGATTTGGGAGTAGAAAAAGATCCACACTGTCCTTCATGGCCTCTTCTCATATTTGGTCTTCTGTAGCCCCAGGGTCATTCTTACACAGGTAGGAGCAGGCAGTAATGTGGCTAACAGCCTCATCCCAGAGCCTGAGGACAATTTTAGATTCTTAGTCCTATGTGGGCTACTGTGTATGACCTCAAGCAGGTTACTTACATACCCTTTCCCCCAGAATTCTCCTCTGCAAAATGGGGATAATATTAGCATTTATCTTACAGGCACATGAGAATTAAATGAATAATAATTACAGGGGAAAATCTTAAAATAGTGCCTGGTATGTAGTGCATGCTATGGTTTTGAGCTTAATTTATGTGACAGCTACTTAAATGAGTCCTATATTCTAGCTATTATTGTTTCTGGGTTTCCTTCTAAAGTTTAGTCAAATTTCTTTTTTCCTCCTCTTGCAACTTTTTGCCAAAATAGCAACAGAATAAAATAGTTTGTGGTTGTTTTAAAAGACACACAGCTATCAGTTATTTATCAAACTGACGCTGGTCTTGGGAAGGCCGAGACTCTAGGCAAGAGCAGTATTGAGGTAGAGGAAAGAAAGAAAAAAAAGCAAACTAAATAGAAACCATTCCAATGACCTTTGCTTTTTGTTCTTGGCAGAATCATTTAAAATGTTACTGACCAACATGGACTGTACTTTAATAGTCTGAGAAAGCTTGGTTACTGTGTTTACATGATAAGTTGGCAGATATCATTGATCTCATGGCAGAGGTTTTATTCCTTCTCTGTTCTGAATGTGTATAATATTGGCTTCCAGTGGGCTCTCATGATCTCACTGGTTGTTTCACACACGTTATCTCTTATATGTACCCAGAGGTGGGAGGTATATTTCTATTTTATATTCGGGATGATGAAATATTACTAATGTCACATGTCTTAGAGCATGTCCTTTTTCACAGAGGTGCAGTACTGCTGTGCTTGGCAAGTGGATTGATGCTTCCATCTTGTTTGTGGTTTCGTGGTACTGGTTTGATCTGGTGGGTTACAGGTATGTGGAATTTACCTGCAGATAGAACACGACTGAGCTTGGTTATCCAGTTTGTTTGCAAGCATGCGCAACTCGACTGAAAGTAGATACAACCATACAAATATGTACTGTGGCCAAATGGGCTGTTGTAAACAGCAACTATAATGCAGATGTCACCAAGGTCACCGGTGACTACCTGCTCTGAGTTCCTGCTTCCTCCTACCTCCGCCTCCCCCTCCTCCTGTGGCTGTGCTGCTTTCCTGGACTACACTGCCATAATACTACCTACTCCCAAAAATACATAAACAAGGCACATGTGTTAAGTAGCAGATTTATAAAAATTCTTGATTTTTAATTAAAGTATATTATTTTATTTGTATAAACTTATGGGTTACAAGTGAGATTGACTGATTGATAACTTTTAAGTTCAGGGGTACATGTGCAGGTTTGTTACATAAGTAAATTCGTGCAATGGGGGTTTGTTGTACAGATTATTTTGTTACCCAGGTAATAAGCCTAGTACCCGTTATTCTTCCTGATCCTCTCTCTCCTCCTACCTGCCTCTGGTGGACCCCAGTGTCTGTTGTTCCCCTCTTTGTGTCCATGTGCTCTCATCATTCAGCTCCCATTTAATGATAACATGCAGCATTTGGTTTTCTGTTCCTGCATTAGTTTGCTAAGGATGATGGCCTCCAGCTCCATCTGTGTTCCTGCAAAGGATATGATCTCATTCTTTTTTATGGCTGCATAGTATTCCATGGTGTATATTACCACATTTTCTTTATCCAGTTTACCATTGATGGGCATTTAGGTTGATTCCATGTCTTTGCTACTGTGAATAGCACTGCAATAAACATACGCGTGCATGTGTCTTTATGGTAGAACAATTTATATTCCTTTGGGTACATACCCAGTAATGGGATTGCTAGGTCAAATGGTAATTCTGTTTTGAGGAATTGCCACACTGATTTCCACAAATGTTAGACTAATTTACACTCTCACCAGCAGTGTATAGGTGCATAGATTGGGTAGTGGTCAAGTCAGAGTTCTTAGGCTGTCCCTCACCTGATGGATACAGTGAACCCATAAGTAATTCTCATCAGTAGCAGATTTTACTGAGGAGATGAGGGCTGTGCATGGCCATGTTGCCAGTTGCCAGACCTCTTTCACTCTTCAAGATTCCTTGCTTTTCCGTGTTTCAAAAATGCCATTTAGAGTTCCATGATGAAGCTCCATTTCCCTTTCTCCTTTACATGTAACAGGGGAGCTCCCAGCCTTCCACCCAGCTGTAGGGTCCATGTCTGCTTACTCAAAGACCTGACCCATCTCTTCCCAGTTACACCCTTTAGGACCCCAGAAGTATCAGTGAAGACAATCATGTTTTGGGCTGCCCTCTTCCCTCTCCCCTAGTCTTTGTGAAGAGGAGGGAGCATTGAACTTATTTTCCTATAACAGAATTATGCCAGCCCTCCTCCTTTCCCTTAAAAGGCAATATTTAATGATTATAGTCAGGTTTTCTGACTCTAAGTAAAAAAAAAACCACTTTATTATATAGCAAATACTATATTTGGTTTATGTGAGGAGAGATGAGATGTTGTTAATACATGTTAATTAAGTTGGTGATTCAGAGTGGTACTCTAGGTGCTGTGTGTGGGTTTGAGAGACTGTATCAGTAATAGAAGATTTAGGATGACAACATAGCAAGTGAATTTCTGTACACCGTAAGTGCCGTCACATTTGCATGGAAATGTATGTGTAATCCAGATACGTGGCTAAATCGATGAGGTTGGCCAGGTCCTCTTCCTCCTGGAGCTATGTGAACATACTGTTGCAGTCTTGTTGAGCTGTTTGTATTGCTTGTGTATTTTTTGATAGGCATTGTATTTGGAGCCTGTGGAGGTTTGTGTGTACCTAAGAGTAATCTTTCTTCTCATCAGAGAGTTTATTTGTGAGATTCCTCAGGAAAAGGGCCAGGAAAGTTTGTCAGTGCTGAGTTTGCATTAAGCATATACAGTAGCTTCTTAATCTGCATATAACTTGGAAAAGGAAAAAGAAATGCATTGAGCGTTTGTTCAGCATTTATATCATGCCTTTTCACATAAAGTATAAGCAAAGTGCTTATTGGGCAGGTAGTTAACAGCTTCATTTTAACCTGAAGAACACAGAGAAATAGACTGTTAGTTAAAGAACAGGAAAGCTGTGAACCTACCGTCTTATGCTTATTTCCCCAGACAAGTAAGGTCATATCCTTGAGAGTCAAACCTAATCTAGTTTTGTTGTCTCTCTGGAGTATTAAATAGTAGCTTTAAAGACTCTAAGAAAAGCAGATTTAAGGCTTCTAGAAGGCTGCTTGCAGTAGAAGAAAGCAGGGCCATAATTCACCAGCTTCATCTTCCTTTCTGATCACTTACTCACCTGCAATAAGTTGGAGCTCAAGCTTAATTATCTGGAGGTGGTGCCCACTTTTCACTGTGATTCATCTCTGGAAACCACACAATAATGCAAGCTGTGGCCAAAGAAATCCTGTTTTCCCATTGCACAGTTTATGTTGACAATCCCAACTGGAGACTCAGCATGAAATTAATTATGGCAGTGACTGAACAATTTCATACAAGCAAAGATACAGGTGCTTTAAATGTTGATAGCAGTTAAATTAGTAAAGCCAGAGTTCTATTTTTAAAAAAAGTCTAGATATAGTAAACATATTGATAGGACCCCATTGTACTATAGTGTCCAGATAATTTTACTATATGGAAAACTTCATTTATTGAAAACTTACATGTCAGTTATTATAATTGTTATTGAAATAGTTAACTATTACTTCTGCTTGATGTCTTTGATGTTGTACAGATTTGGGGGAGATTATTGGAGGGCCTCAAACAAAAGCAGTTAAGGAATACAGTTAAATGAAAAAGGTAAAGTGACTAACAGTGCGTATCATATACTGTCATTGGTGTACAAAAAGGAAGGGAAATGCATGCACATATGTATTTCTTTGTATGTGTAGGGTATCTCTGGAAGGATGCAATGGTAAGTGCTTACACTGGATTGGTTGCCTTCACTAAGGGGAACAAATGGGTTACGGGTCAGAAAGTCCCTTTTGTAGCATTTGAATTGTAATTTTGAATTTATAACCTATTTAAACAGTACAATTTTGGTGGATTTAAAATATAGAGCCTATTTAAAAATAGAAATAAAAATGATAACAGTCAAGATAAATTTGAGAGATGTTTTCATTCCCTCTAGATAATTCTCTGTAGTAAGGAGAACAATATTATTCTAACGTCTTTAGATTAGAATATCAAATTCGGGATCATTCTTTTAAAAACAGTCATTGTAAGCCGTAAGTAAGAAAAATTCAACCTCACTAACAGTCAAATAAGTGCAATTTAAAATGTCATAGCATTTTCGACCTTAATTTGGTAAAGATTTTTGGTATTATTACATATATTTGGTAAAGATTTTTACCAAATTAAAGATGAAATTTTGGCAGGATGTGAGAGGTGTCAAGACTTGGCAAGTTTTCTGCAGGAAGCAAAGACAAGTATTAGGTTTCCTGAAAGCTGGGTATAAGGTTTCCTGAAAGTTGCTTTCAGGAAAGCAACTGGTCACAAGTCATGACTTTAAAATACTTATGCCCCTTGACATAAGAGTTGTGTTGCTAGGAATCTGTTTTAAGGAAATAATAGGTAATGTGGTAAGGGATCATTGACAAAAAAAGATGTTCATCACACTGTTGTTTTAAAAGCTTGACATAGGAACCTTCACAAATGGCCAGCAATAGGAAAATGCTTACTTATATTGTGGTGTATTTATCCAGTGAAGTATTATATGTACATTAAAATGTTTTAGAAAAAAATTATTTACACTAGTAAATGTTCCTGATATAATGTTTCATAAATAGCAGCATATAGTCTTTAATATGTGGTACAATTCCATTTATGTAAAAATACTTCTGTATATACACAGAAGAGACTTAGAAATACACAGAAATATTGGCTGTGGTTATCTCCGTCTTAGACAATCCTTAATTGCTTCTTTTCAGTTCTGTATTTTTAAAATTTCTAAAGCAAATAGGCATTACAGTTGTTTTATTTTAAAATGAAAAAATTCCATTGAGAATCTAGGTATTTGAAATCTCCCTATGGAGTTAAACTCCATGGGTTGTAGAGGACCTTGGAATCTAGTTCTCATGCTCATCTGAGAGATGTTCTTTTTGAAGTGGGGAGAAATAGGCAGTCAGGCAGGTGGCATTGCCCTGTGATGGTGCAATGGAATGTATTGATGAACTTATTGAGCTATGGGGCATTAAGATGCTGACTGGGGCCACTTTCTGCTTCCCACTCCTTTCTGGAGTTCTTGGCCGAAGTAGTGAAGAGCCTGCTCTAGCTACCCTTGAAGGGTGGGTCCCAATTATACAACATGGATTGGAATGTTTCAAAAATGCCATATTTTCTATGGAAAGGGGTTATATTGATGGTCCCAAGATGGAGTGGACCCTGCAGTGCTATTTCAAAGCTGATTTCACAAGGATTGGGGGAAAGGTTATGTGATCTCAGCATTGGCTCAATAAACTAACATTTACAGAGTGCCTGCTGTGGATCAGGCAGAATGCATAGCTCCTGACACCTAGCAGGCTGTTGGGTAATGAATGAACTGATTGCAGAATTGCTAAAGCAGTGAGCCTACAAATGCTATGTCTTCTCTTGGGGCTGTGTGGTTGGAAAAGTCAATGTACCTCTTGTAGGACAGGTGGTAGCATTTAGATGGACAGAAATTCCTTAGAAGCCCCTTAACAGAGGTGTTCTAGAAACCACACTCTACCTGTTTTCTAATGTCCTGCATCTGATTGGTTAAATGTAATATTTTTGGACATATTTTTGGTATTGCAGAAATTTTAGTTTTTATTGCTGTTAGGATCTTAACAGCAATTACCTAAAAATACCCTTTTCACTCCTCCTGCCCTTTCTGAGGAAATAGCAGTGAACTGAGATTTACTAGATCCACATTCTACCTCCAGTTGAGACAATAACTGGCTGTGTGACATTAGGCAAATCACATTAACCTTGTCAGATCTTAGTTTTCTCATCTGTCTGGAGATTGGATCAGTATACCCCTAAGGTCTGTTCTGGTCCTAAAGGCTATAAATTGGTCATCCTCTAAGCTCGACTGCTTTCCTGTCTGATTCTTTTCTCTCTCACAAACAGGAACAGCTTCAGCTGCGGGGCTCCTTTACCTGCACACATGGGCAGCTGCTGTGTCTGGCTGTGTCTTCGCCATCTTTACTGCATCCATGTGGCCCCAAACACTTGGACACCTTATTAACTCAGGGACAAACCCTGGGAAAACCATGACCATTGCCATGATATTTTATCTTCTAGAAATATTTTTCTGTGCCTGGTGCACAGCTTTTAAGTTTGTCCCAGGAGGTGTCTACGCTAGAGAAAGATCAGATGTGCTTTTGGGTGAGTACATTTGAAAGGTCTGGATTAAAATAATTGCTCAAAAATATCCTTATGGACTGACCAGGATTTAGCACTTTATGTAACTGGTGGAAATAAGCAGGATGATCTAGCTTTCTTGGTAAAATAGACTCTCTTGATTAAAACACAAAACCTGGAGTGATGTCTAAATTATAAATTAAAATCAAATGTATTAATTTACCAGCGCATTTCTGTAATACTTATTACTACAAAGGTCTTTTAAATTAATTAGTTGTGAAAAGATTCAGTCCATACTAAAGCGTAAACAATGTAACACTTGTGTTATACGATGCGTTAGGAAAAGGTATGATCATGATACTCATGCTGCCACTTCAGTGGTTGGCTCGTAAATATACATGGGGATTGTGATTTTTTGGGGTTCCCCTGAATTTTATTTATGAATGTTTTTTGAGATGAGGTCTTACTCTGGCAGTGATGTGATCACAGCTCACTGCAGCCTTGAGCTCCTGGGCTCAAGCGATCCTTCTACCTCTGCCTCCCAAGTAGTTGGGTCTACTAGGTGTGGGCCACCACACTCCACTAATTTAAAAAATTTTTTGTAGAGACAGGGGTCTTGCTATGTTGCACAGGCTGGTCTTGAACTCCTGGCCTCAAGTGATCCTCCTGCCTTGGCTTCCCAAAGTGCTAGGATTACAGGTGTGAGCCACCACACCTAGACTCTATTATTTTTATTTACCATATTTGTAACAAAAAATTCATATATCTTAGTGTAAATGGTAAATCTCCAAGTCATAGAACAAATATATTTACCATTTTAGTGGTTATGAATTTGCATACCAAAATTATAATTTAATAAACTTAGCTCAGTTTAATATTTTAAAAATTGATTCACATACCAAAATTATAATTTCATAAACTTAGTTCAATTTTAATATTTTAAAAATTGGCTTCTGGCAATAATACAATTATTGGTGTATACTAGGCATACATAAATCGAATGTTGTGAATCATTTTAGTTTACATAATTTTAGCTTAAGTAACATGTCAAATACTTCTACAAAGTGTTTGAAAGATGAGGAGAAAAAACATGTTAATAAGGGATCTACTTGTTTGTTTGTTCACTTATTCATTAAAAATATTAACACGATTTCACTGGTTGTCTACATTTTGAAAAAAAATGATCATGTACCTTATGTTCCAGGAACAGTGCCAGATACTGAAGATTATTTTTACACATTTTTATCTGTATAAATTTGTGGGGTACAATTGCAATTTTGTTACATGCATAGGTTGCATAGTGGTTAAGTCAGGGCATTTAGAGTATCCATCACCCTGACAGGGTACATTGTATCCATTAATCAATTTCTCATCATTGCCCCCTTTCCCACCCTCTCACTCTTCTGGTCTACTTTATCTACCACTCCCAGCTGCTGAAATATTAAAAACACCCACTGTCCTTGCCTACCTGGAGCTTTAGTTGAATGGGGGAAACATCATATATAAAACGAGACAAATACTTAAGAAATTACAGTTGTGTGAGTGCTACTCAGGAGAAGTGAAGGCTTCTATTAGGGTTCTGTTTTTTTTTTTTCTTTTTTTTTTTTTTGAGACAGGGTCTTGTTCTGTTCCTCCAGCTGGAGTGCAGTGGTGCAGTCATAGCTCCCTGTATCCTTGAGCTCCCCCCTCAACCTCCCAAGTAGCTGGGTCTCCAGGCACACACCACCATGCCTGGCTGATTATGTTGTTTTTTGTAGAGATGGGGTCTCACTTTGTTGCCCAGGCTGGCGTCGAACTCCTGGGCTTACGCAATTCTCTTGCCTCAGCCTCCCAAGGTGCTGGGATTACATCTACCTGGGTTCTGTTACAGTTCCCCTGGTGCCCTGACAGACATCCGACTACTCTGCACATTTTGCCATATGCTTTTCTACCCCACGAGCTAGACATCTGTCAGGAGAGGCTGGTTTGAAAGACATATTTTAAAATTACATGAAATATTTTTGAATTAACTTGGAGAATTTGGTATTTCTGGTAAATACTCAAGCTTTCATCTAATGAGAGAAACACATTGCTGCATTTCCTCCGTGGTAACCTTGGCTTTGCAAACTTTGTATTTCTTCTGATTTATTTCAGGTGTGTGTACTCTCTCCTGCTTTGTTTTCTTGTCCAATGCCCTGCTTTTTTTCTTATACCAGCTTGCTTAGGGATCTGCCATGAGAAAAAAACAAATGAAAGTAAGAGCTATTCCATGCATGAGTTTGTTTCTTTAGAATTTTATGAACGATGAGTTTTTTTTTTAGTTTCTTCTCACTACTTATGGAATTGTAGAAACAGTGCATAATTACAGCTTCATACAACTAAGAACTTTAAAGAAAAATAAGAGTGATGTTATTTGATGAGGCCACAAAAGCCAAGAAATGTTGGTAATATTCAGAGTGGCTTTTAATACAACTGAGTTGAAAAGAATATTTATTATATCAGAATTTAGTTATAAATTTATTTCCTGGATTCCTCCTGCTATTTCCTGGAAAATTGGACACCGCTGTTTTTGCTTGGCTTCTGACTTTTACTTGACATTTCTTAAATGCCTTAATTTCTTAATTTCCATATGGCAGCATATCTCTGTTTCCATTCTTAGTATGTATGGTTTTAGATGAAGTAAGTAAACTTTAAGTGTAAGCTAGTTTGTTGCATATCCCAATTTAGCTCCACTTTATTGGCTGGCCTGTTGGCACACTGTGATTTCCAGCATGCATCCTCTGTGAGGCCTCTGTGCCCAGAAAACTCACATCCTGGGGCAGAATTATCACAAGCACTGCCATATTAAGAGCCTACGTATGATCCATTGTGATCCTCAACCTGGTGCACGGAAGGGCTCTTATTGCATCCCTATGGGAGCTCAGAAGACTTCACTGTCCCCTGCCCAATCAACAGTCAGTCATGAACACGTTCAGCAACCTAACAACTAGGAAATACTCAAGAAATTCAAAGAAATATGTATCGGGAAAAGGCTGGGGTCCTGTCATTTAAAGCACGATTCCTAGAACCCTACCTGATATTTTCCAGTTATCAAAAGCACTACTAGAGTAATTGTTTAGGTTCTGAGATAAATTAAATCAGTACATGAATTTCCAGGGTATGTTCCTTTCAAGGAACTCTCAGCTGCTGGAATACAACATTGGAAGGATTTTTGGATCAGACTATAACATATTCTTTCTTTCTCTTATAACAGGGACAATGATGTTAATTATCGGGCTGAATATGCTATTTGGTCCTAAGAAAAACCTTGACTTGCTTCTTCAAACAAAAAACAGTTCTAAAGTGCTTTTCAGAAAGAGTGAAAAATACATGAAACTTTGTAAGTATAGTTTTACATTCTTAAAAAAAATTAATTATATAAAATTCTAAACGTATGAAATTAAAGAGTATAATGATCCCTCATGTATCCTTCATCCTGTTTCAGCAATTCTCAACATTTTGCCATGTTGTTAATAGCTATCTTCTCTAGTTTTTTTAAAAAATTATACTTTAAGTTCTAGGGTACATGTGCACAACGTGCAGGTTTGTTACATAGGTATACATGTGCCATGTTGGTTTGCTGGACCCATCAACTCGTC
Organism: Homo sapiens; assembly: GCF_000001405.40. Lineage (NCBI taxonomy): Eukaryota > Metazoa > Chordata > Mammalia > Primates > Hominidae > Homo > Homo sapiens. The sequence goes on from NC_000004.12 coordinate 49,007,586, forward strand.
ATTTACATTAGGTATTCCTCCTAATGCTATCCCTCCCCCCTCACCCCACCCCACAGCAGGCCCCAGTGTGTGATGTTCCCCGCCCTGTGTCCGTGTGTTCTCATTGTTTAATTCCCACCTATGAGTGAGAACATGTGGTGTTTGGTTTGTTGTCCTTGTGATAGTTTGCTGAGAATGATGTTTCCAGCTTCATTCATGCCCCTGCAAAGGACATGAACTCATTTTTTATGGCTGCCTAGTATTCCATGGTGTATATGTGCCACATTTTCTTAATCCAGTCTATCATTGATGGACATTTGGGTTGGTTCCAAGTCTTTGCTATTGTGAATAGTGCTGTAATAAACATACGTGTGCATGTATCTTTATAGTAGCATGATTTATAATCCTTTGGGTACATACCCAGTAATGGGATGGCTGGGTCAAATGGTATTTCTAGTTCTAGATCCTTGAGGAATCACCACACTGTTTTCCACAATGGTTGAACTTATTTACACTCCCACCAACAGTATAAAAGCGTTCCTATTTCTCCATATCCTCTCCAGCATCTGTTGTTTCCTGAGTTTTTAATGATCACCATTCTAACTGGTGTGAGATGGTATCCCATTGTGGTTTTGATTTGCATTTCTCTGATGCCCAGTGATGATGAGCATTTTTTCATGTGTATGTTGGCTGCATAAATGTCTTCTTTGGAGAAGTGTCTGTTCATATCCTTTGCCCACTCTTTGATGGAGTCGTTTGTTTTTTTTTTCTTGTAAATTTGTTTAAGTTCTTTGTAGATTCTGGATATTAGCCCTTTGTCACATGGATAGATTGCAAAAATTTTGTCCCATTCTGTAGGTTTCCTGTTCACTCTGATGGTAGTTTCTTTTGCTGTGCAGAAGCTCTTCAGTTTAATTAGATCCCATTTGTCAATTTTGGCTTTTGTTGCGTTGCTTTTGGTGTTTTAGTCATGAAGTCTTTGTCTATGCCTATGTCCTGAATGGTATTGCCTAGGTTTTCTTCTAGCGCTTTTATGGTTTTAGGTCTAATATTTAAGTCTTTAATCCATCCTGAATTAATTTTTGTACAAAGTGCAAGGAAGAAATCCAGTTTCAGCTTTCTCCATATGGCTAGCCAGTTTTCCCAGCACCATTTGTTAAATAGGGAACCCTTTCCTCCTTTCTTGTTTTTGTCAGGTTTGTCAAAGATCAGATGGTTGTAGATGTGAGGTGTTATTTCTGAGGCCTCTGTTCTGTTCAATTGGTCTATATATCTGTTTTGGTATGAGTACCATGCTGTTTTGGTTACTGTAGACTTGTAGTATAGTTTGAAGTCAGGTAGCCTGATGCCTCCAGCTTTGTTCTTTTTGCCTAGGATTGTCCTGGCTATGTGGGCTCTTTTTTGGTTCTATATGAACTTTAAAGTAGTTTTTTCCAATTCTGTGAAGAAAGTCATTGGTGACTTGATGGGGATGGCATTTAATCTATAAATTACCTTGAGCAGTATGGCCATTTTCATGATATTGATTCTTCCTATCCATGAGCATGGAATATTCTTCCATTTGTTTGTGTCCTCTTTTATTTCATTGAGCAGTGGTTTGTAGTTCTCCTTGAAGAGGTCCTTCACATCTCTTTTAAGTTGGATTCCTAGGTATTTTATTCTCTTTGTAGCAATTGTGAATGGAAGTTCACTCATGATTTGGCTCTCTGTTTGTCTGTTATTGGTGTATAGGAATGGTTGGGATTTTTGCACACTGATTTTGTATCCTGAGACTTTGCTGAAGTTGTTTATCAGCTTAAGGAGATTTTGGGCTGAAATGATGGGGTTTTCTAAATATACAGTCATGTCATCTGCAAACAGGGACAATTTGACTTCCTCTTTTCCTAACTGAATGCACTTTATTCCCTTCTCCTGCCTGATTGCCCTGGCCAGAACTTCCAACACTGTGTTGAATAGGAGTGGTGAGAGAGGGCATACTTGTCTTGTGCTGGTTTTCAAACGGAATGCTTCCAGTTTTTGCCCATTCGGTATGATATTGACTGTGGGTTTGTCATAAAGGGCTCTTATTATTTTCAGATATATTCCATTAATACCTAGTTTATTGAGGGTTTTTAGCATGAAGCACTGTTGAATTTTGTCGAAGGCCTTTTCTGCATCTATTGAGATAATCACGTGGTTTTTGTCTTTGGTTCTGTTTATGTGATGGATTATGTTTATTGGCTTGCATATGTTGAACCCACCTTGCATCCCAGGGATGAAGCTAACTTGATCTTGGTGGATAAGCTTTTTGATGTGCTGCTGGATTTGGTTTGCCAGTATTTTATTGAGGATTTTCACAGTGATGTATATCAGGGATATTGGTTTAAAGTTCTCTTTTTTTGTTGTGTCTCTGCCAAGCTTTGGTATCAGGATGATGCTGGTCTCATAAAATGAGTTAGGGAGGATTCCCTCTTTTTCTATTGATTGGAATAGTTTTAGAAGGTATGTTACCAGCTCTTCTTTGTACCTGTGGTAGAATTCGGCTGTGAATCCTTCTGGTCCTGGACTTTTTTTGGTTGGTAGGCTGTTAATTATTGCCTCAATTTCAGAGCTTGTTGTTGGTCTATTCAGAGATTCAACTTCTTCCTAGTTTAGTCTTGGGAGGGTGTATGTGTACAGGAATTTATCAATGTCTTCTAGATTTTCTAGTTTATTTGCATAGAGGTGTTTATAGTATTCTCTGATGGTAGTTTGTATTTCTGTGGGATTGAAGGTGATATCCCTTTATCATTTTTTATCATGTCTATTTGATTCTTCTCTCTTTTCTTCTTTATTAGTCTTGCTAGTGATCTATCAATTTTGTTAATCTTTTCAAAAAACCACCTCCTGGATTCATTGATTTTTTTGAAGGATTTTTGTGTCTCTATCTCCTTTCGTTCTGCTCTGATCTTAGTTATTTCTTGCCTTCTGCTAGCTTTTGAATTTGCTGGCTCTTGCTTCTCTAGCTCTTTTAATTGTGATGTTAGGGTGTCGATTTTAGATCTTTCCTGCTGTCTGTTTTGGGCATTTAGTTCTATAAATTTCCCTCTACACACTGCTTTAAATGTGTCCCAGAGATTCTTGTACATTGTGTCTTTGTTCTCATTGGTTTCAAAGAACATCTTTATTTCTGCCTTCATTTCATTATTTACCCAGTAGTCATTCAGGAGCAGGTTGTTCGGTTTCCAGGTAGTTGTGTGGTTTTGGGTGAGTTTCTTAATCCTGAATTCTAATTTCATTGCACTGTGATCTAAGAGACAGTTTGTTATGATTTTGGTTCTTTTATGTTTGCTGAGGAGTGCTTTACTTCCATTTATGTGGTCAATTTTGGAATAAGTGTGATGTGGTTCTGAGAAAAATGTATATTCTGTTGATTTGGGGTGGAGAGTTCTGTAGATGTCTATTAGTTCCGCTTGGTGCAGAGCTGAGTTCAAGTCCTGGATATCCTTGTTAACCTTCTGTCTCATTGATATGTCTAATATTGACAGTGGGGTATTAAAGTCTCCTATTATTATTGTGTAGGAGTCTAAGTCTCTTTGTAGGTCTCTAAGGACTTGCTTTATGAATCTGGGTGCTCCTGTATTAGGTGCATATATATTTAGGATAGTTAGCTCTTCTTGTTGAATTGATCCCTTTACTATTATGTAATGGCCTTCTTTGTCTCTTTTGATCTATGTTGGTTTAAAGCCTGTTGTATCAGAGACTAGGATTGCAACCCCTGCTTTTTTTTTGCTTTCCATTTGCTTGGTAGATCTTCCTCCATCCCTTTATTTTGAGCCCATGTGTGTGTGCATGCAAGATGGGTCTCCTGAATACAGCACAGTAATGGGTCTTGACTATCCAATTTGCCAGTCTGTGTCTGGGCATTTAGCCCATTTACATTTAAGGTGAATATTGTTATGTGTGAATTTGATCCTATCATTATGATGTTAGCTGGTTATTCGCCCATTAATTGGTGCAGTTTCTTCATAGCATCGACGGTCCTTACAATTTGGCATGTTTTTGCATGGTACTGGTTGGCGTGTTTTTGCAGGTACCGGTTGTTCCTGTCCATGTTTAGTGCTTCCTTCAGGAGCTCTTTTAGGGCAGGCCTGGTGGTGGCAAAATCTCTCAGCATTTGCTTGTCTGTAAAGTATTTTATTTCTCCTTCACTTATGAAGCTTAGTTATAAAATTCTGGGTTGAAAATTCTTTTCTTTAAGAATGTTGAATATTGGTCTCCACTCTCTTCTGGCTTGTAGGGTTTCTGACAAAAGATCCGCTGTTAGTCTGATGGGCTTCCCTTTTTGGGTAACCCAACATTTCTCTCTGGCTGCCCTTAACATTTTTTCCTTTATTTCAACCTTGGTGAATCTGACAGTCATGTGTCTTGGGGTTGCTCTTCTTGAGGAATATCTTTGTGGTGTTCTCTGTATTTCCTGAATTTGAATGTTGGCTTGCCTTGCTAGGTTGGGGAAGTTCTTCTGGATAATATCCTGAAGAGTGTTTTCCAACTTGGTTCCATTCTCCCCGTCACTTTCAGGTACACCAATCAAACCTAGATTTGGTCTTTTCACATAGTTCCAAAGTTCTTGGAGGATTTGTTCATTTCTTTTCACTCTTTTTTCTCTAAACTTGTCTTCTGACTTTATTTCATTAATTTGATCTTCAATCACTGATATCCTCCTTCCACTTGATCAAATCAGCTATTGAAGCTTGTGCATGAATCACGAAGTTCTTGTGCCATTGTTTTCAACTCCATCAGGTCATTTAGGGTCTTCTCTACACGTTTATTCTAGTTAGCCATTCGTCTAACATTTTTCAAGGTTTTTGGCTTCCTTGCAATGGGTTAGAACAAGCTCCTTTAGCTCGGAGAAGTTTGTTATTAGCCACCTTCTGAAGCTTACTTCTGTCAACTCATCAAAGTCATTCTCCGTCCAGCTTTGTTCCATTGCTGGTGAGGAGCTGTGATCCTTTGGAGGAGAAGAGGCACTCTGGTTTTTAGAATTTTTGGCTTTTCTGATCTGGTTTCTCCCCATCTTTGTGGTTTTATCTATCTTTGGTCTTTGATGTTGGTGACCTGCAGATGGAGTTTTGGTGTGGATGTCCTTTTTGTTGATGCTGATGCTATTCCTTTCTGTTTGTTAGTTTTCCTTCTAACAGTCAGGTCCTTTAGCTGCAGGTCTGTTGGAGTTTGCTGGAGGTCCACTCCAGACGTTTGCCTGGGTATCACCAGTGGAGGCTGCAGAATAGGAAATATTGCAGAATAGTAAATATTGCTGCCTGATCCTTCATCTGGAAGCTTTGTCCTAGATTGGCACCCACCTGTATGAGGTGTCTGTTAGCCCCTACTGGGAGGTGTCTCCCAGTTAGGCTACATGGGGGTCAGGGACCTACATGAGGAGGCAGTCTGTCTGTTCTCAGAGCTCAAATGCCGTGCTGGGAGAACCACTGCTCTCTTCAGAGCTGTCAGACAGGGACGTTTAAGTCTGCAGAAGTTTCTCCTGCCTTTTGTTCAGCTATGCCTGGCCCACAGAGATGGAGTCCATAGAGGCAGTAGACCTTGCTGAGCTGTGGTGGGCTCCACCCTGTTCCAGCTTCCTGGCTGCTTTGTTTACTTACTCTAGCCTCAGCAATGGCAGATGCCCCTCCCCCAACCAGGCTGCGCCTTGGAGGTTGATCTCAGACTGCTGCACTAGCAGTGAGCAAGGCTCCCTGTGTGAGGTACCCACCCAGCCAGGCACAGGATGGTATCTCCTGTTCTGCCGGTTGCTAAGACCATGGGAAAAACACAGTATTTTGGCGGGAGTGTCCTGTTTTTCCAGGTACAGTCTGTCATGGCTTGCCTTGGCTAGGAAAGGGAAATCCTCTGGCCCCTTGCACTTCCCGGGTGAGGTGATGCCACGCCCTACTTCAGATCACCCTCCATGGGCTGTGCCCACTGTGCAACCAGTTCCAATGAGATGAACCAGGTACCTCAGTTGGAAATGCAGAAATCGCCTGTCTTCTGTGTCGATCATGCTGGGAGCTGCAGAACAGAGCTGTTCCTATTCGTCCATCTATTTCTCTACTTTTTTTTTTGTACTTTAAAGCAAATCTCTGATATCATGCCATTTCCACCATAAATACTCTGTATTGGTTTTATTTCACTTCTAACATAGATAAGAGAATTCAACATGCAGAATTTCCAAAATGATTTGTTCTAATGGTTGAGACTATTTACTCCATTTCTTGTTTTCCTTTTTTGGGGAGATTATGTTAATGTTTGGGATGCTGATGAACTAAAATCTCAAACATGAAATTAGTTTACTATTCAATATAGTAAACTCATGTAAAATAGACTGGATTAAATAAAAATGTACTGAATGTATTTAATGTGAAGACAGCGTGTTAAGTAGTTGTTAAGTAGGATTCAAAGATGTGAATAATGGTCTCCACCTTCAAGGACTTGGTGCTTTACAAAGGAGACAAAATATTATAGTGTAAAGATATAAAAAACAATTAAGAAGCTGTATAAGTTCTCTATGTATTTCCAAAAGAAATATCACAAAACAGACCATTATATAAAAACCTTCATATATGTTTCATCTTAATTTAAAAGATTATATTTGGCCAGGTGCAGTGGTTCACTTCTGTAATCCCAGCACTTTGAAAGGCCAAGGCAGGAGGATTGCTTGGGGCCAGGAGTTCGAGACCAGCATAAGCAATGTAGTGAGACCCCATCTCTACAAAAAATTTAAAAATCAGCCATTTGTGGTGGTGCACCTGCAGTCCCAGTAGTCTCAGCTACTAGGGAGGGCGAGGGTGAAGTGGGAGGATCTTTTGAGCCTGGGAGGTCAAGGCTGCAGTGATGGTGCCACTGCACTTCAGCATGGATGACAGAATGAGACTCTGACTCAAAAAAAAAAAAAAAAAGAGAGAAGAAAAGATTCTATTTAAACTTAGGGAGAAATGAGATTTTTTTTGTGTGTTTTCTTATGTTTTGGTATATCCCTTGAAACAAATAACTAGCAGTTTTTGTTTTTAATCCTGACAATCTTTGTCTTTTTTTTTGTTGTTGGTAAGAACCACAATTCTTTAATTCACTTATCAAATCGAGGCATTTGGAACAGTTTATTTACAGTTATTTAGTCATTTTTGTGTGATTAAAAAAAGACAAGTTTCTTAGAGCAATTTTAGGTTCATAGGAAAATTATATGGAAAGCGTGGAGATTTTTCCATATGCCTCATGCCCCCACATACATACAGCACCCCCCACTATCAAAATTACTCACCAGAATGATACATTTGTTAAAATAAATGAACCTACATTGATACATCATTGTCACCCAAAGGCCATAGTTTACATTAGGGTTCACTTTTAGCTTTGTACAGTTTAGGAGTTTTGACAAATGTATAATTACATAGATCCCTCAGTGCGGTATCATACAGAATACTTTCTCTGCCCTAAACATCCCCTGTGCCTCACCTAATCATCGATTCCTCCTCCAAACCCCTGGCAACCACTAATGTTTTACTGTTTTCATTGTTTTGCATTTTCCAGAATGTCAATTTTTGTCTTTTAAGGGTTTAATCTATTTTTACCATGATTTCTGAATGTATATTTATCTAATGTGATCATCTTACTTTTCTTTTTCATTTTCCACTTTTTCTAGGTATGTTTTTTCCTTTTTCTTTTTGATATTTTTTTCATTGATTAGGGTTTTTTTTTTCCCTTATGCCCCTCCTCCCCACTCCTCTTTCTAGTTTGGAAATTATACTTTCAATATCTATTCTTTTAGTAGTTGGTTGTTTTTCTCTTAGCACATTGAAGATATTATTCTCCTGTCTTCTGCTGTTGAGAAGTCAGCTGTCAGTGTAATTGTTTTTCCTTGGAAAATAATCTGTCTTTTCTCTTTGGCAGCTCTTAAGATTTTTCTGTGTTTTGGTGTTCCGTAGTTTCACTGTGATATATCTGGATGCAGATTTTTTCCTCCATCTTGCTTGATAGTCTTCAGGCTTTATGAATCTGAAGAGTCATGTCTTTTATTATTTCTGGAAAATTCTCAACATTGTTTCTGCAAATATTGCTTCTTTCCCATTCTTTCTCTTTCTTTTTGACTCCAATTAGATATGTGTTGGACTTTCTTATTCTGTTTTCCATTGCTGTTAACCTCTTTCATATTTTCTGCCTCTATGTTTTGGGCTGCCCCTTGAACTAACTCTCTATTCAGCTTTGTCTAATTTGATTGTCTTTGAGTTTCTAATTTCAATTATTATAATTATCTTTTTATTTCTAGAACTCTATTTGATTTCTTTTCAAAATTTTCTGATTATTTATTTTAGTCTCATGTTCCCTAGTCATACTTTTGAATACCCTCTTTTATTTCTGTAAATATAATAAGCATACTTGTTTTATATTCTGATTCAGAGAGTTCCAACATCTGTCTCTTTGTGGGCTTGATTCTGCAGGGTGTTTTTTTCTTTGTTTCCTGCTCATGGAAACTTGTTTTCTTGTGTGTTTTGTGACTTATTTTTACTTTAAGCTCATGGTCCTTGGAACATTTTTAGGGGAAATTCTTGAAATCTGGGTTTAAAGAGTGGTTGATGTACACATGTCACACATGAAAATTAACCGAAGAACTACACATTTCCCCTTTGCACAAAATCATTGGCCAATAAATTCAATAATTTTATAAACCTTGTTATTTTAAAACAAATTTAGGTGTTTTTTTTCCCTAGTGCCATGTGTTTATTCCCTCCCATGTGAGTGGTTCGCATACAGAGCACACACAGGAGTGGGCACCATGGAAGAGGGCAGCATTCCTGGCTTCTGATGGGAGGATCTTGGCCTCATGGTGTAAGAAGGGAGAGGATGGTTTATCTCCTGCCTTCACTGGGGCCTAGGGGACCCAGGAGCAAATTCCACCCTTTCCATCTCTCAGCCAAGGAGAAGCCACCTTGGTGACGTTTAGTTCCAACCATTATAGTAAGCGGAGAAGGGATTGGCCTGGTCTCAACCATTACAGGGTGAAGATATAAACAGTAAAGGAAGGTACAGTTTGGATGAGGCCACAAAAGAGGGCAGATGACACCATCAGAAGCATGTGCAGGGGAGGGGCAGTTACTGGGCTTCTGGGCTGCTTAGTCCATTCACCTTATCTGTGATGACCTTTGCCTGCTCGAAAACAACCTTCTCAGTGATGCCAGCTTCCCTTGCATCTAGCTTCTTCCCAATGCAGGTGATTACTCCAAGTCCCTCTGCCAGAGCACGGGCCACTTTCTGCTCAATCAGTTCATCTGACTCCCCAAAGACATGCCTTCTCTCCGAGTGCCCCAGGACTACCCACGTAGCTCTGCAGTCTTTGATTATGCCAGGGCTGATCTCCCCAGTAAAGGCCCCATTAGTCACTTTGTAGCAGTTCTGCGCAGGCACAGCAATCTTGGGATCTAGCTTCTGCTGGGTGAAGTCGATATAGGCAGTTGGGGGAGAGCAAACCACCTCAGCGTCGGCTGGCACCTTGGTCACGTTCAGTGTCAATGAGCTCCCCAAGACTCTTCTTCCACCCATTCATCTTCCAGGTCCTCCAAGAAGAACTTCCTGGAGGGTGCCATGGCACTGGAGCTGAGGCACTGAAGGTCAGTGTCAGCAAATTTATTTTATTTTATTTATTTTAAAAAAACCCAATTATTTCTTTTTTCTGTTTAGTTCTGTGGCTGCTTGTTGGTGTGGGATTGTTGGGATTAGGACTACGGCATAAAGCCTATGAGAGAAAACTGGGCAAAGTGGTAAGTAATTAAAAACCTTGAAATAGAATTTTATATGGTATATATATGTGCATATATTTGTACAATTTACCATTCTGATTGAACCTGGATCTGATGACTTCAGAGCCCTGGGCCCTATCTCCTTAACCCTTATGTGCCAGACTGATAAGATAGTGGGATTATTTTATGAAGTTGGGTTCTTGGAATAGGATAGGCCCATACACTAGAGGCAAATTGTTGATGATTTTGTTTTATGGAGTTATTTCTGCCATTCATGATTTAACATATCTGAACTATGTGTATTAGTTTGTTCTTGCACTGCCATAAAGAAATACTTGAGACCGGGTAATTTATAAAGAAGAATTTTAATTATCCCATGGTTCTACAGGCTGTTCAGAAAGCATGGAGGTATCTGTTCTACTTCTGGGGAGGCCTCAGGAAACTTGCAATCATAGTGAAAGGCAAACAGGGAGCTAGTTATCTTATGTGGTGGAGCAGGAACAAGAGAGAGAGGGAGTAGGTGCTACACATTTTTTTTTTTTTTATTTGATGGAGTCTCACTCTGCCGCCCGGCTGGAGTGCAGTGGTGCGATCTTGGCTCACTGCAACCTCTGCCTACTGGGTTCAAGCAATTCCCCTGCCTCAGCCTCCTGAGTAGCTGGGACTATAGGCGGTGTGCCACCATGCCCGGCTAATTTTTTTTTTTGTATTTTAGTAGAGACGGGTTTCACCATGTTGGCCAGGATGGTCTTGATTTCCTGACCTTGTGATCCGCCTGCCTCCCAAAGTGCTGGGATTACAGGCATAAGCCACCATGCCTGGCAGGTGCTACTCACTTTAAAACAACCAGATCTCATGAGAACTCACTCTTTCACTATTACAACAACACCAAAGGGGGTGTTTTATCATTTATTTATTTATTTATTTATTAGAGAACAGTACCGAGGGTGTGGTGCTAAACCATTCATGAGAATTCCACCCCCATGATCTGGTCACCCCCAGGCCCCAACTCCAACACTAGAGGTTAAAATTCAACATGAGATTTGGTAGGGACACAGATTCAAACCATGTCACTATGAAATAAGCAACTGTTTTATATTGGATTTTCTGTACTTCTTGGTAGATATTGCTGAATACAGCAATGTGAGATTCTTTAGGAAAACTCTTACAGATAATTCTTGATTTTGCACATTATGGGTAGCTTATGCCTTGACAGGTAGTAAAACTTTTCTTGTCTCTTTCTTTCCTCTCTTGCTATCTGCAGTTTTAAATGTTTTAATATCCTTTTCTCTTTTAGAACAGTGGGCAGAAATAAGAATAAGTAATTGAATGTTGTGCTTTCTATCTGATCTGATAAAAAATCTAGTGTGTTTCATAATGCAGTCAGAGTTACAGTTTTGGTTAAAATAGAAATTGTTGAGGGTTGACTTTGAATTTTAGCAATCTGTACTAGCGGGAACATTTTTCATTTTGAATAAAAAGCTACACTGAGAACACAGACCATGCTTCTCTTCTTGGTCTTTGTACTTCCAGTAACTTACAGAGTGCTTGCCAGGTATTCAGAACTAAGTAACTATTTCTTAATAAGTAGATAATAGTAGACCATCATTACATGCTCCTTTAACTGTCGGTCATTATTATTGCAACATAATGTCCATCAGAAAAGGATACCTAATGTCATCCAGGAATTCTTTTTGGAAGGAGTTATTTGAATTGGATTTAATACCTGTTCTTTTGGTCATTTGCTCATTCATTCATTTGGCTAATGATTACCAAATGTTTCTTTATTACCTGGTGCCAGTGATACAGATATAAACAAGTTGGACAAGAACCTGCCCTGCCAGAGTTTGCATTCTAGTAGGGGAGAATTATAGTATTTAGAGAACAAATAAAGAAATGGTCTCCTTTTAGATCAAGCTGCCATGAAGGAAACAGGATTGTAGAATGGAGGGTAACTGGGTATGGGGGATTAGAGAAAACTGTCTGAGGAGGTGACATTTGAGATGAAATTTGCAAGTTGAGAAAAAAGTTGTGAGGCCTGGGATGTTGGCAGAAGGAACACATATAAAGGACTGAGGGAGAACGACACCTGGTGTGTTTGAGGGACATCAGGGTGACTGGCATGGCTGAAGCTCGGTGAAGAGTAGTAGAAGATGACGTGGAGAGGCTGGGGAGGGCCATACCAGGGCCTTGTAGAACACAGTGAGAAGTGCTGCTTTTATTTTTTATTTATTTTCATTTTATTATTAGTATTATTTTTAATGTCAATAGTTTTTTTTTTAATGTTTTAGATGGAATCTCACACTCTGTAACCCAGGCTGGGGTGCAGTGGCATGATCTCGTTTCCCTGCAACCTCTGCCTTCTGGGTTGAAGCGATTCTCTTGCCTCAGCCTCCAGAGCAGCTGGGATTACAGGCGCACACCACCATGCCCAGCTAATTTTTGTATTTTTAGCAGAGACAGGATTTCACCATGATGGGCAGGCTGGTCTCAAACTCCTGACCTCAAGTTATCTGCCTGCCTTGACCTCCCAAAGTGCTGGGATTACAGACGTGAGCCACCGCACCTAGCCATTGTCAATTGTTTTTGGGCAGGTGGTTTTTGGTTATGTGGATAAGTTCTTTAGAGGTGATTTCTGAGATTTTAGTGCACCCGTCACCCAAGCAGTGTACACTGCACCCAATATGTAGTCTTATTTTGTGATCACGTTTTTTTCAATAGGTTTTTGGGGAATGGGTGCTGTTTGGTTACGTGAATATGTTATTTAGTGGTGATTTCTGAGATTTTGGTGCAGTCATCACCTGAGCAGTTTAACTGTACCCAATTTGTAGTCTTTTATTCCTCACTCCCTCCCACCCTTTAATAAGCAACTGAGTCTCCTGAGTCTCCAAAGTTCATTGTATCATTCTTACACCTTTGCATCCTCATAGCTTAGCTCCCACTTACGTGCAAGAATATATAATATTTGGTTTTCCATTCCCGAGTCACTTCACTTAGAGTAATGGTCTCCAATTCCATCCAGGTTGTTGCAAATGCCATTATTTTATTCATTTTTTATGGCTGAATAGTATTCCATTACACACACACACACACACACACACACACACACATATATATATATAAATCATATTTTCTTTATCCACTTGTTGATTGATGGGCATTTGGGCTGGTACTATATTTTTGAAATGTCAAATTGTGCTGCTGTAAACATGTATGTGTGAGTATCTTTTTCATATAATGACTTCTCTTCCTCTGGGTAGATACCCAGGAGTGTGATTGCTGGATCAAATTGTAGATCTATTTTTAGTTCTTTAAGGAATCTCCACACTGTTTTCCACAGTGGTTGTACTAGTTTACCTTCCCACAGACAGTGTAAAAGTGTTCCTTTTCACTACATCCATGCCAACATTTATTAGTTTTTGATTTTTTGATTATGGCCATTCTTGCAGGAGTAAGGTAGTATCACATTGTGGTTTTGATCAGGCATTTCCCTGATCATTAGTGATGTTGAGCATTTTTCCATATGTTTTTTGGCCATTTGTGTATCTTCTTTTGAGAATTGTCTATTCATGTCCTTAGCTCACTTTTTGATGGGATTTTTTTTTTCTTGCTGATTTGTTTGAATTCCTTGTAGCTTCTGGATATTAGTCCTTTGTCAGATGTATAGATAGCAAAGATTTCCCCCTACTTTGTGAGTTGTCTGTTTAGTCTGCTGATTATTTCTTTTGCTGTGCAGAAGTTTTTAGTTTAATTAAGCTCCATCTATTTATCTTTGGTTTTGTTGCATTTGTTTTTGGGTTCTTGGTCATGAAGGCTTTGCCTAAGCCAATTTTAAAAGAGTTTTTCCAATGTCGTATTCTAGAATTTTTATGGTTTCAGGTGTTAGATCTAAGTCTTTGATCCATCTTGAGTTGATTTTTGTATAAGGTGAGAGATGAGGATCCAGTTTTATTCTTCTACATGTGGCTTGTCAATTATCTTAGCACTATTTGTTGAATAGAATGTCCTTTTCCACTTTATGTTTTTGTTTGCTATGTCAAAGATCAGTTGACTGTAATCATTTGGCTTATTTCTGGGTTCTCTACTCTGTTCCATTGGTCTATATGCCTTTTTTTATACCAGTACCATGCTGTTTTTGTGACTAGGGCTTTATAGTGTATTTTGAAGTTGGATAATGTAATGCCTTTGATTTATTATTTTTACTTAGTCTTGCTTTGGCTATGCAGACTCTTTTTTTGTTCCATATGAATTTTAGGATTTTTTTCCAGTTCTGTGAAGAATGATGGTGGTATTTTAATGGGAATTGCATTGAATTTGTAGATTGCTTTTGGCAGTAGGGTTATTTTCACAATATTGATTCTACCCATCCATGAGCATGGATATGTTTGCATTTGTTTGTGTCATCTAAGATTTCTTTCAGCAGTGTTTTGTAATTTTCCTTGTAGAGGTCTTTCACCTCCTTGGTTAAGTATATTCCTAAATATTTTATTTTATTTATTTTTTCAGCTATTGTAAAAGGGGTTGAATTCTTGATTTGATTATCACTGATCACAGTTGGTGTATAGCAGGGCTATTAATTTGTGTACACTAATTTTGTATCTTGAAACTTTGCTGAATTCATTTACCAGTTCTAGGAGCTTTTTGGTGGAGTCTTTGGGGTTTTCCAGGTATACCATTATGTCATCTGCAAACAGCGACAATTTGACTTCCTCTTTATCAGTTTGATACCCTTTATTTTTTTCTCTTGTTCAATGTGCTGGCTAGAACTTTCAGTACTATGTTGAATATAATGGTGAAAGTGGGCATCCTTGTCTTGTTCCAGGTCTCAGGGGAATGCCTTCAACTTTTCCCTATTCAGTATAATGTTGGCCGTGGGTTTATAATAAATGGCTTTTATTACCTTAAGGTGTGACCTTTCTATGCCGATTTTGCTGAGGGTTTTAATCATAAAGCGACGCTGGATATTGTCAACTGCTTTTTCTGTGTCTATTGAGATGATCATGTGATTTTTGTTTTAAATTCTGTTTATGTGGTGTATCACATTTATTGACTTACTGATGTTAAACCATCCCTGCATCCCTGATATGAAACCCACTTGATCATGGTGGATTATCTTTTTGATATGCTGGTGGATTCAGTTTGCTAGTATTATGTTGAGGATTTTTGCATCTATATTCATCAGAGATATTGGTCTGTAGTTTTCTTTTTTGTTACATCCTTTGCTAGTTTTGGTATTAGGGTGATACTGGCTTCATAGAATGATTTAGAAAGGATCCCCTCTTTCTCTATCTTTTGGAATAGTGTCAGTAGGATTGGTACCAATTCTTCTTTGAATGTCTGATAGAATTCAGCTGTGAATCTGTCTGTTCCTGGACTTTTTTTTGTTAGCAATTTTAAATTGCCATTTCAATCTGGCTGCTTTTCATTGGTTTGTTCAGAGTTTCTATTTTTTCCTGGTTTAATCTAGGAGGGCTATATATTTCCAGAAATTTATCCATCTCCTCTAGGTTTTCTAGTTTATGTATATAAAGATGTTCATGGTAGCATTGAATGATCTTTTGCATTTCTGTGGTATCCGTTGTAGTATTGTCTGTTTTGTTTCTAATTGAACTTATTCTTTACTTGGGTTATCTCACTAATAGTCTATCAATTTTATATGTCTTTTCAAAGAGACAGCTTTTTGTTTCATTTATCTTTTGTATTTTTGTTTGTTTGTTTCAATATCATTTAATTCTGCTCTGATTTTTATTATTTCTTTTCTTGTGCTGGGTTTGGGTTTGGTTTGTTCTTGTTTCTCTAGTTCCTTGAGTTGTGACCTTAGGTTCTCTATTTGTGCTGTTTCAAACTTTTTGATACAGGCATTTAATGCTGTGAACTTTCTTCTTAGTACTGCCTTTGTTGTATCCCAGAGGTTTTGATAGGTTGTGTCACTATTATCATTCAGTTCAAAGAATTTTTAAATTTCCATCTGATTTCATTGTGGACACAATGATCATTCAAGAGCAGGTTATTTAATTTCTATATATTTGCATGGTTTTGAAGGTTCCTTTTGAAGTTGATTTCCAATTTTTATTTTTATTTTTTGAGATGGAGTTTCTCTCTTGTCACCCAGGCTGGAGTGCAATGGCACAATCTCGGCTCACTGCAACCTCTACCTCCCAGGTTCAAGTGATTCTCCTGCCTCACCCTCCCAAGTAGCTGGGATTACAGGCATGCACCACCACATCCAGCTAAATTTTGTATTTTTAGTAGAGATGGGGTTTCGCCCCATGTTGGTCCGGCTGGTCTTGAACTCCTGACCTCAGGTGATCCACCTGCCTTGGCCTCCAAAAATGCTGGGATTACAGGCATGAGCCACTGCACCCGGTTGATTTCTAATTTTATTCCATTGTGGTCCGAGAGATAGTACTTGCTATAATTTCATTTTCTTAAATTTGTTGACACTTGTTTTATGGCCTATCATATGGTCTATCTTGGAGAATGGTGCATGTGCTGATGAATAGAATGTATATTCTGCAGTTGTTGGGTAGAATGTTCTGTAAATATCTGTTAAGTCCATTTGTTCTAGGGTATTGTTTAAGTGTTTCTTTGTTGACTTTCTATCTTGATGACCTCTCTAGTGCTGTCAGTGCAGTACTGGAGTCCCCACTGTTACTGTGCTGCTATCTATCTCATTTCTTAGGTCTAATAGTAATTGTTTTATAAATTTGGGGGTTCCAGTGTTAGGTGCATATATATTTAGGGTTGTGATATTTTCCTGTTGGACTAGTCCTTTTATCGTTATGTAATGTCCTTCTTTGTCTTTTTTAACTGCTGTTGTTTTAAAGTTTGTTTTGTCTGATATAAAAATAGCAACTCCTGCTCACTTTTGGTGTCCATTTGCATGGAATATCTTTTCCACCCCTTTACCTTAAGTTTAGGTGAGTCCTTAGGTGTCAGATGAGTCTTTTGAAGACAGCAGGAACTTGGTTGGTAAATTCTTACCAGTTCTGCATTCTATATCTTTTAAATGGAGCATTTAGGACATTTACATTTAATGTTAGTATTGAGACGTGAGGTACTATTCTATTCATTGTGCAATTTGTTGCCTGAATACCTTGGGTTTTCTTTCATTTTGTTGTTGTTTTTTTAAGGTTCTGTGAGATTTATGCTTTATGGAGATTCTATTTTGGTGTATTTCAAGTATTTGTTTCAAGATTTAGAGCTCCTTTTAGCAGTTCTTGTAGTGCTGGCTTGGTAGTGGCAAATTCTCTTAGCATTTGTTTGTCTGTTAATGACTGTATCTTTCCTTCATTTATGAAAGCTTAGTCTTGCTGGCTACAAAATTCTTGGCTGATAATTTTTTGGTTTAAGGAGGCTAAAGATAGGACCCTAATCTATTCTAGCTTGTAGGGTTTTTGCTGAGATATCTGCTGTTAATCTGATAGGTTTTTCTTTATAGGTTACCTGATATTTTTGCCTCATACCTCTTAAGATTCTTTTTTTTTGTCTTGATTTTAGATAACCTGATGACTATGTGCCTAGGTAGTGATCTTTTTGCAATGTATTTCCCAAGTGTTTTTTGAGCTTCTTGTATTTGGTTGTCTAGATCTCTAGCAAGGCTAGGGAAGTTCTCCTCAATTATTCCCTCAAATCTGTTTCCAAACTTTTAGATTTTTCTTCTTCCTTGGGAATACTAATTATTCATAGGTTTGGTCATTTAACATAATCCTGAACTTCTTGGAGGCTTTGTTTATCTTTTAAATTTTTTTTCCTTTGTCTTTGTCAGATTGGGTTAATTCAAAAGCCTTGTCTTCAACCTTTGAAGTTTTTTCTTCTATTTGTTCAATTCTATTGCTGAGATTTTCCAGTGCATTTTGCCCTTCTCTAAGCGTGTCCATTTCTAGAAGTTGTGATTGTTTTTTATTTATCCTACCTATTTCACTGGAGATTTTTCCATTCATATCCTGTATCATTTTTTTTTTTATTTCTTTAAGTCTGACTTTACCTTTTTCTGGTGCCTCCTTGATTGGCTTAATAGTCAACCTTCTGAATTCTTTTTCTGGCAATTCAGTGATTTCATCTTGGTTTGGATCCATTGCTGGTGAGCTAGTGTGATCTTTTGGGGGTGTTAAAGATCCTTGTTTTGCCATATTAATAGAATTGTGTTTCTGGTTCCTTCTCATTTGTGTAGACTATGTCAGAGGGAAGATCTGGGACTCAAGTGCTGCTCTTCAGATTCTTTTCTCCCATAGGGTGCTCCCCTGATGTGGTGCTCTCCCCTTTTCCCCAGGGATGGGACTTTCTGAGAGCTGAACTGCAGTGATTATTTCTTTTCTGGATCTAGCTACCCAGCAGAGCTACTGGGCTCTGGGCTGGTACTTGGGAGTATCTGCAAAAAATCCTATGATGTGATCCATCTTCAAATCTCTTGGCCATGGATACCAGCACTTGCTCCAGTCGAGGTAGCAGAGGAGTGAAGCATACTCTGAGAGGGTCATTGGTTGTATTTTTGTTAAGTGTGCTGGTTTTGTTGGCCTCCAGCCAGGGTGTGGCACTTTCAAGAGCACATCAGCTGTGGTAGTATAGGCAGGATCAGGTGGTGGGTGGGGCCATGGAACTCCCCCAAAATTATGTCCTTTTTCTTCAGCTACCAGGGCCAGTAGAGAAAGACCATCAGGTAGGGGCAGGGTTAGGTGTGTCTGAGCTCAGACTCTCGTTGGGCTGGGCCGGCTGTAGCTGCTGTGGGAGATGGGTGTGTGGATCCTAGGCCAATGGAGTTATGTTTCCAGGAGAATTATTGCTGCCTCTGCTGTCTCACACAGGTTTCCAGAGAAGTGGGAGAAAGCCGGCAGCCACAGGCCTCACCCAGCTCTCATGCAACCCACAGCATGAAAGGCTGGTCTCACTCCAACCGTGCCCCCACAACAGCACTGAGTTTATGCCCAGGCAGCCGGTGAGCAGGGCTAGGAACTTGCCCCAGGCTACAAGCCTCCCAGCTGAGAAAGCAAGCCAACTCATAGTTCCTTGGCTGTCCCATGGACCCTGCAGCAACAATACACTTCCTTCAAAGGGTCTGTGGATTCCCTTGGCTTTCTTGGCATGTTCCTGTGGTAGTTCTTGGAGCAAAAGTTCATGGTGTGGGTCTCCGTGTGCTGCTCTCTCTGTTGAAGTGGGAGCTGCAAGTTAGTTTTGCCTCCTATTTGTCATTTTCCTGCCATCCCCAATATGTAGTCTTTTATCCTTTACCCCCTCCCACCCATCCCTCCAAGTCCCCAAAGTTCATTGTATAACTCATGCCTTTGCATCCTCATAGCTTAGCTCCCACTTACAAGTAAGAACATACGATATTTGGTTTTCCATTCCTGAGTTACTTCACTTAGAATAACGGCATTCAGACCCATCCAAGTTGCTGCAAAAGACATTATTTTGTTCCTTTTCATGGCTGAGTAGTATCCCATGGTGTACATATATACTACATTTTCTTTATCCAGTCATTGGTCGATGGGCACTTAAGTTGGTTCCATATCTTTGCAATTGTGAATTGTGCTGCTGTAAACATGTGTGTCCAAGTGTCTTCTTAACATAATGCCTTCTTTCCTTTTGGGTAGATCCCCAGTAGTGGGATTGCTGGATCAAATGGTAGTTCTCCTTTTAGTTCTTTAAGGAATCTCTAAACTGTTTTCCATTGTGATTGTACCAATTTACATTCTCATGCTGATTTTATTTTACTTGCAATGGAAGCCACTCTAGTGCCTCAAGCAGGAGAGTGAAGAAAAATGATATATGTCAATTTGGCTGCTCTGTGAAAAATGGATTATAAGGGGATGAGAACGGATGCAAGGAGATAAGTTCTGAGGCTTCTTCAGCTGTCTCATAGAGAGATGATGGTGATCTTTGCTGGTGTAATGGAAGTAGAGTTGGAGATAAATGGATAGACTTAGAATATATTTTGAAAGTAGAACCGATAGGATTGGCTGAGAGGGTAGATGTTGTTGGGTGAGGAGAAGGAAGGAATCAAGGAGACTTCTATGTTTTTGGTTTGAGCAACTGGATGAAGGGAGGTGGCATTTCCTGAGAAGAATGAAGGAATAACATATTTTGGAGTGATGACATCTAGAATTAATTACAGATGAATAGTTGTAAGAAAAAGGATAGCATGATAAATATAATATGTCTCTTGAAATCTCTGTTGATGGTTCTCCTTTCTTTA